>NC_000011.10:363030-666060 GCF_000001405.40 Homo sapiens
TCTGGACATAGCTGTTGCAGCCCACGCCATCCGGAGAGAGGTGTCCCGGCCCCCACCGTCCGGAGAGAGAGCTCTCCCGGCCCCCACCGTCTGGAGAGAGGTGTCCCGGCCCCACCATCCGGAGAGAGCTGTCCCGGCCCTACCGTCTGGAGAGAGAGCTGTCCCGGCCCCACCGTCTGGAGAGAGGGGTCCCGGCCCCCACCGTCTGGGGAGAGCTGTCCCGGCCCCCACCGTCTGGAGAGAGAGCTGTCCCGGCCCCCACCGTCTGGAGAGAGAGCTGTCCCAGCCCCACCGTCTGGAGAGAGGTGTCCCGACCCCACCGTCTGGAGAGAGGTGTCCCAGCCCCACCGTCTGGGGAGAGGTGTCCCGGCCCCACCGTCTGGAGAGAGAGGTGTCCCGGCCCCACCGTCTGGGGAGAGCTGTTCCGGCCCCACCGTCTGCAGAGAGGTGTCCCGGCCCCACCGTCTGGAGAGAGCTGTCCCAGCCCCACCGTCTGGGGAGAGGTGTCCCGGCTCCCACCGTCTGGAGAGAGCTGTCCCGGCCCCCACCGTCTGGAGAGAGAGCTGTCCCGGCCCCACCGTCTGGAGAGAGGTGTCCCGGCCCCACCGTCTGGGGAAAGCTGTCCCGGCCCCACCGTCTGGAGAGAGAGCTGTCCCGGCCCCCACCATCCGGAGAGAGAGGTGTCCCGGCCCCCACCATCTGGAGAGAGAGCTGTCCCGGCCCCCACCGTCTGGAGAGAGGTGTCCCGGCCCCACCGTCTGGAGAGAGCTGTCCCGGCCCCACCGTCTGGAGAGAGGTGTCCCGGCCCCACCGTCTGGAGAGAGGTGTCCCGGCCCCACCGTCTGGAGAGAGCTGTCCCGGCCCCACCGTCTGGAGAGAGGTGTCCCGGCCCCCACCGTCTGGGGAGAGCTGTCCCGGCCCCACCAGGCTCCAGATACTGAGCAGGGCCAAGGGCCACATTCTTTTTTTTTTTTTTTTTTTTTTTGCACAGGATCTTGCTTGGTTGCCTAGTCTGGAGTGCGGTGGCATAATCACAGGTCTGCAGCCTCGACCTCCCAGGCCTCAGCAATCCTTCCACCCCAGCCTCTCGAGTAGCTGAGACTACAGGTTTGCACCACACCTGGCAAATGTTTGTGTTTTTTGTAGAGATAGGGTCTCCCTGTGTTGCCAAGGCTGGTCTCGAACTCCTGTGCTCAAGCGTCCTCTCCCACCTCCACCTCCCAAAGTGTTGAGATTACAGGCATAAGCCGCCGTGCCCAACCCCAAAGGCACATTCTAACGCCTGGGCTGCCATCGTGCACTGGGTGTGGTCGGACCCACCAGCCTCAGGGCTGGGTGTGCACAGCAGATGCCACCGACGGAAGTGGTCTACACGTGGTCAGCTCAAACAGGTCCTGGGGGCCCTGGGAAGCCAGTGGAGGAGGTGGGTCCTGAACAGGCATGAACAGGCAGCTCCCCTCACTCTGCCTCATCTCTCTGAAATACACCACTGGGTCGTGAGGCGTTCCCTCGGACCAGATGACTCAGAAAGCACAATGCAGCCCTGGTCACAGATGGCTCTGCCTAATAAGCTGGCACCACCCCGAAGTGGGCGCCCCAGCACGGCAGCGCCACCTGGGTGTGGGAGGCCAGGCCTGCACGACAGGTGCAAAGGCAGGTCCTCACCTGGGTGTGGGAGGCCAGGCCTGCACGACAGGTGCAAAGGCAGGTCCTCGCAGGGCCGAGCAGCAAGCAGGATGGAGGAGGAGGCAGAGTTCCGTGGACGCCCCGGCCACGGCCGACCGTCTAGCTGATGGCCAGGCACTTGGAGGGGCACGATTACAAAGTTAGAGATGAAACGGTCGGGGTGAAGGTATGTAGACAGACCTCTTGGGGTGGGCAGAGCATAAAGAATTTGTGTGCAAAGACCTGTCTCAGCAGAGGAGGGACCCTAATAGTCAGACGGACAAAATGACCCATTTGTGCGCATCAGGCAGCCTCTTTCCCCAGCTCCCCTTGTCCTGAGTCGGGCCAAGTGGCTGTAGCAGTGGGAAGCGGATTACCCTGGGCACCGCGCAGCCAACAGCGGAGACCAACACTGGCCCCTTCCTCCACCATGGAGGATGCTTGTCCCAGCAGGATGGGCTCCCACCCCAGCTGTGGATGGTCAGTGCCCTCAATGCCTCTGCCCAAACCACCACCCCACACATTCAGAGCTCCTCGTCCACCCACGGGGTGCTCCTCATGGCGGCATCGCCATTGTCCTGGGGACAGCAACCGGCCGGTGCTCCTGGAACCCACAGATCTCGCCGTGTTCCTGATGGAATGGCCTTTGGGAGGCTCAGTTTTGGCACCAGCTGAGTGACAATGCTGTGGATCTGGGGTCCTCTGGATGCAGCGGATCCACTGAATCAGCACTTAATCTCTGGCTTTTCCCAAAGCCGGGGCTCACTGGTCCAGGCGTGGAGGAGTGGAAACCCCAACTTCTTCCCATTGTCGTTAATCCCCAGTGAGCCACAAGTGAAAGTTTTGCCCCCTGCAGTGTTGCACGCTGTTGGTCTAGAGGCCTCAGATTCCCAGGGACCAACTCATCCCAGTTTGCTTAAGACTTTGCCGGTCTTATTTTCATTTTTTTATTTTTTATTTTTTTGAGGCTCAGTTTTGCTCTTGTTGCCCAGGCTGGAGTGCAATGGCACGATCTCGGCTCACCACAACCTCCGCCTCCTGGGTTCAAGCAATTCTCCTGCCTCAGCCTTCCTAGTAGCTGGGATTGCAGGCATGCACCACCATGCCCAGCTAATTTTTTATTTTTAGTAGAGACGGGGTTTCTCCATGTTGGTTAGGCTGGTCTCGAACTTCCAACCTCAGGTAATCCACCTGCCTCAGCGTCCCAAAGTGCTGAGATTACAGGCGTGAGCCACCGCGCCCAGCCGACTTTCCCAGGTTTAAAACGGAAAGTTCCATGTCCTAGGAATCCCCTCGGTCCTGGGAAAGCCCTGGAGTGTTTCCACCAGGGGACACGTTACGCAGGAAGCTGAGACTGCCCACCTGGACGCCGGTTCCTCACACCAGGGGGTCGACAAAGAAGAGGGTCCCTGTGCTGGTCCGGCTGACTGAGCCCAACAAGGGGAACTTGGAACCTGATCACAGAATGGGGCTAAGGGGGAGAAATTTGGGAGGCAGGAGATCGTCTGTAATATCACGTAGCTCCTCTAAGCCTTGCAGAAAACACCACTGGAAAACCAGAACCACCCCATAAGGCAAAACTGCTAACAGCATAGGCCTTTTGGGAAGGAACGTTTGGGTCACCCCACCAGACAGTGAACCACGACCAGCAGAGGTGCTTGCAGAGGGCAAAGGGACCACGCAGGAGTGACGGAAGAGCGTGGCCATAAAGACTGTACCAGCCACGACCTGGTGACCGTAGAAGTGAGTACTTCTTATCCTCACACAAGTCACACTTGTACTGACATTATCCGTTCTTCCTGCTTTTTTCCTCTTCCATTGCCCTCCTAGCTGCATAAAATGCGTTAACAACAGTTAACTTTACATTTCATCTCAGTATTTGTGTCATCCAACCCCCAACATGCACTTTGCAGTGTCAAGTGTTAAACGCTCTTAGAGAAACTAGAAGAACGAGGATCGTCTTCTCAAATGTGGATAACATGACACGAACCTTTTGTTCAGTCCCTTCTGGTTGGAATATTTGCATCATGTTACGTAGAAGCATGACTTTGTTTTTTGCTTTATTTGGAAGTTAAATGTGTTTTTTAAAAGAAGTGTGCGTCTGTGCTGAGTTGTCAAGAGGAGGAACCTGCCAGGTTGTTCTCTCTTTTTTTTTTTTGAGACCGAGTCTCGCTCTGTCACCCAGGCTGGAGTGCAGTGGCGCGATCTCGGCTCACTGCAAGCTCCGCCTCCCGGGTTCACGCCATTCTCCTGCCTCAGCCTCCGAGTAGCTGGGACTACAGGCGCCCGCCGCCACGCCCGGCTAATTTTTTGTATTTTCAGTACAGACAGGGTTTCACCGTGTTAGCCAGGATGGTCTCGATCTCCTGACCTCGTGATCCGCCCGCCTCGGCCTCCCAAAGTGCTGGGATTACAGGCGTGAGCCACCGCGCCCGGCCAGGTTGTTCTCTTATTCTAAGCTGGAGACCCATTTCCCAGAACCTTCTCCTCTGTGGCTGGGTCACACCGAAGTGAGGCGGTGGCCGTTCTTCTCCAGAAGGGGCCGAGACGGATGTGGTAGCATATGGAGCATCTGCGTCCGGCAGATCCCAGCTCGCCCCTCAATTGTACCTACTATGCTTTGGATCCACAGGGGACACCCTCTGACTGTGGACCCATGAAGTGTCCCAAACACGTCTCTCCCGACATTGCCAACACTTGCCTTCTAAGAACCTGTTTACGGGTCAGGCCAGCCGTTGCCTCCCCAGAGAGCGACCCTGGAGCGGGAGCCGGCCTCCCTCCATCACCCAGCTCATCTCCTTCACGTCACTCACCACCAGCAAAGCGACTATGCGTTCACTGGTCTGTCCCTGCCTAGTAACATGTAAACTCCATGAAAGGAGGGCCCTTTTCTGTCTTGCTCACTGCTGTGTCCCCTAAGTCCCTGGCTCGTCAGGACACTAGAATACTAGGTAGCGTCCACTGGCTGGATGAATGTGCCTAGGATGGGGTGCCATGCAGTGGAAAGAGGGAAAGCATTAGACGCACAGCCAGACAGATGCACATAGAAAATATGGGACTTGGAGAAACAGAATGAGACACATAAAAGAGCACCACTGGCCGGGCACAGTGGCTCACGCCTGGAATCCCAGCACTTTGGGAGGCCAAGGCGGGAGGATCACTTGAGCCCAGGAGTTCAACGCCAGCCCGGGACACATGGTGAGACCCTGAATCTGTTAAAAAAAAAAATACAAAAAATTAGTCCGGCATGGTGATGCATGCCTGTAGTCCCAGCTCCTCAAGAACCTGAAGTGGGAGGATCGCTTGAGCCCAGGAGGTCAAGGCTGCTGTGAGCTGAGATTGCACCACTGCACTCTAGCCTCAGAGACACAGTGAGACCCTGTCTCAAAAAGGGGTGGGGCACTATATTTTAATGAATATGCAGATAACAGAAATATGAAAAGTGGACTGCAGGAGGCAGGAGATGAGGAGCTGATGGGGTGGGGGAAGGTTTGAGAGACCGGGTGTTGTTTAAGGGCCGGTATGAACAGCAGGATGTAACCAGCTTGCTTCTGTGCTCAGAAGTTAGGGGAGGAGGATGGAGGGGAAGGAGGGAAGGAGTTGAGGTCTTAAGAAGGCAACTTCTGGGCAATCTTCCATTGTGAGGTGGGGTCCACGTCCCCACAACCCACGAACTTGGGTGGCCGTGCGGCATGTGGCAAACCTGAGGGGTGACTCCAAGATGCTTCACTCTGTGTGCTGGACCGGGAGGCTGCCCCTGGCAGCTGAGCCTGCAGGCGCTCTGGCCAACCACCCGGGGTGAGCCCAGCCATTCCTGCCGAGGGTGCACTGGCTTGGGGCAGAAGTCTCTGGATGGCTCCAGCCTGTCCCGCGGAGCCGGCCCCACCACTCACGTCTTCCCACCGGAGGCCAGCACCTCGAGGAGCAGAGAGGAGCTGTCCCCGAGTGCCCTGAGTTCCTGACCCACAGGACACAGGAACACAGGAACGCTGCTGTTGGACAGCACTGAAGCTGGGCGGTTTGCTACACACCCAGAGACAGCTGAGCAGACAGAGGGAGAAGAGTAGGGTCACGCTGGCAGCTGGACAAGGGAAGTACTGGGGGGACAGAGGGACTGGCAGGGGTTGGTGCAGACCAGGTGAGAAAGGGCACGAAGTGGGACAAGGTCCCGGTGAGAGGCACGACACTGTCACCTGCCTCAGGCCGCGCTCGGTGGGGCGGGGGCCACCAGCTGAGGCCCCTCCTGCCGCCCAGACAGCTCGGCCCCCTGCGGCCCCAGCCCTGCAGGCTGAGATCCCGCAACGACTCCCACCCCTGGGCTGAAGCCGGTGCTTGGGCCCCCCCGCCCCCCGGCCTCTCTCGCCCGCCCCCATTCCCCGCCCCCCAGGACCCCGGGTCCCTCCCCTCCCTCCTCCGTGTTGTCCGCCTGCAGTCCTTCGGGTCACTGTTCTCGGGAGGCCGCCCCGCCCCACAGTCAGGCTGTGCCCATCCCCCGCCGCCCCCCACGGTCCCCGAGCCCCAGCGCTTCCCAGCCCCGCGTCTGTGTGCCGCGCCCCCGCGCTCCGTGGCCCAGGTGGACGCGCGCCCCGCGCCCCGCATCCCTGTCCGTCCCGCACCCCTCACCCCCCGCCCCGCACCCTCCGCACCCCCCGCCCCGCCCCGCCTCCCCTCGCCCCGCCTCCTCCGCCCCGCACCCCGCGCCCCGCCCCGCCTTCCCGCGCCCCGCACCCCTCCCCGCGCGCCGCCATTGGCTCCCCGCGGCCTGGCTCGGTCCGATTGGTTCCGCGCGCGCGGCCGGGGCCCGATCCGCGGTGGCAGCCGTGGATGCTGTTCGGTCCCGCCGCCGCCCCAGGAGCGCGGAGCCGGGAGCGGCCGGGCGGGGGGCACCGCGAGGAGCCGCCCCCGCCGCCCACCCCGGGCCCGCGGCCGAGGGCGGCCTGGGGGGGTCGCGGCCGCACCCGGTGGCCGCGCACGGCGGACAAAGGACCATGCGGGGCCGCGGGCGCTGAGCGCGGCGGGGCGGGCCGGGGATGCGGCGCGGGGCGGGCGGGGGCCGGGGGCTGCAGCGGCGCCGCTGAGCGCGGCCTGGGGCGGGCGCGGCGGCCGCGATGCCGCGGCTCCCGGTGAAGAAGATCCGTAAGCAGATGAAGCTGCTGCTGCTGCTGCTGCTGCTGAGCTGCGCCGCGTGGCTCACCTACGTGCACCTGGGCCTGGTGCGCCAGGGACGCGCGCTGCGCCAGCGCCTGGGCTACGGGCGAGGTACGGCGCGGGGGGCGCGGGGGGCGCGGGGGGCGGGGGCGGCGCGGGGGGCGCGGGGGGCGCGGGCGGCGCGGGGGGCGCGGGCGGCGCGGGCGGCGGGGGCCCCGGGGCGCGGGCCGGGCCTCCCACCGCACAGAGGTCTCGGCTGGGCCCGACCCTCCCGGAGACCCCGCCCGCTGTTCTCCGCTCTGCGATTTGGGGGGAGGGGGCGCGGTTCGGCTCGGCCCGGACGCTCGATGACGTCGGCAGTGACGCGCGCGACCCTCCCAGAGAGGGTCCCTGACTCTGGGATCTGGCTTGGATCCGGTAGTGAGGGGCTGACGGTGGGCTCCTGGGGAAGTCTCTGCCCCTAGACCCTGCTGAGGCTTCCAAGAGGCCTTCTCAGGCCTCGCCTCCACCCCCTGCCCGCTTAGCAGGGCCTCAGTTTCCCTGTGTGCTGGGGACCCGGGCCGGGGCTTGCTGAAGTGGCCGGTGCAGCTGGGACGCTTCCCGGCGGGGGCGCCTTCGGTGAACTGTGCCAGTGTTGTGGGGGTCCATGCGTAGGGATGGGGCCCAGCTTGGGGAGCCTGGCGTAAACTCTCCCAACCCCAACCCACAAACAAAGCAGATGGGGTCACGGTGAGCCAGCCGGGGTAGGGCCTCCTGGAGATGGTGATCTTTGACATACACCTTTGGGGGAAAGAGCATTCCAGACAGGAAGGCGCAGATGAAAGCCTGGCGGTGGGGTTGGGGGAGAAGGTGGGGCAGAATGCCCCCTCTGGAGGAGGGAGGTTAGTGCCATGCCCAGACCAGGAGAGACCCCAGCTGGCTGCCTCTGAGCCTTTTCCAGGGAGCCAGGTGTCCTGAGGGGGCAGAACAATGATACTGGCTGGGGACTCCTGGGCCACTCCACCTGCCAAAGCCCCTGTGTTCTCTTCCTGTACCGGGACGCCTGGACCCACACAGGCCAAGGGTCTGGGGCTTGTCCCAACCCACATACCTCACAGCTTCCACACCCTCAAGAGACCCCCGATACTGCTGAATCCCTAAAAAGCCCCACCCCAGCTATCAGCAGACAGGGCAGGATCCACAGCTGGCCCAGTGACACAGAACAAAACCAGCCCCCTCTGCAGGCTCCTCTGTGGTTTTCTGAGCAGCGCAGGGGTCTAAGCCCAACCAGGAGGGGGCGGAGGCATAGGGACCCCTCTTCCAAGGACCCCTTGAGGCTAAGCCAGCTCCGCCCCAGGGCACCTGTACACTTGCTACCTCTGAGGCTAGGGCCAGGACCAGAGGAGCCCAACAGCTGCCCAGGGAGAGGGCGAGTGAGCAGACTGTTCTGTCGGGGGACCTGGGGCCCAAGTCAGGGGAGCCCTGGGGGACCCTTCCCAGATCTGCCTGTGGACATCTCTACTGCCTCCCCACAAGCCTGGGCAGGCCAGCTCTGCACCCCAGCCCTCTCCACTTCCTGGACCTCCCTAAGCTGAGGACCTAGACATCCCCACTGCAGCCCCAGGGGGTTCCACGCCCTGGGATCTGAGCATCTGTAGGGATGCTTCTCTTCACCCCAATTCTGCCCCTCCTGGTCCTCCTACCCAAGGACACTCAATCCAGGGCCACCCTCTGCTCCAGGGCCATGCCTGGGCGTCAGCATCCATGCCTGTTCCTCAGTCCAGACTTTGAGAGCTCAAATCCTTCAGGAGAGACTACAGTCCCTGGCACTAACCCTGAGTTCTCAGTTCTGGTAAGGGAGGCAGACGTGGAACACTCCAGCACACAGAGAAAGTGCTGAGGGCACAGGGCAGTCCTGGGGTCTTCCTGGAGGCAGAGCCACTCAACAAGAATGGCCAGATGGAGGTGCATGTGGGTGCCTACACACGCCAGCTGGCCCACCCGGCTTTCCTCCCTCACACCTGCTGGAGGTTGGGAAGAGCCTGCTGGAAGGCTCAGCCTGGGCTGCCCCACCAGAGGTGGGGTGTAGAAGAAGTTGCCTTGCTGGGGGGAGGGGCATCTGGTGGCAGAGGAAGCAGATGAGAAGGAGAGGCTTTAGTGAGAGACACCACAGCCTGCCTGCCCTGCTCTGGCCATGTGGGTCCCTGGCCCAGCTGAACCCAGCAGCAGGCAGAATGGCCTTGGAGAGAGCCTGGGCCCGAGACAGGCCTCATGTGCCACCTGCAGATGGTGAGAAGCTGACCAGTGAGACCGACGGCCGGGGGGTCCACGCTGCGCCATCCACACAGAGGGCTGAGGACTCCAGTGAGAGCCGTGAAGAGGAGCAAGCGGTGAGCAGAGCCCTGGGGAGAACACGTGTGCACGGAGACGAGACCCCGAAGCCACTTGTGTGTTGGTGTCTTGAGAACCTGTCCATTCTGGAGGACGCAGCAGGGGGCATGAGACACAGGACATGTGGGGCACGGCACAGCTTGTCTGTGTGAGCTCCAGCACCAGCCATCCTGTCTGGAGCTCTGTGTCTGGGGGCTGCAGCAGGTGCATGAATGTGCCGGCCGGTCAGTGTGTGGGGTGGCCAAGCATCTGCTTGGGCTAGAGTGACCAGGGTGTCTGAGTGTATGTGCCAGGTGCCACAGGTCAGGGTTTGCATGGCTGGGGCTCACGGGCATTTAGGGCTGTGTGGATACATGTTGGAAGGGGTCTTTGTGAAGGTTTGTCTTGGTGTGTGTGACCTCCTCCCTGCCCTTCCAACCCTGACCCTGTTGCCTTTTCTCTCCTGCAGCCCGAAGGTCGGGACCTAGACATGCTGTTTCCTGGGGGGGCTGGGAGGCTGCCACTGAACTTCACCCATCAGACACCCCCATGGCGGGAGGAGGTGAGCTGGCTCGGCCTGTAATGGGCTGGGAGGCAGGGCGGGGGCTGGGGCGGGGGGGCGGCGGGCCGTGCAGAAGGTAAGGCCCCCCCATCCCCAGTACAAGGGGCAGGTGAACCTGCACGTGTTTGAGGACTGGTGTGGGGGCGCCGTGGGCCACCTGAGGAGGAACCTGCACTTCCCGCTGTTCCCTCATGTGAGTGCCGGGGTTGGGGGGTGCCGGGTGGGCAGGGCACGCAGGGGGCTTCGACAGCAACAGTCACTGCCCCCCCAGACGCGCACCACCGTGAAGAAGTTGGCCGTGTCCCCCAAGTGGAAGAACTATGGACTCCGTATTTTTGGTTTCATCCACCCGGCGAGGGACGGTACGGGGGTGAGGGTGCCCCGGGGGAGGGGTGCCGTGAGGCTCCACCCCCCTGAGCCTAGTCTTGTGGACTAGGAGACGTCCAGTTTTCTGTGGCCTCAGACGACAACTCGGAGTTCTGGCTGAGTCTGGACGAGAGCCCTGCTGCTGCCCAGCTTGTGGCCTTTGTGGGCAAGGTACCCCCACCCCAGCCCTGGTGTCGTCCCGGGCCTCCTGCAGCTCAGTCACCTGTGCCCACCAGCCTCTTGGGAATGAGGACCCGATGGGTTTGGTGTCCCCAGGGAGAGAGTGAACCCCCCCCCCCACCACCACCCCTGCTCTATCACCCCCCAGACTGGCTCCGAGTGGACAGCGCCTGGAGAATTCACCAAGTTCAGCTCCCAGGTGTCCAAGCCCAGGCGGTGAGTGACTGTGGGGTGCATGTGCGTGCACTTGTGTATTCGTGGGAGGGGGTTACGCGCTGTCTCCTTATCCTGTGCACACTTGCGCACACTCTGCACGAGCACCCGCCCGGCCAAGCTGCCATCCTCCTGAGGGCCAGCCCTGAGGGGTGTGGGAGCCACCTGCCCCCTTCCCTGCCTCCACTATTTGAGCGTCCTGTGCATGGCACGACCCTTGCTCCTCGTGTCCCCAGGCTCATGGCCTCCCGGAGGTACTACTTTGAGTTGCTGCACAAGCAGGACGACCGCGGCTCGGACCACGTGGAAGTGGGCGTGAGTGCCTTCCTCCCCTGGGGGCTTCTGGAGACTCCACTCCCCCCACCTCCCTGCAGGACAACCGCAATGGGGTCCCCGTCCCAAAGTTGACAAAGCAGATGGTCAGGGCCATGGGCCTGAGGTCAGGAGGGTCTGCTCTGCCCTCCTGGGGGGCTCGGTGAGGCTTCACTAGGAGTCACCTTTGAGTAGAGTCTTGAGAGGATGGAGACCTTCAGTAGGGAGATGTGGGGGGCAGAGAATTTGGGGTGGGGTGTACGGCGGATGAATTCCACACCACAAGAACAGCGAAGGAACAGACCCAGCAGAGGAACCGGGTCTTCGAGACTAGGAGGGGTCTGGTGGCCAGATCAGGCGGGGCCTGAGCAGCACTCTGGACAGATAGGCCTTTGTCCTGAGAATGAGGCCATTGGATTTGCATTCCAGGAAAAAACCCCTGGCCACAAAGCGGAGAGAGCCTGGGGGAAGGATTTTTACTGTGGCCTTTGGTCCTCAAACCCAGGGAGGTGGCTGTGGGGATGGACGGGGGAAGGCGGAAGGGGTTATACAGCAAGGCAGAGGGCCTGCAGCCTGGTGGGTGTGGGGGGCAGCACGATGGTGCCTGTGTCTGGTGTGTGGAGGGCACGTTTCACCCCAGCTCAGCTGGGCAGAGGGCCCAGACTGGAGACAGGGGTTTGGGGTGGTCTGTGGAGGCCCCAGGATGAGGTGGGAACAGAAGGGCCTGAGACAGCCCCTGGAGCCCCAACTTGGTGGGGGTAGAGTGGGGGGGGCATCCAGCCTGGCCCTTAGGGGGCCAGCAGTGACCCTCACTGGGTGGGGTTGGAAATCTTAACCTGAGGCGGGGCGGGGGGGCCTCAGGGAGGGAGGGAGGGGGAAGGGAGGGAGGGGGAAGGGAGGGAGGAGGAAGGGAGGGAGGAGGAAGGGAGGGAGGAGGAAGGGAGGGAGGAGGAAGGGAGGGAGGAGGAAGGGAGGGAGGAGGAAGGGAGGGAGGAGGAAGGGAGGGAGGAGGAAGGGAGGGAGGGAGGAGGAAGGGAGGGAGGGAGGAGGAAGGGAGGGAGGGAGGAGGAAGGGAGGGAGGGAGGAGGAAGGGAGGGAGGAGGAAGGGAGGGAGGGAGGAGGAAGGGAGGGAGGGAGGAGGAAGGGAGGGAGGAGGAAGGGAGGGAGGAGGAAGGGAGGGAGGGAGGAGGAAGGGAGGGAGGGAGGTGGAAGGGAGGGAGGAGGAAGGGAGGGAGGTGGAAGGGAGGGAGGAGGAAGGGAGGGAGGTGGAAGGGAGGGAGGAGGAAGGGAGGGAGGAGGAAGGGAGGGAGGAGGAAGGGAGGGAGGAGGAAGGGAGGGAGGTGGAAGGGAGGGAGGAGGAAGGGAGGGAGGAGGAAGGGAGGGAGGAGGAAAGGTGAGGAAGGGAGCATGGTGGGGTCTGGCCCTGCTCCCAGGGTCCCTCAGCTTTCTGGGCTTCCTTCCCCAGCTTCCCTGCTGCCCCTTCTTGGAACGCCCCGGACCCCTCTGCCATCTCCTCTCCTGCATCCTTTAAGGGATTGGTCCTATTAGTCCCCCGGCCCTGAGCCAGGGTAGACCCTTTCTTCCCTGGACCCAGCCACCGCCCTGTCCCTGACCCCCACCCTCTCTGCCCCGCAGTGGCGAGCTTTCCTGCCCGGCCTGAAGTTCGAGGTCATCAGCTCTGCTCACATCTCCCTGTACACAGGTGCGAGCGGACGCCTCTGGGGATGTGGGGCTCCTCGGGATGGGCTCTGGGTGTGAGTGGGAAGAGTGGAGGAGGGGGTCTGAGCACTCCCTGGAACTCTTCTGCCCCCAGATGAGTCAGCCTTGAAGATGGACCACGTGGCGCACGTCCCCCAGTCTCCAGCCAGCCACGTGGGGGGGCGTCCGCCGCAGGAGGAGACCAGCGCAGACATGCTGCGGCCAGATCCCAGGGATACCTTTTTCCTCAGTGAGAGGGGGCCCGCGCGGGGGCGAGGGCGGGGGTGCCTGCCCCAGCCACCCTGTGACCGCACCTCCTGCAGCTCCACGCATGGAATCTTCGAGCCTGGAGAACGTGCTGGAGCCCTGCGCCTACGCCCCCACCTACGTGGTCAAGGACTTCCCGATCGCCAGATACCAGGGCCTGCAATTTGTGAGTGCGGCTGGAGACCCCGTCTCCCGTCCGGGACTCCGCGGAGCCTTCTCCAGCCCCTTGGGAGGCCGCCCCGGGAGGTCCGCGCCCTGAGCCCTGCGCCCCCCCACCCCCCAGGTGTACCTGTCCTTCGTTTATCCCAACGACTACACTCGCCTCACCCACATGGAGACGGACAACAAGTGCTTCTACCGCGAGTCTCCGCTGTATCTGGAGAGGTGGGCGCGCGGCCGGGCTAATGCGGGGCGGGGTGGGCGGGGCGGGACTCGGCTCTGATGCCCCGCCGCGCCCCAGGTTTGGGTTCTATAAATACATGAAGATGGACAAGGAGGAGGGGGATGAGGATGAAGAAGACGAGGTGCAGCGCCGAGCCTTCCTCTTCCTCAACCCGGACGGTGAGTGTCCGCAGCGCCCCTGGCCCGCACCCACCTGCGCAGGGAGCTTCTAACCCGCGTTTCCCGCAGACTTCCTGGACGACGAGGACGAGGGGGAGCTGCTCGACAGCCTGGAGCCCACCGAGGCGGCCCCGCCCAGGAGCGGCCCCCAGTCCCCCGCCCCAGCAGCCCCCGCCCAGCCCGGAGCCACCCTCGCCCCGCCGACCCCTCCCCGCCCCCGGGACGGGGGGACCCCCAGGCACTCCCGGGCCCTGAGCTGGGCCGCCAGGGCCGCCCGCCCTTTGCCGCTCTTCTTGGGCCGAGCTCCGCCCCCGCGCCCTGCAGTGGAGCAGCCGCCCCCAAAGGTGTACGTGACCAGGGTGCGGCCGGGACAGCGGGCATCCCCCCGGGCCCCAGCGCCGCGTGCGCCCTGGCCGCCCTTCCCTGGCGTCTTCCTGCACCCCAGGCCTCTGCCCAGAGTGCAGCTGCGGGCGCCCCCACGCCCACCCCGGCCCCACGGCCGCAGGACCGGCGGCCCCCAGGCCACACAGCCGAGGCCCCCAGCCCGGGCGCAGGCCACCCAAGGGGGCCGGGAGGGCCAGGCGCGCACGCTGGGACCTGCGGCGCCCACAGTGGACTCAAACTTGTCCTCCGAAGCGCGGCCCGTGACCTCCTTCCTGAGCTTGTCCCAGGTGTCCGGGCCGCAGCTGCCCGGGGAGGGCGAAGAGGAGGAGGAAGGGGAGGACGATGGGGCCCCGGGCGACGAGGCCGCGTCGGAGGACAGCGAGGAGGCCGCGGGCCCGGCGCTCGGACGCTGGCGTGAGGACGCCATCGACTGGCAGCGCACGTTCAGCGTGGGCGCCGTGGACTTCGAGCTGCTGCGCTCGGACTGGAACGACCTGCGATGCAACGTTTCGGGGAACCTGCAGCTGCCGGAGGCGGAGGCCGTGGACGTGACCGCTCAGTACATGGAGCGGCTGAACGCGCGCCACGGCGGGTATGGGGGCGGCCGAACGCGCGCCAGGGCGGTTTTGGAGGCGGGGACAGCCGGGGAGAGGAGGTCCTGGCCTTGGCGGACTCCTCAGACCTTCCCCAGGGCCCAGTGGTGTACCGGCCTGGGGGCTGAGGCACCGCGCCCCACCCCAGGGAAGCCCCAGCTTCTCTCCTTCCTTCCTGGCGTCCTGACTGCCCGGGCACTTGTCCAGCCTCAGGGACCTCCCTGGAGCCCCACCCAGGGCTGGCGCCCCATCCTTGCACCTGTGTACCCCACTTCTGTCATCCTGGACCTGGGCCCAGGGATGAGTCCAAGCTGCAGAGATCAGCGTCAGTCGCATCCAGTTGCTGCGCAGACAGCCCCATTCCGGGGGGGCCAGGCAGAGACCCTTAGGGCAAAGCTCAAGACCCCTGGGCCCCTCCTCCTCTCCCCTCGCAGTGCCCCTGGGCGTTCCCAGACTGTCAGGACCCGACTGCAGAGGAAGGTGCAGGGCTTCTGCCCCATTGGCCCCTCTGGTCTCCCTGAGGCCCCAGGAATCTAGTGCTGTCTGCCCTCCCTGCAGGCTGGTGGGCAGGAGTGGGGAGTCTAATTTGGCCTTGGGGAGGCCTGTGGAGTTCTAAGAAGAGGCAGTGTCTGCTGTGCCCAGCCTTGAAGGCGAGTTAGGAGTTGCACAGTGATGACAGGCAGAGGCAGGGGCAGAGGATGGAGGCAGAACCGGGACTGTTTCTCCTGTGCGTGATGGAAGGTTGCGAGCAGAGCAAAGCCAGGGGCAGAGGATGGAGACAGGGCCAGGACTGTTTCTCATGTGTGTGATGGAAGGTTGCGAGCAGAGCAAAGGCAGGGGCAGAGGATGGAGGCACAGCTGCATGTGACTGTTTCTTGTGTGCATGATGGAAGGTTGCGAGCAGAGCAGGAATTCCACCGGTTTGGGTGCAGACAGGTATGCCTCTGCCTGGAGGGGAAGGGAAGGTGGTGGTGGTGACTGACAGCCTGGAGCCCTGGGCGGTGGGTGCTGGATTCTAGGTGGCTCAGAGGGCACGCCTGCCCCGGCTCTAAGCTTCCTGAGAGCAGCTCGTCATTTCTTGGGGGCCTCATGGGAAGATCATGGTTGTGGCCCCACCAATGCCCACCTGGGTATGGCTCAAGGAGCAACAGTGTAGAGAGACCAAGAGCATTTGGGGCAGGAGGTCCCTGACACTCAGGGCTTTGGGGTGGGGAAGGACAGGAGTTGGAGGGAGGCCTTGGACCCTCAGCTGTCACACAGGTGGGCGTCCCCCAGTGAAAGGCACAGACTGCCAAGGGAGGACGTGAGGCCGACTGAAGAGAAACCATCGTCTAGGGCAGGGTCCTGTTTTCTCCAGATGAGGAGAGCAGAGTGGAGGGAAACTGAGGTTCTTGGCCGAGTGGAATGAGGAGGAAGGGGCCAGGAACGGGCTCCCAGCATGGAAGCAGCCTCCTCCACTCAGGGATCAGGACAGGAGCGGAACTGCTGCCTGGGGGAAAGGGGTGCTGTGAAGGCACGATTGGGGGCTTCTCAGAAGAGGTGACCCAGGGCCTGGAAGAGGAGTGGCTGGGAGGACTGGGGCAAACATCCCAGGCAGGGGACTCCTCAGGACAAAGGAGAGGAGACAGTGGCTGTGCCTGAGGAGGAGTCTGCTACCCCAGTATGAGGGGAAGGTTGAAAGCCACAAAATCAAAACTGCTTAAGGTCCTAGAATGCCACAAAAGCCCCTTGGAACCTTGTCCTATGGGCGGTGGCTAACTCCTGAAGGTTTCTGAGCAAGGGGGTAACAGGACAGGCGGGCATGTCATAAACGTCACCTGGGACGTGAGTGGTGGCCAGGAGGCCCGCGAGGAGGTGAGGATGGGCCTGGGCTCGCTGGTGTGCCCCCAGTCCTGCCCCGACCCTGGAGGGGGTGGCTGGAAGGTGGACCTGCCTGCTGGGCCAACCTGGAGGGGCAGGTGCTGTGCCGCGGAGCCCGCAGCCTCCGCCAACTCCAAGTCGGCTGAGTTTCTGTGGCCAGGGCGGACCAGGGTTGCGGGCGGGGTGCAGGCTGGAAGCCCCAGTACCGGCTGACCGCTGAGCCTTGCAGGCGCTTCGCGCTTCTGCGCATCGTGAACGTGGAGAAGCGCCGGGACTCGGCGCGAGGGAGTCGCTTCCTGCTGGAGCTGGAGCTGCAGGAGCGCGGGGGCGGCCGCCTGCGACTGTCCGAGTACGTCTTCCTGCGGCTGCCGGGAGCCCGCGTAGGGGATGCAGACGGAGAAAGTCCCGAACCCGCTCCCGCCGCCTCCGTGCGCCCCGACGGCCGCCCCGAGCTCTGCCGGCCACTGCGCCTGGCCTGGCGCCAGGACGTGATGGTTCACTTCATCGTGCCAGGTTCGCAGGGCGGGCTCGGGGTGTCCGGGAGACCTCGTGGAAGGAACATGGACCCTAATGACTAGGAAAGGGTGTGGGTGTCCGGGATGAAGTTCTTCGGAGCTGGGAGGCCCCACCGTAGAGTCAGCGTCGGCTCAGCGCCCCCCCCGCCTTTTCTCCTCCAGTGAAAAACCAGGCACGGTGGGTGGCACAGTTCCTGGCGGACATGGCTGCGCTGCACGCGCGCACCGGGGACTCGCGTTTCAGCGTCGTCCTGGTGGATTTCGAGAGCGAGGATATGGACGTGGAGCGGGCCCTGCGCGCCGCGCGCCTGCCCCGGTAACGACCCCTACTTCCACCTGGGCGGACCCAGCGCAGCTTTCCTCCCCGGGAGATGGGTTTTCCTGACCCCACCCCCAGAGATCGTGCCTGTGACTCGCCCTCCCCAGGTACCAGTACCTGAGACGAACCGGGAACTTCGAGCGCTCCGCCGGGCTGCAGGCGGGAGTGGACGCGGTAGAGGTCCGAGGGCCCCATGGGGGTCGGGGAGCAAAACGGGGCGTGCCCGGGGAGGAGCGGAGGGCGGGGCTCAGACCTCCCGCACCCCCCAGGACGCCAGCAGCATCGTGTTCCTCTGCGACCTGCACATCCACTTCCCACCCAACATCCTGGACGGCATCCGCAAGCACTGCGTGGAGGGCAGGCTGGCCTTCGCGCCCGTGGTCATGCGCCTGAGCTGCGGGAGCTCGCCCCGGGACCCCCACGGTGAGGCCCCGAGCGTCCCACCCTGTGATACCAGGGTTCCCACCAACCGCCGCGGTAAAGTCCAGGAACCCGGGGCCTCTCTCAATTCCCAGGGGAGGCCTGGGAGTCCATCAGTGCTCCCCGTAGTGCCCAGAGCCCCAGTCCCCCCGCACCAGCACACCCAGGGCCATGCCAGGGGCCCCAGGAACCTCCTCCAGTATCCCGCGTTTATGCACCGCGCTCCAGGGTCATGACCCAGTACCACCGGACGACTCCCGGAAGCCCCCGTGGTGATGGGACCCGGCACCTGACCCCTCCCGAGGTCTCCTAGCGGCGCTTTGCCGGGGGGACCTTGCAGGACCTGGTCTGAAGGGTAGCACCCCTCACCCTCCCGCCCCAGGTTACTGGGAGGTGAACGGCTTTGGCCTTTTTGGGATCTACAAGTCGGACTTTGACCGGGTTGGAGGAATGAACACGGAGGAGTTCCGAGACCAGTGGGGGGGTGAAGACTGGGAGCTCCTGGACAGGTGACCACCTCCCCACTCCCCAGAGGTGACACCCTGACCCCTGCGTCCTCCTCCTCTGAATGGGGAAGGGGGATTTATGCCCCCCACGGCGCCCACATGCTGAGAGAACTCTGCCCTTCCCGGTCTTCCCAGTATCCTGTAGGCCTGGAGAGACTCCTCCACCCACATCACTTCTGAAACCCTGTCCCACCCCCAGGGTCCTGCAAGGTCAGGGACATCCCTGAACCAGCTCTGCCCCCGATCCCATAGGCCCTGGGTGGCCCTGAGTCCCCATCATCCCACTGGGGCCATGCAGGCTCGAGGCAGCCCTGACACCCCCAGCCCCTGGACCAGGGTACTGACCACCTCTCCGCCCCCGGCCCCGGGGTCCTGACCACCTCTCCGCCCCCGGCCCCGGGGTCCTGACCACCTCTCCGCCCCCGGCCCCGGGTTCCTGACCACCTCTCCGCCCCCGGCCCCGGGGTCCTGACCACCTCTCCGCCCCCGGCCCCGGGTTCCTGACCACCTCTCCGCCCCCGGCCCCGGGGTCCTGACCACCTCTCCGCCCCCGGCCCCGGGTTCCTGACCACCTCTCCGCCCCCGGCCCCGGGGTCCTGACCACCTCTCCGCCCCCGGCCCCGGGTTCCTGACCACCTCTCCGCCCCCGGCCCCGGGGTCCTGACCACCTCTCCGTCCCCAACCCCGGGGTCCTGACCACCTCTCTGCCCCCGGCCCCAGGGTCCTGCAGGCAGGGCTGGAGGTGGAGCGGCTCCGACTGCGGAATTTCTATCACCACTACCACTCCAAGAGGGGCATGTGGAGCGTCCGCAGCAGGAAGGGCTCTCGCACGGGGGCGTCTTGAGGACGGGCAGCCCCTCCCAGCCCCGGTGGGAGTCCCGAGGCAGCTGCTGGGGGCTGGGCTTTGAGCTCGGTCCCGAGAGACCCGGCAGGGCTGGTCAGAGGGGCACAGCCACCGCCTGTGCCTGCCCCTCTCTGGCCCACTGGGCGTCGTGCCCCTCCCCGGAGAGGCAGCCTTCACGGCGGGTCAGGGCCTGGCCTTGGTCCCCACTCTGCGATGATTTCTGTGAAATTTTGCTGTAGCGATGACATTGTTTTCAGAATTTCCAAGAGTTCTGTCTGTTCTGTTTTTTATTCAGAATGAAATGAAATATTTTTTTTAGTTCTGACTAGTCCTCTGTGCCTGTTCTCTTGAGAGGTAGAGTCCTCTCCCCTGGGGGACCCTGAGCACGACCTCCTGACTCCCAGCCGCAGCCCTTCCGGACCTCTCCTTCTCCTACCCCCAAGACCACTTTCCCCTTCCTGCCTGTGAGGTTCTGTGCCGGGCCCTGTGGGGAGGGGGCTTCCGACTTCCTCCGCCCTGTGTCTATGGGGTCTGTGCCCGCTGATAACAGACATAGATAGCACAGGGCCCTCCCACACTGAGGCGAGGAATGAGCAGTCACCACCTCAGTTCCCCTCATTCTGCAAACAGAATCGGGGTGTCATTCCCACCCCAGCCTCCTCTAGGGTGGAGGAGCTGCTGCACCCAGGTGGGGCATGTCGTGTGCTGGGGTTGGGGGTGATCAGGCAGAACTCAGGGTTGCCAGAAACAGAAACCCAACTCAAGCCAGTGAAGCCGTAATCAGGGGGCCTGTATGACTTTGGAACCCTCCAGGTCAGGGTCAGCAGGACACCAGAGAAGGACAGACTCAGAGGCTGGTCGAAGCCCACTCCTGCCTTGTCTCCTCTCTGCCTGTGGGTCCAGCTCAGTCCTGGCCTGGGCCAGGTCACAGGAGGGAGGCTGTACTCTGCCAGGCAGCGAGTGAGTGTGTGAGTTCCCTGTGGCTGCCGTAGCAAATTGGCACAAATGTAGTGGCTTAAAAAAATTATTATCTTACAGTTCTGGAGATAAAAAGTCCTAGAACTAAGCCCGGCACAGTGGCTCACGCCTGTAATCCCAGTACTTTGGGAGGCTGAAGCGTCCGGATCCCTAGACACGGTGGTGTGTACCTGTAGTCCCAACTACTTGGAAGGTTGAGGCAGGAGGATCACCTGAGCCCGGGAGGTCAGGGCTGCAGTGAGCTGTGGTTGCATCACTGCACTCCAGCCTGGGAAACAGAGCAAGGCCCTGTCTCGGAAAAAAAAAATGCTAAAATTAAGGTGTCAGCAGGGCTGGTTCCTTCGGGAGACTTAGGTGTGAGTCTGCGTCCGTGCCTTCTCCAGCTTCTCAAGGCCACCTGGATTTCAGCAGCTTGGCCTCTTCCCCTCTCTCACTCACTCTCTCTCTCCCTCTCTCCCTCATCTCCTCCTGTGACTCTGACCCTGCTGCCTTCTCTTATAAGGCCCCCTGCGATGACACTGGGCCCTCCCAGCAAACCCACGATAACCATCACGTCCCTCACTCAGTCACATCTGCAAAACCCCTTTGCCATGAAGGTAACAGTCACAGGTTCTGGGACTAGGACAGGCACATCTTGAGCGGTCACTCTTCTTTCTACCTCCTCGTTCACACGGGGTGGGAAAATAGCTCCTAGGCCCAGCAGCCAGAATTGTCCTCTGCAGATACGTCCTGAGGTCACTGCTCACCGTGCACTCACGGCAGCTGGGCGGTGGAGCCGAAGGAAGAACCAGGGGGACCTGCCGTGGACCAGAGCGGCATCCAGTCGCCTGGTGTGGGCTTCACAGGTCCTGCTGGTCCACAGGTGTGCAGGTCCACAGAGGTGCCCGCAGGGCAGGGGACATGGCTGGCCACACACATGCCCAGAAGCCATGTGCTGACCAGCTGTCCTGCCCGCTGATCCCTGTGTATCTAGTTCAGATGGACTTGTCCCCACTCACAGATGTTTCGCAGCAAGAGAAGAACTAGCCTTGGATTTAATGATCCACGCTAACCCAAGAAAATGAGAAAAGGATAGAAGAAATGTAAACCACAGGCAGGGGAAGCCTGCACATCAGAAAGAGAATTAACCTTGGAAAACAAAAAAGTCAAAATTCCATGTAATCTGGACGATTCACACCATCATTTAATCCGTTTAGCAATGATTCATTGCACACTCACTACATGTCCCGCACTGAGGAAAAGGCAGGGAACGGAACAGACAAAAACTGCTGCCCCCAAGGATCTTACATTCTAATACGGGGGGGAGCGGGGCACGACGACGCCATCAATAACACATCTGGTATACCAGCTGGCGGCAAGGGCAGTGGAGAGAAAGGAAGCCCGGGAAGGCAGCAGCCCATGTGAGCGTGACTGCGTTTCTAAGCAGGGTGCTCAGAAAGACCAAGCGTGAGAAGGTGAAGGCGGCCGAGGACACAGGCGGGGGAGGGCAGGGGTCAGCGGCAGCCTTTGAGGAAATTTCTTAAAAATCAATGATAAGGCTGGGCATAGTGGCTCACACCTGTAATCTCAGCACTTCGGGAGGCTGAGGCAGGAGTGATGGCAGCGGTGGCCCATCTAGAGTGGACACTGCCAAGATGCTGGCCGCAGCGGAGAGGCATGGCAGGGCCTCCCACTCCACAGAGCAGGCAGGAGCTCGGCCCTCCTGGGCACTGGGTTCGTTTGCGTGCACCTCAATATTCCTGTGCTCTTGGGGGCCCAGGAAGGCCCCCACCCGGCCCCCTGTAGGCTCAGAAGTACCTGCTCCTGCTGCCCCTGCGGAGCCTGGTGCTTCCAGTAGCTGGAACCGGGGCCCACAGTCCGCTCCCAGAGGTGTCTCCCAGCATGGTTGCGAGTCGGGTGAGGGGCGGCCCCAGGCTGCCCCTGAGTGTTGGAACTGCAGGGGGATCTTGTGGTGACATCGCCTCCCTCTGCCCCGGATGCCGACCCGGGCTCTGTGAGGGCCGAAAGTCTTCACCCCAGGCTGCAAGGAGGCGGACAGGGGAGCAGGATGACTGCAGGAGCAGCAGTGGCGGCAGCAGGTCCCCAGTGCCCCATGTCCCCAAGGCTGCCGACGGTGCCACCCCCACCCTCACACAGCTGGGCAAGACCCACTCCCAGGCCTGGAACCCCCACAGCCGGGCAAGACCCACTCCCAGGCCTGGAACCCCCACAGCCGGGCAAGACCCACTCCCAGGCCTGGAACCCCCACAGCCGGGCAAGACCCACTCCCAGGCCTGGAACCCCCACAGCCGGGCAAGACCCACTCCCAGGCCTGGAACCCCCACAGCCGGGCAAGACCCACTCCCAGGCCTGGAACCCCCACAGCCGGGCAAGACCCACTCCCAGGCCTGGAACCCCCACAGCCGGGCAAGACCCACTCCCAGGCCTGGAACCCCCACAGCCGGGCAAGACCCACTCCCAGGCCTGGAACCCCCACAGCCGGGCAAGACCCACTCCCAGGCCTGGAACCCCCACAGCCGGGCAAGACCCACTCCCAGGCCTGGAACCCCCACAGCCGGGCAAGACCCACTCCCAGGCCTGGAACCCCCACAGCCGGGCAAGACCCACTCCCAGGCCTGGAACCCCCACAGCCGGGCAAGACCCACTCCCAGGCCTGGAACCCCCACAGCCGGGCAAGACCCACTCCCAGGCCTGGAACCCCCACAGCCGGGCAAGACCCACTCCCAGGCCTGGAACCCCCACAGCCGGGCAAGACCCACTCCCAGGCCTGGAACCCCCACAGCCGGGCAAGACCCACTCCCAGGCCTGGAACCCCCACAGCCGGGCAAGACCCACTCCCAGGCCTGGAACCCCCACAGCCGGGCAAGACCCACTCCCAGGCCTGGAACCCCCACAGCCGGGCAAGACCCACTCCCAGGCCTGGAACCCCCACAGCCACCTCAACCTCGCTTCCTGCCGTGTCCCGGGAGCCCGTGAGCACCCAGCTGAAGGCACAGCCGG
This sequence comes from Homo sapiens, assembly GCF_000001405.40. Classification (NCBI taxonomy): domain Eukaryota; kingdom Metazoa; phylum Chordata; class Mammalia; order Primates; family Hominidae; genus Homo; species Homo sapiens. The sequence continues at coordinate 385,771 of NC_000011.10, forward strand.
GTCTCGTGGAACCAGCCCTGGGAGCAGTGGGTTTATTTGTGCAGGGTTGGCAGGGCGGGAGCACCACGGGGGCAGCTGCAGCCAGCCAGGTTGCTGCTGTGTGGACCCAGGCCTCCTGGTGGTCTTGGGGGCCAGGGAGGACCCCCTAACACCACAGGCTTGGGGGTGTCCCTGCTCCTGGCGCCCACTCTGATCTTGGAGTGGGGTCGGGGCCAAGCCCGGGTGTTGTTGCAGCCCAGCCGGGTGTGCACCCTCAGAGCAGTGCCGAGATGCCAGTCCCCTGCCACCTCAGCCCCTCCAGACTTTGGGCACCAATGAGTGTGGGAGGGAGGCCAAGATGGAGCTGGGGGCAGCTCAGTGCTGGCCTGTGGGCACCCCTTGGCACGAGCGGCCTGGGCACCATGGGCGGCAGTGGGAGGCAGACAGGCTCCTGGGAGGGAATGGGCAGGTCCCTGGTGAGGCTCCACCTTCAAGCCAGGGTGGGCCTGAAGGCTGGGGGCCAGGCTGACAGTCCTGAGGACCACAGTGGGGACTTGTGGTGCCTTTTCCGGGCCCACCCATGGCTGCCCATGCACCAGTTGGCATGAATTTCCTCCCCTCTGAGGCCCATAAAAGCCCTGGGTTCAGCCAGAGTGGAGAAGAGGACAGAGAGACGACGGGATGACCAGCTGCAGAAAGGAGCTACCCTCACTAGGGCCTCCTCTTTGCTGAGCATTGCAGGCCTTGGGTCAACCAACTGCAGAGAGGAGTTACCCTCTCTGCTGATAGCTGCAGGCATTGGGTCGACCAACTGCAGAGAGGAGCTGCCCTCTCTGCTGAGAGCTGAACACTCGTTGGGACGACCTTCCTGCAGAGAGGAGCCACTCACTCCCAGCCTCCTCTCTGCTGAGAGCCTCTGAGCCGTTCTGACACTTAATAAAGCTCCTCTTCGTCTTGCTCACCCTCCACTTGTCTGTGTACCTCATTCTTCCTGGACACAGGACAAGAACTCAGGCAAAGGTGCTCCTGGCCACAGAGGTTTCTGGCCAGAAAAGCAACACCCCAAATATCCCACAACATGTTTGGGGGCTCGTCTGGGATCTGCACAAGGGTAAGTAAAAGTGGATCTTCTCTTTCTGTCCTTTCTTCGTGGTCCTTAAACTCAACAGCTAAAATGAAAGAAAAATACCAGGCCTCTGTCAATTAGTTAAAAGTGACGACTAGTCTCCAAGCACCAGACTCAACACATGGAGGCCAGGCTTGCTGGGGAGGACACTGTCAAGCCCCCATCACCCTCAGGTATTGGGAATGTTGGCTTTGTTCCAACCCAGTTTTCCTTCATGGAGGTCTAGCTGTCACGTGGGACCAGAAGGAGGTCCTAGAGCAACTGGGGGTATTTGGCTGAGGTTACCCCTTGGAGTTATCCAAAGGCCCCTGGACTGACTCCAGTCCCCAGCCTCCCATGAGGGTGTTGGCACAAAGACCTCCACTCTTTCCTATCATTCTTTTCTGTCTTTCTTTTGTGGCTGTCATGGTTCCTATCTCTTCTTTATGTACAATGTTAAATGTTAAGGATGTTGTTGCAAACCAGAAATATTACTGGGTAGAATGAGCATTTGACTGAGTCATCAAAACTATAAAATGGAAGGTTAAGAATAGCACAGACGAAGTAAAGTGTGCCTTGGTATCTGTATGTAAATTTGTGGCAAAAATGTTCTTGTTATTTCCTTGGCCGCCAACTTGGTGCCAAGCACCTTGAGACCCAGAAAAGAAGCATGGTCTCAGGAAGGAAGCTTTTCTGTAAACGTGAGACCCAGAAGAGAAGCATGGTCTCAGGAAGGAAGCTTTTCTGTAAGTGTAAGACACAGAAGGGAAGCATGGTCTTGGGAGGAAGCTTTTCTGTAAATGTGAGGGCCAGTGATCCCAGGCCTCGTGTGTGCAGGCTTTCTTTGCCTTGCAGGGTAACTTGGACCTTTGCCTCTACTGTAGGATTGATCCAGCCCTCCTGGTGGCCATCTCAGGAGAGGCTGCAAGAGGCAATCCCAGGGAAATAGAGAAGCAAACCCCAGAGGCACCTCCAGTGGAGGAATCAAACCCTTCACTCCTCCCTACTCAGGTTCTCTCTCAAGCTTTCCCCAGCCTAGAAATCCTCATTTTAGGCCATTCTGAGTCAAATTAAGGGGGATCTTGGCAAGTTTTCAGATGGCCCTGACAGATACATGGAGGCTTTCCAGAACTTAACCCAAGTATTTGAGCTCTCCTGGAAGGATATCATGTTACTTCTGAATCAAACCCTGACTGCTGAAAAGCAGGCCACCCCGCAAGCGGCAGAGAATTTGGGGGATGAGCTGTATATCTTATATAGGGCCAGGGAAGAAGAGAAGCTTTATCCAATTGGATGAATAGCAGTACCATTGGAGGACCCTAAATGGGACCCCAGTGATAAAATGGGAGAATGGAGGATGAAACACTTTCAGATGTGATACTGGAGGGCTTGTGAGGGAATGGGACTGGGCTTCTCATTGCACTTGGCTGGAGGGCTTATGAGAGAAAGGGGCTGGGCCTCTTGATTGCACCAGGCTGTCCATGGTAGAGCAGGGATTGGCCCCACTGCCTTCCTGGGGGATGGCAGGGGCCTTGGTGAAGTGTGCCTCTCTGTCTCCTGACTCAGTCAATGAACGGCTGGTCCTAGGGGATGAGGAGATGAGTTCATTGCACAGGCGGCCCCTGATGTCAGAAGGAGGATGCGGGAATGGGCTGTGGGACCAGATGGTACTTTGGGGGCATCCTGGGAGGGGCCACCTCAGTTTTTTCCAGTGGGAACCGGGAGGAAGTCCAGAAAAGAGAGAGGAGATATAGGAAGAAGGCAAAGGCTCTTAACAGCTGCCCTGTGGGCTCATGGACCCCAGGATCCCTAGATACACCTGTGACTGCTGCAAATGTGTTGGGCTAGGGCCCCACAGGAGGGTTTCCAGACAGTGCAGGGAGGAGGGTCCTTCATGAGGGTTTCCACACAGTGCAGGGAGGAGGGTCCTTCAGGAGGGTTTCCACACAGTGCAGGGAGGAGGGTCCTTCAGGAGGGTTTCCACACAGTGCAGGGAGGAGGGTCCTTCAGGAGGCTTTCCAGACAGTCCTGGGAGGAGGGTCCTTCAGGAGGGGCTTTCCAGACAGTGCAGGGAGGAGGGTCCTTCAGGAGGGGCTTTCCAGACAGTGCAGGGAGGCCACCTTGACCCTGTCCAGTTTGCCTTGGGGACTGTAGGGTCCAGCCCTACGGGGCTTAGTGGGTGTTCTCCCCATGTGCGGAGACCAGAGATTGTAATAAATAAAGGCACAAGACAAAGAGATAAAGAGAAAGCAGCTGGGCCTGGGGGACCACTACCATCAAGACGCGGAGACCAGTAGTGCCCTGAACGGCTGGGCGCGCTGATATTTATTGCATACAAGACAAGGGGGCAGGATAAGGAGGGTGAATCTTCTAAGTGATAAGGTGAAGCAAGTCACCTTACGGTGACCCTTCCCTCTTAGGTAGCCGAAGTAGAGAGGAAAGGCAGCATACATCAGTGTTGTCTTCTATGCAGTTATAAGAACGATCAAAGACTTTAAGACTTTCACTATTTCTTCTACCGCTATCTACTACGAACTTCAAAGAGGAACCAGGAGTACGGGAGGAGCATGAAAGTGGACAAGGAGTGTGATCATTCAAGCACCACAGGGAGGGGGTTAGGCCTCCGGATGACTGCGGGCCAGGCCTGGAGAATATCCAGCCTCCCACAAGAAGCTGGTGGAGCAGAGTGTTCCCCGACCTCTCCAAGGAAAGGAGACTCCCTTTCGCGGTCGGCTAAGGAACGGGTGCCTTCCCAGGCACTCGCGTTACCGCTTGACCAAGGAGCCCTCAAGCGGCCCTTATGTTGGCGTGACAGAGGGCTCACCTCTTGCCTTCTAGGTCACTTCTCACAACGTCCCTTCAGCACCTGACCCTATACCCACCGCTTATTCCTAGGTTATATAGTAATGGAACAAAGAGTAATATTAAAAGCTAATGACTAATAATGTTTATAATAATGATTGATAATTGTCCATGAGCATCTCTATATCTAATTTGTATTATGACTATTCTTATTCTATTTTCTTTATTATACTGAAACAGTTTGTGCCTTCAGTCTCTTGCCTGGGCACCTGGGTCATCCTCCGCCCACAGGGGACCGCTGGAGGACAGACCATCCCTGGAGACGTGGGTTGCCGGACCTCGGGCCAGTCTCCCAAATGGTACAGCAGGACTGATGGGTCCCCAGCCTCCTCTCCCCAGCTACAGTCGTCCAGACCACCATTGCCATCCAGGAACCCCAGGGATTGTAGGGGTCAAGGGAAGGAGGATGGACCTCGTCCTGGACTCCAGAGTTCTCCTCTCCAATCTGGGCCCCCCTCCCCATCTCTTGGCACAACTGTGAGTGGCATCTCAGGCCTCCTTCCTCCACCATGTCAGGAATCAACACAGTCTTGTGAATACAGGGACCTCTCCATGGAGGGGTTAGCTTTTTTCCTTTCAGAAGGCACCTTCTTAGGCCAGGCCCCCGATTCCCAGGACTTCCCTCCTCCGCCTTGTTTGAGGAGGACCTGGCCCCACAGCGCCACCTGTTTATAACAGGAAAGCAACAGGAGCGGCCGCCACCTGTTAGCAGCTGCAATTTGGTGAGGAACACTTGGGGCTAACTGAATGGGTCCACACACCGTCCTGAGGCCAGACCCCAGGAGAACCCCCGGGAGATGCCCCGCCTGCCTCAGACAGACGCCCCCTTCCCCAGAGGAGCGCCGGGGTCCTGAGGCCAGACCCCAGGAGAACCCCCGGGAGATGCCCCGCCTGCCTCAGACAGACGCCCCCTTCCCCAGAGGAGCGCCGGGGTCCTGAGGCCAGACCCCAGGAGAACCCCCGGGAGATGCCCCGCCTGCCTCAGACAGACGCCCCCTTCCCCAGAGGAGCGCCGGGGTCCTGAGGCCAGACCCCAGGAGAACCCCCGGGAGATGCCCCGCCTGCCTCAGACAGACGCCCCCTTCCCCAGAGGAGCGCCGGGGTCCTGAGGCCAGACCCCAGGAGAACCCCCGGGAGATGCCCCGCCTGCCTCAGACAGACGCCCCCTTCCCCAGAGGAGCGCCGGGGTCCTGAGGCCAGACCCCAGGAGAACCCCCGGGAGATGCCCCGCCTGCCTCAGACAGACGCCCCCTTCCCCAGAGGAGCGCCGGGGGCATAGCAAGAGCCCGGGACTCGTCTGATGAACGAACAAGTAGTGGACGGACAGATGGACAGACTGACCAACAGGCCGGCAGTGGACGGGGTGTGTGCAGATGAAAGGTGTCCCCCCCAAGAGCCTACAGGGGCCATACCCCTCAGCTACTTTCCATGCCAAGGACCAAGGCCAGAGACCTCAGAGCTGCCCCAGCCACAGGCGCGGGGCAGGGGCCACACTCCACAAGGTGAGGGGTGGTGCCCATGGGCAGCCGGGCAGGCTCCGTGGAGGGGCTGGACTTGGCTGGAGCCCAAGTCAGAAGGTTTGCAAGCGTGGGCGCCAACAGGAAGCGCCAGGACGCTTGCCTCTGGGTGAGCTGTGCCCCCACGCCGGGTCCATCAACCACCAAGGGGCTCCCCTAATGCACTCCGAACCCCGCCCCTGCAGGCGGTGGGACCTGAGGCAGCCTCCCAAGCCTCTCTGTGCACCGGCTCACTCCTGAATTCGGCTTTGACTATATTTTGCTTCCAACGTCCTCACACCTTTCTCCCCAGATCCTCCCCCTTCTGCTCCTTAAGACGACCACCCCAACCCCCTCCACCCACGCAGGCTCTGCCCTGGAGGTTTGTCTTCTGTGCCCTCCCACAACTCCGGGCACGCACCTGGCAGCTCTGCCCACGACCTGGGCCCAGCCGACCTTCTCTGTGAGCGCCTCCCGTGCCCCCCACGCTGAGCCCACCATGCCCCGAAGCCCTCCTGCGCCCTCTCCCACCGCCTCTTGGGAGGTGACTGACAGGCCACACCCCACCCAGGACCCATCTAAGAGCAGCGCTCACTCACCCTTCGAGGCCCTCAGGTTCCAGGCTCTCAACCTGATTGTGCACCCAAGCGGCCCGAGGCTCCGTGCAGATTCCGGGCCCCACAGACAACCGCTTCCTCCAGGAAGCCTACCGTCAAGCCCCCCTCCAGGGCTCCTGTGTCAGGAGCTGGCTCCAGGGAGAGTGCGACCCTCAGGGCTGGTCACAGGGATCAGATGAGACTCCGCCGAGCCTGGAGCTGGAAGCTGCAGCGGTGGCCTAGCAGGCATCGCCATCCGTCTGGCCCGGCCGCAGTGAGGGAAGGTGCACCCCAGATTCCTGGCTTTGCCAAAACTGTGCCTGGCGGGCACCACGCATCCTCAGGGAGGCGCCGCAGCTCTGGGGGGGGGCACCCACAGCCCTCTCTGCCAAGGGGAGGAGGGAAGGTGGGCAGAGTCGGCCCTGGGGGCCCTGCAGGCCGCGGGGTACCGGCGTTCCCATCATAGCTCCAGCCGCACGGAAGCCCCTTCACTGAGTCCTCTTGTGAGCCCTTCGGCCTGACTGGGCTGCAGAGGCCCTCCAGGCTGGCTTCCCCCTCATGCCGCCCAGCCTGGCCCCTGCAGGGCCCCAGGTGGGCCTGGGGTGGACCTGGGTGCAGGGCGGGACCCAGCCCATGCCAGGCACATACCTCCAGGCCCGCTCTGCGCCGCACAAACTTGTCTCCCAGGATTTTTCCACACGAAACCTGTCTCCCAGGGAATCAGCCAGTCCGATGAGCTGGGCGTTCCCACCCCGCCCTCCGAGGCCCCCACAGTCCTGTCCCCGCCGCAGAGGCTGCCCCGCACGCGCCGGGCCAGGGATGGAGTCCTGGACACCTCGGCCGTCAGCAGTGGCCTCTGGGATGAGCTGGGAGGCTGGCGGGATCCGGACCACGAGCCGGGTAGGTCTCCCACCCCTTCCCCACCACCCCGACCCCACCTGGTGGCCCCAGCCCGGGCCTCACCCATCCTTTCAGTGGACCTTCCCCTCCCCCTTTAACCCCCCACGCTGACCTCCGACTCCTACTCTCCAGCTTCCTCCCCTCAGAACTGACCTCACCCTTAATGCTGCCTCCTAACCCTGACCCGGCCCTCACGCCAGACCCCTGCCCCAGCCCCATTAAGGCAAAAATCTTCCAGGGACGGAGCTAGGGGGCAAGGGTCTGCCCTGGAGGAGAGCCCAGAGCCAGGGTCCAGGGTCCAGGGAGAAGCAGAGGCTGTCCGATGAGCTCGTGAGAGAAGCCCAGAGGTTGTCATAGATGTTCAGCTCCCACCCCCAGCCCTCCTAGGCTTATCCCCACCCCCATCTACCAGGGGCTTGTCCCAGAGGCTAGAGGGCCTCAGAGCCCATTTGCTGGCTGTGGTGCTAGAAGGAGACCTTCTGGGCACAAGCCCTGCTTGGTCCAGGGCCCCCCCACCAGGGGCCCCCCACTACCCCACCCCCACCAGGGGCCCCCCACCCTCGCTCCCTCTCCATCCAGGCCTCTGCTCTTCCAGACCCCTGGTTCTTCCCTGCACACCCGCTCCTGCCCCAGCCTGACATGCGCTGACAGGAGTGCAGGCCCTCTGAGTCAACCCCCTGGGGCGGCCCCGCCCCCCTGCACCCTGACTCATGTGCTGGGAACGGCCTCCCACCCCAGGGCCTGGGGTGCAGGAGCAGTGGTGCCAGGGTCCCAGAAGCCAGAGAGGGTTTTGGAGGCCTCTGTAGGGGGTGAGGGGGTCCTGGGGGTGAGTTCCAGGGTCTGCAGGCTTCGGGGGAGGGCCGGTCCATCCACATGCTTCCTGGTGCGGAGGGGGCTCGCTGGATTCCAAGGACCAGGGCCAGGGCCTCCATGGAGTCCCGTTGGACCCTAAAGCTCTGTCCCTCCAGCCTTTGTCCTGATCCCTGGCACTGACCCCTGACTCCCGACAGTGTCTCCTGCCAACCCTTCCTAGGCCTCATCCCCACCTCACCAGGAAGGCTGGGCTACCATGGAGGCTGGCTGATTCTTGGAGCTACCTAGGGCCCTAGACCCCCAGGGACTGGGGCACCCTCCCCTTCATGCTGGGGGTGGCAGGACATAGGCCCCCCGCAGGCCCCCTGCCCTTCCCTGACACTCAGGACACAGAGGGCCCCTCTGTCCCAGCCCCACGACAAAGGGCCCGGTCTGGCCTTTACAGGCTGAGAACAAGAAGGACCCAGGTCCCCGTGGCCCTGTTGTGGGATGGGAGAAAAGGAGGCGGGAGGCCAGGCTGGGACCTGGGGCCATGCAGGGCCTGTTCTTCCGCCCAAATTCCACCTTAAGCAGGCGGCGGCCCCTCCCTCCCACCTGGCCAGGTGTCCCCGCCCCCAGCTGCGCTCAGGGCTGGGCAGGCGTCTGTCTTCAGGCGGCTCTGGGTGAGGCTGGCTGGGCGGGGACTTCAGGGAGAGGGCCTCGAGGGACAGGACGTGAAGATAGTTGGGTTTGGAGGCGGCCGCCAGGCCCAGGCCCGGTGGACCTGCCGCCATGCAGGACGGTAACTTCCTGCTGTCGGCCCTGCAGCCTGAGGCCGGCGTGTGCTCCCTGGCGCTGCCCTCTGACCTGCAGCTGGACCGCCGGGGCGCCGAGGGGCCGGAGGCCGAGCGGCTGCGGGCAGCCCGCGTCCAGGAGCAGGTCCGCGCCCGCCTCTTGCAGCTGGGACAGCAGCCGCGGCACAACGGGGCCGCTGAGCCCGAGCCTGAGGCCGAGACTGCCAGAGGTAGGCGGTGGGGACAGCGGCGGGGATGGCGGTGGCGGGGAGAGGTGGCTGCGGGCGGACGTGATAGTGTGAGGGCAGAGGCCGCAGTGAGGCCGGCTCCTGACTCACCAGGCCTCACACTGAGTCACACACCCCGCCCCAGGGGCGTGGGGAGAAGCCATGGGTGGGGCTGCCCTGTCCAAGCAGGGACCCCGGGGTCCTCCAAAGACTGAGCCTGGCCAGGCCCCACCTGTGCCTGGAGTCCTGGAGCCATCCCTGTGGGGGATGACAGGGAAGGTTGGCACATGGCAGGCGGGCCAGGCCACTCGGTCGGCAAACCCGGAACACGCACGCGCCTGGCCCCGGTAGCACAGACTCACATAGGGTCTCAGGGACACCCAGACACCCACGCTCCTCCCATACCTCACGGGAATGAGCAGAACGGGAAAGCGGGGAGAGGTGTGGGGGTGCTGGAAGTCCTGGAGGAAAGCCAGGCCTGTCTGGACCAGGGGCTCCCTGAGGAATTAGAGGGGAGGGCCCGGCTGGAGTGACCTAGATTTCTCTGTGGGAACAGCAGGTGGAGGAGCACCCCTCGGTGCCAGCCAGACCCACCTGTGGCGGAATCCTGGCCCCACTCACGCGAGTGTGTGTGCATGCGTGTGAGTGTGAGTGACAGGAGCACAGACGCTGTGAGTTGAAGGCAGTGGTTCTAGGAACGCCATTTCCTCCTTCCCAGGCTACAGCAACAGGGATTAAGGTTAGACAGTAAGATGGACCTCCCAGAATGCCAGGGACCCAGATGCCAGTTCATCATGGTCCACTTGGTGTTTAGAGGGGCCTTCCCCAGGACTGGCCTCCAGCCACTGGCCAGGGGGAAGTGAAGGTCGCCCAGCGGAGGGGCCGGCCCGGCGGCCTGGACTGTGGGGTCCTCCCTCCAGGGGCCTCAGCCTTGCTGGTGACCAAGTCGGGTGCCCAGGGGTCATGGGGTGGAGGACGGTGAGGGAAGGGTTAATTACCACCCTGGCTGCCCTGCCAATTAGAGGGAGGTGGATTATAATTGGGGGGTGGGGGTGAGGTCCCCAGGCTGGGGCGTGCCCCCACTCCGGGCTGGGCCTCACGAGCGTCAGAGGGTTAATAGCCCCGGCCCAGAAGCCCCATTAACCAGGGTGAACCTGGGGCCTCTGCCATGGGGGTGTCCCCCACAGAGCATCCAGCTCTGGGCAGAGTTGTGGGAGGGCCACGGCCCCTTTCCCTGCACCCCACCCTGAGCCCCTCAGCCAGGTCGCTCTGGTGGGCCTTCTCATGCCCCCACCATCAGCCCATCCTCTCTGCACCCATCCACGAGTCCATCCCTCTGCCCACTCACCATCCAACCATGGGACCCTGTCGTCGACGGCTGTCCCACCCCTCCATCCACCACTCTGTCCATCCTTCCAGCAGTCACAGCAGCCCTCCCATCCTCCTCCTGCCTGTCCCTCCATCCACCCTCCGCCCTCCACCCTCTGCCCACCCACCTGTCTGTCCACTCACTGTGGAGTCGGGCTGACGCAGCTGCCCTTGGCGTGTGTGTGGCTGGACGGGGTGGGTGTGGCCCCTGCCTCAGGCTCTGCCGGGTGGGACAGGGCACTGCAACAGGGCATACTGGTCCAGGGAGACAGTGTCACTCTCCTGTGACCGGGCACAGATGAGGTTTGGGCACAGGAGGGGCTCAAAAGGAGTCAGTGTGGGCCGGGGCAGGCCAGGCTGGCTTCCTGGAGGAGGCTGGGCACTGTACCATGGCAAGGATTGGAGAACTGATGTCAGAGGCCCTGGCACATTCCTCCTGGCGACCAGGAGGTCAGTGGGTGAGCGTATCTGCCCTCTCGGGTAGAGGAGGCACAGCTGGGGGGTGGGCTGTGGAAGATGGACCACCAGGGCTGACATGTGAGGAGACCAAGCCATGGCAGGAATGGGGAGGCACTGGCCCTGGTGCCCCCCTGGCCTCCCTGCCCTGGATTGGAGGCTGCTCCTAGGGTTGCCAATAGCGATGGAGTGGTGGAGAGGAGGCAGGAGGCCAGTGCTTTGCTGTGTGGCAGAGCTGGGCTACCACCGTCCCTCTCCACAGGCACATCCAGGGGGCAGTACCACACCCTGCAGGCTGGCTTCAGCTCTCGCTCTCAGGGCCTGAGTGGGGACAAGACCTCGGTGAGCGATGGGCCCAGCCCGAGGGGGACGATCTGAGCTCTGCAGTCTGGAGAGTGGGAGGCTCTGCAGCGGGCCCGGACACAGGTGAGCCCAGGCACGCCCTCACCGCCCCCTCTCGACCCACAGGGCTTCCGGCCCATCGCCAAGCCGGCCTACAGCCCAGCCTCCTGGTCCTCCCGCTCCGCCGTGGATCTGAGCTGCAGTCGGAGGCTGAGTTCAGCCCACAACGGGGGCAGCGCCTTTGGGGCCGCTGGGTACGGGGGTGCCCAGCCCACCCCTCCCATGCCCACCAGGCCCGTGTCCTTCCATGAGCGCGGTGGGGTTGGGAGCCGGGCCGACTATGACACACTCTCCCTGCGCTCGCTGCGGCTGGGGCCCGGGGGCCTGGACGACCGCTACAGCCTGGTGTCTGAGCAGCTGGAGCCCGCGGCCACCTCCACCTACAGGGCCTTTGCGTACGAGCGCCAGGCCAGCTCCAGCTCCAGCCGGGCAGGGGGGCTGGACTGGCCCGAGGCCACTGAGGTTTCCCCGAGCCGGACCATCCGTGCCCCTGCCGTGCGGACCCTGCAGCGATTCCAGAGCAGCCACCGGAGCCGCGGGGTAGGCGGGGCAGTGCCGGGGGCCGTCCTGGAGCCAGTGGCTCGAGCGCCATCTGTGCGCAGCCTCAGCCTCAGCCTGGCTGACTCGGGCCACCTGCCGGACGTGCATGGGTTCAACAGCTACGGTAGCCACCGAACCCTGCAGAGACTCAGCAGCGGGTGAGCGGCTGGGCCCGGCTCAGGGAGGGGGCTTCTACCACGGGCCCAGCCTGAACCCAAAGTTAGCCTGACCCCTGACCCCTGGCTCCGCAGTTTTGATGACATTGACCTGCCCTCAGCAGTCAAGTACCTCATGGCTTCAGACCCCAACCTGCAGGTGCTGGGAGCGGCCTACATCCAGCACAAGTGCTACAGCGATGCAGCCGCCAAGAAGCAGGTGACCACCCCGACCACCCACTCGCTGCCCCCTGGTGACCTCCTTCGTGGGCCCCACCACCTCCCACTGTCCTCTGCTCACTGAGCACCCCTCATGATCCCCAAGCTGACTGGGTAGACCCCACTCTGTCTGGAGCCCCCTCAGCAGAGGAAGAGCAGAAGGATACAATTTGGATACACCAGTATCACCTGCATCACCTCCGTACCCCCACATATACCTCATCACCTCCGTACACCCGCACACACCTGCGTCACCTCCGTACCCCCACATATACCTCATCACCTCCATACCCCCGCACACACCTCCGTCACCTCCGTACCCCCGCACACACCTGCATCACCTCCATACCCCCACACACACCTGCGTCACCTCCGTACCCCCGCACACACCTGCGTCACCTCCGTACCCCCGCACACACCTCCGTCACCTCCGTACCCCCGCACACACCTGTGTCACCTCCCTACCCCCACATATACCTCATCACCTCCGTACACCCGCACATACCTGCGTCACCTCCCTACCCCCACATATACCTCATCACCTCCGTACCCCCGCACACACCTGCGTCACCTCCCTACCCCCACATATACCTCATCACCTCCGTACACCCGCACACACCTGCGTCACCTCCCTACCCCCGCACACACCTGCGTCACCTCCGTACCCCTGCACACACCTCCGTCACCTCCGTACCCCCGCACACACCTGCGTCACCTCCCTACCCCCGCACACACCTGCGTCACCTCCGTACCCCCGCACACACCTGCGTCACCTCCCTACCCCCGCACACACCTGCGTCACCTCCGTACCCCCGCACACACCTCTGTCACCTCCCTACCCCCGCACACACCTGCATCACCTCCGTACCCCCGCACACACCTGCGTCACCTCCGTACCCCCGCACACACCTGCGTCACCTCCCTACCCCCGCACACACCTGCGTCACCTCCCTACCCCCGCACACACCTGCGTCACCTCCCTACCCCCGCACACACCTGCGTCACCTCCCTACCCCCGCACACACCTGCGTCACCTCCGTACCCCCGCACACACCTGCGTCACCTCCCTACCCCCGCACACACCTGCGTCACCTCCGTACCCCCGCACACACCTCCGTCACCTCCGTACCCCCGCACACACCTGCGTCACCTCCGTACCCCCGCACACACCTCCGTCACCTCCCTACCGCCGCACACACCTCCGTCACCTCCCTATACGGCTGCATCCCCTGCATATCTACATCTACGCACCTGGACACAGCTGCACACAGGTGCATAGTCTGCATCCATCCACATGCGTCTGTGCACCCCCATATGCCTGTGCCCGCAGGCCCGCAGCCTTCAGGCCGTGCCTAGGCTGGTGAAGCTCTTCAACCACGCCAACCAGGAAGTGCAGCGCCATGCCACAGGTGCCATGCGCAACCTCATCTACGACAACGCTGACAACAAGCTGGCCCTGGTGGAGGAGAACGGGATCTTCGAGCTGCTGCGGACACTGCGGGAGCAGGATGATGAGCTTCGCAAAAATGTCACAGGTGCTGCCTGTCCCCTCCTCCACCTGTCCTTCCTCCACCTGCGCCCCTCTGCCTATCCCCCCTGCCTTCCTCCCCACCTGCCCCCCTCCACCTGCCCACCATCTGCCCCCCTTCTCCACCTGCCCCCTCTGCCACCTGCCCCCCTACTCCTCCTCCCCCCCTCTGCCTTACCCCCCCACCTGCCCGCCATCTGCCCCACTCCTCCACCTGCCCCCTCCTCCACCTGCCCCCTCTGCCTGTCCCCTACTCCTCCTGTCCTCCCTCTGTGTCCCCCCCACCTGGCCCCCCTCCTCCACCTGCCCCCTCTGCCTATCCCCCACCTGTCCCCCCCTCCACCTGTCCCCCTTTTCTGCCTGTCCCCCTCCTCCTGTCCCTCCTCTGCCTGTCCTCTCTCCTCCGTTCTGACCCCTCCACCTCATTCGGTTCCCCTCCGTCCCTTTGTACCTTTTGCCGGCCGTGTTTCTACTTGGGCCTCCACTGCCCGCCTCTTTCCTGGACCCCCGGCCACCCTGTCCTGTGGTTTTGTCTCCTTGGAGCCGCCTGCACTGCCAGGCCTGCTCACCACCCCACCCCCACATCTTGTCCCCTCTTGCTTGGTCCCAGCTCTATCACCTCAAATGCCACCCCAGGGTCTCCCCAGTGGGGCTCGTGGGTGAGGCACAGAACACCAGGCCAGCCCCTGGGGAGAGGCGGGACCTCTTCACACCATCCCCAGAAACGCGGAGGGGGTTGGAGGGCAGACGCTGATAGCAGCCTCCCCCGTCCTCCAGGGATCCTGTGGAACCTTTCATCCAGCGACCACCTGAAGGACCGCCTGGCCAGAGACACGCTGGAGCAGCTCACAGACCTGGTGTTGAGCCCCCTGTCGGGGGCTGGGGGTCCCCCCCTCATCCAGCAGAACGCCTCGGAGGCAGAGATCTTCTACAACGCCACCGGCTTCCTCAGGTGCGCCAGCCTCGGGCAGCGGGGTGGGGATTGCAGGCGCGGGTCACTGTGGGGACTCCGCCTGGCCTGGCGTTCGCAGCCCACACACCGCACGCCTCGCGCTGGGGATGGGCGTGCGAGGGCCCACGATGGGTTGGGGCAAGGCCCGGGATGCGGGGTCCCTGGGGGGCTCTGATCCACCTCGGTCCCCAGGAACCTCAGCTCAGCCTCTCAGGCCACTCGCCAGAAGATGCGGGAGTGCCACGGGCTGGTGGACGCCCTGGTCACCTCTATCAACCACGCCCTGGACGCGGGCAAATGCGAGGACAAGGTGAGGGGCGCGGTGTGGAGGAGGGGCCGTGCCCCCGGGCCGCCGCTCTGACCCGCGCCCCTGCCCCGCGCCCCCGCCCGCAGAGCGTGGAGAACGCGGTGTGCGTCCTGCGGAACCTGTCCTACCGCCTCTACGACGAGATGCCGCCGTCCGCGCTGCAGCGGCTGGAGGGTCGCGGCCGCAGGGACCTGGCGGGGGCGCCGCCGGGAGAGGTCGTGGGCTGCTTCACGCCGCAGAGCCGGCGGCTGCGCGAGGTGGGCACCAGCCTGAGCGGGGCGTGGGGTGGGTGCTGCGACCCCGGCCCCGCTGACCCCGGCCCCGCTCACCCCCGCCCCGCTCACCCCCGCCCCGCTCACCCCGCCCCGCTCACCCCGGACCCCGCTCACCCCCGCCCCGCTCACCCCCGACCCCGCTCACACCCGCCCCGCTCACCCCCGCCCCGCTCACCCCCGCCCCGCTCACCCCGGACCCCGCTCACCCCCGCCCCGCTCACCCCCGGCCCCGCTCACACCCGCCCCGCTCACCCCCGCCCCGCTCACCCCGGACCCCGCTCACCCCGGACCCCGCTCACACCCGCCCCGCTCACACCCGGCCCCGCTCACCCCCGCCCCGCTCACCCCCGGCCCGCTCACACCCGGCCCCGCTCACACCCGGCCCCGCTCACACCCGCCCCGCTCACCCCCGGCCCCGCTCACACCTGCCCCGCTCACACCCGGCCCCGCTCACACCCGGCCCCGCTCACACCCGGCCCGCTCACACCCGCCCCGCTCACCCCCGGCCCCGCTCACACCCGGCCCCGTTCACACCCGCCCCGCTCACACCCGCCCCGCTCACCCCCGGCCCGCTCACACCCGCCCCGCTCACCCCCGGCCCGCTCACACCCGGCCCCGCTCACACCCGGCCCCGCTCACACCCGCCCCGCTCACCCCCGGCCCCGCTCACACCCGCCCCGCTCACACCCGGCCCCGCTCACACCCGGCCCGCTCACACCCGCCCCGCTCACACCCGCCCCGCTCACACCCGCCCCGCTCACCCCCGGCCCCGCTCACCCCCGGCCCCGTTCACACCCGCCCCGCTCACACCCGCCCCGCTCACCCCCGGCCCGCTCACCCCCGGCCCCGCTCACACCCGGCCCCGCTCACACCCGCCCCGCTCACACCCGGCCCCGCTCACACCCGGCCCCGCTCACACCCGGCCCCGCTCACACCCGCCCCGCTCACCCCCGCCCCGCTCACCCCCGGCCCCGCTCACCCCCGGCCCCGCTCACCCCCGACCCCGCTCACCCCCGACCCCGCTCACCCCCGCCCCGCTCACCCCCGCCCCGCTCACCCCCGACCCCCGGCCCCGCTCACCCCCGACCCCCGGCCCCGCTCACCCCCGGCTCCACTGACCCCGGCCCCGCTCACCCCGGACCCCGCTCACCCCCGACCCCCGGCCCCGCTCACCCCCGGCTCCACTGACCCCGGCCCCGCTCACCCCGGACCCCGCTCACCCCCGACCCCCGGCCCCGCTCACCCCCGACCCCCGGCCCCGCTCACCCCCGGCTCCACTGACCCCGGCCCCGCTCACCCCGGACCCCGCTCACCCCCGACCCCCGGCCCCGCTCACCCCCGGCTCCACTGACCCCGGCCCCGCTCACCCCGGACCCCGCTCACCCCCGACCCCCGGCCCCGCTCACCCCCGGCTCCACTGACCCCGGCCCCGCTCACCCCGACCCCGCTCACCCCAGACCCCCGGCCCCGCTCACCCCCGGCTCCACTGACCCCGGCCCCGCTCACCCCGGACCCCGCTCACCCCCGACCCCCGGCCCCGCTCACCCCCGGCTCCACTGACCCCGGCCCCGCTCACCCCGGACCCCGCTCACCCCCGACCCCCGGCCCCGCTCACCCCCGACCCCCGGCCCCGCTCACCCCCGGCTCCACTGACCCCGGCCCCGCTCACCCCGGACCCCGCTCACCCCCGACCCCCGGCCCCGCTCACCCCCGGCTCCACTGACCCCGGCCCCGCTCACCCCGGACCCCGCTCACCCCCGACCCCCGGCCCCGCTCACCCCCGGCTCCACTGACCCCGGCCCCGCTCACCCCGACCCCGCTCACCCCCGACCCCCGGCCCCGCTCACCCCCGGCCCCGCTCACCCCGACCCCGCTCACCCCCGACCCCCGGCCCCGCTCACCCCCGACCCGCTCACCCCGACCCCGCTCACCCCCGACCCCCGGCCCCGCTCACCCCCGACCCGCTCACCCCGACCCCGCTCACCCCCGCCCCGCTCACCCCTGCCCCGCTCACCCCGGGCCCCGCTCACCCCCGGCCCC
The DNA here is from genome assembly GCF_000001405.40 of Homo sapiens. Taxonomy (NCBI): domain Eukaryota; kingdom Metazoa; phylum Chordata; class Mammalia; order Primates; family Hominidae; genus Homo; species Homo sapiens. Next base: position 402,764 of record NC_000011.10, read on the forward strand.
GCTCACCCCGACCCCGCTCACCCCCGACCCCCGGCCCCGCTCACCCCCGGCCCCGCTCACCCCCGCCCCGCTCACCCCCGCCCCGCTCACCCCGGGACCCGCTCACCCCGACCCCGCTCACCCCGGACCCCGCTCACCCCCGCCCCGCTCACCCCGGACCCCGCTCACCCCCGACCCCCGGCCCCGCTCACCCCCGCCCCGCTCACCCCGGACCCCGCTCACCCCCGCCCCACTCACACCCGACCCGCTCACCCCGACCCGCTCACCCCGACCCGCTCACCCCGACCCCGCCGACTCCTCCCCGCCCTGCGCAGCTGCCCCTCGCCGCCGATGCGCTCACCTTCGCGGAGGTGTCCAAGGACCCCAAGGGCCTCGAGTGGCTGTGGAGCCCCCAGATCGTGGGGCTGTACAACCGGCTGCTGCAGCGCTGCGAGCTCAACCGGCACACGACGGAGGCGGCCGCCGGGGCGCTGCAGAACATCACGGCAGGCGACCGCAGGGTGGGGCACCCAACCCAGACCCGAGGGGGTCCCAGGGGTTCATGCGGTTGAGGGGGGGACAGAGGAGGGAGAGGGAGGGGAGGAGGAAGGGGACGCCCAGGGTCCGCGGAGCCTCGGAGGTCAGCGTCCCGGTGGCGCAGGCCTTGGGCCTTGGGAGGATGGAAGTCCTGCCCTGGGTTTGAAGGGAGGCACCTGATCCGGGCTGCGGCTGATTCCCCCCGGCTGGGGGGCAAAGGCAGAAGCAGAGGCCCCCCTGAGGGTGGCGAGAGGATGCAGCGACCCCATTGTGGCAGGACCCCCTCAGGTGAGGGTCTGAGGCCTCCGGGTCACGGCTCACACCCTCCCTCCCCACAGTGGGCGGGGGTGCTGAGCCGCCTGGCCCTGGAGCAGGAGCGTATTCTGAACCCCCTGCTAGACCGTGTCAGGACCGCCGACCACCACCAGCTGCGCTCACTGACTGGCCTCATCCGAAACCTGTCTCGGAACGCTAGGAACAAGGACGAGATGTGTGAGTCGGGCAGCCCCTCGTCCCTGCCCTGCTGGACCCACATGTCAATTTTGTCTTTAAGTGTGGGCTTCAGACCACTGGGGCCAGTCCAGCTCCCTGGGGGAGGCAGGGGACCCCAGGTGCCCAGGTGGCCAGGAGTAGGGGTGCAGACTGACCCCCGGCCTCCCACAGCCACGAAGGTGGTGAGCCACCTGATCGAGAAGCTGCCGGGCAGCGTGGGTGAGAAGTCGCCCCCAGCCGAGGTGCTGGTCAACATCATAGCTGTGCTCAACAACCTGGTGGTGGCCAGCCCCATCGCTGCCCGAGACCTGCTGTATTTTGACGGACTCCGAAAGCTCATCTTCATCAAGAAGAAGCGGGACAGGTAGGGGCCGACCCAGCCGTGCAGCAGCCTGGTCAGGGGTCCTCCCAGTCCACCCTGCTTTCTGGCTGTGTGTCCCCTCCTGACTGCCCTCCACCCTCAGCCCCGACAGTGAGAAGTCCTCCCGGGCAGCATCCAGCCTCCTGGCCAACCTGTGGCAGTACAACAAGCTCCACCGTGACTTCCGGGCGGTACGTTTCCCGAGCCCAGGGCAAGCAGGGACCCGGGTGCAGGGCATGGGACGCCGGGGGAGGGTCAGTGAAGAGGCCCATGGGAGGATGGAGACCAGGGACCCAGAGAGGAAGGGTCCGGGCCACACCCAGCACACTGCAGGAGGGACAGCGGGCAGAGGGCCACATGGGCAGACATGCACCCTGACCTTGGGCCTCTCTCCACTGTAGAAGGGCTATCGGAAGGAGGACTTCCTGGGCCCATAGGTGAAGCCTTCTGGAGGAGAAGGTGACGTGGCCCAGCGTCCAAGGGACAGACTCAGCTCCAGGCTGCTTGGCAGCCCAGCCTGGAGGAGAAGGCTAATGACGGAGGGGCCCCTCGCTGGGGCCCCTGTGTGCATCTTTGAGGGTCCTGGGCCACCAGGAGGGGCAGGGTCTTATAGCTGGGGACTTGGCTTCCGCAGGGCAGGGGGTGGGGCAGGGCTCAAGGCTGCTCTGGTGTATGGGGTGGTGACCCAGTCACATTGGCAGAGGTGGGGGTTGGCTGTGGCCTGGCAGTATCTTGGGATAGCCAGCACTGGGAATAAAGATGGCCATGAACAGTCACTGCCCTGTGTCCTTCCATGGCTGGCCCGACCCTGTGGCTGGCAGCATGATCCTGGGACTCAAGGTGTCCCCAGGCACCCCCTGCCCCTGAGGACACCCACCCCCTGGGCTCACACACAAGCCTCCCAAGATCAGAGGACATAGGACATGGAGAGCCCAGCAGAGGGACAGCTGGCACCTCAGGGCCGAGAGGGGACAGGGTGGACAGCGGGTGCACCACAGGCACAGACGGAGCAGAGCTGGGGGCCTCGAGAGTAGAGGGGTGACTGGAGTAGGAACAGGGTGGCTGCCTCGTGGGCTACACTCATGCGGCAAATGAACCCAACTCCTCCGCCGCCCACCCTGGGCCTGGAGTTGCCTGGACCAGGGGCTCTCACACTGGCTGCCTGAGGTTTGGGGTCCAGTGGGCTCTCGGACACCCCCATCCATCTCACCCAGAGCCAGGCCATTTAGTTGTGAAGTTACTGTGGATATTCTTAAAACAGAAAGTTTCTGTGAAGCTCAGAACTTGAGGTCTCTAAGGAGCCTGCCCCCATCCAGGATCTGCCTGCATGGGAAGGGTCTAGGAAGAGTCACGTCCCCAACCAGGGACCAGGCAAGGAGGCCCAAGGAGGCTACTGTAAGCACGGGACACGCCTGAGCTGGCTTAGGAAGGGGGATGGAGAGAGGGCAGATTTGGTGATTTGGCGGGTGGGGATGAGAGAGGGAGGGGTGGGGATGAGAGAGGAGGGGTGGAAGGCTGAGAGAGCCGCAGAGGGAAGCCGAATCCGAAACCTTCCGCCGCAAGGGAGGAGACCGAGGCCCCAGCAGAATCCAAAAGGACTTTATTTTCTGGCACTGGGAGGCGCCCTGAGGCCACAGCCTTTTCCCAGGGCTGCTGGCAGGGTCCCAGGGCTGCTGGCAGGGGTTGTGGTCCTGTTGAGCAGAGGAGCGACGCCGCTGCCCTGGCCCCCGCTGTCCCTATGATCCTGCACTCTGGGGTGGGAGCTACATATCATCCTTGGACACCAGGCAGTAGAAGTCTGTGCGGGCACTGTAGTTTCGCGAGCCGAGATCCGAGACGTCCACTTCGCTGCTCCGGCTCTCTCCCAGCGAGACCCCACTGGTGTGCGGTGGAGCTGATGGCTCTCCAAAGACAGGCCCCCGGACACCTGGGGTGGGGAGACCGAGACGCCTGAGGTGGCCACCCACAGCCTTGGCCCAGACCCACTGCCAGGGGCTGCCCCTGCTCACCCCCTGCTGTGATGGCCTGTGAGGCCCAGGAAGTTCCCAGGCAGACCGAGGGCCGAGCACCTCCAGGGCAGAGGCCGTGCAGGGGCTCCCGGTGCCGGGAAGAGTCCTCAACACCTGGAGCCCCTCCAGGCCCTGTGCCCTGTGCCTGCCCCCACTCCGCCCTGTGCTGAGCTTCTCCAGTTGGGGAGTGGGGCTGGGCGGGCATACCCAGGTCGCCCTCAGGGTCCGGGTCCACCTCTGAGTCCAGGGCCCGGCCCTCAGGGACTCGGCCTCGAAGAATCAGCATGGGGTCCTTGTCGTCCTGCAGCTGCGTCTGGGGGTCTCCTTCCACAGGCCTGTACTGCACCTTCCGCGGCAGCGCCAGCTGCACTTCTTTCCAAAAATCGGAGGAAGGAGTCTGGGGGCCAGGTCGGGGCGGTTTGCAGGTGTGAACACCTCGGAAGCCCCTGGCGTCCTGGCCCCCAAGAGCACACCTGCGGCTGCCCACGGGTTCCACGCCCTGCGACAGCTATTCCGTGGCTCCGGGGGCCTCAAGGGCGGCTCCCCGCATCGGGGCCCCAGGCAGCGGAACCTCCCCCCAGGGCCCATTCACAAAGCGTGGTGCCGCAGAGCTCCCCACGGAGGGGTCCCAGCCTGGAGCCCGGGCACCGCCCATCTCTAACCCGCCGCTAGCCCCGGACCCTCCCGCGCCTGCTCCGCACCACGGAGCCGGGCCTCCAGAGCAGCAAGGTCACCAGGTGGCGGTGCTGGCGCAGCAGGCGGAGCGCCGGGTGCGCGGGGTCGCGCCTCTGGCCCTCGAAGGTGATGAAGATGGGTCTGCGGGTGAGCTCCAGCAGCCGGCACAGGCCCTCCCTGCGGGGCGGGACCGTCAGGGGGGTGGGTGCTACGCTGGGGCCCACCCAACCCCGCGCGGGACCCACCGGAAGCTGTGGCTGCACCAGGCCCGGCTCAGGAAGGCGTCCGAAAGCACCACGATGAGGCGTCGGCAGCGGCTCAGGTTCACCAAGAGGTCGGCGGAGGGCTCTGCGGGAGGGCGGGCGTCGGCGGCGCAGGGGCGGGGGCGGGGGAGGGCGGGGCCGGAGGCTCAGGGGCGGTGCCGGACGCAGAGCTCTAAGGGAGGGGCGGGGCCTGCGGGGTGGGCGGGTTTTTGAGGCGGGGCCTCGGGTGGGCGGGGATGGGGGCGGAGCTCGATGGTGGGGGTGGGGCCCCGGGTGGGACGGAGCATGGGGCGGGGCGGGGCGGGCCCTCCGGGTGGGCGGGGCACGGGGTGGGGCCCGGGATACCAGCGCGCGGCAGGAGGTCGCGGTCGTCCAGGAAGAGCTTGTAGCCCCGACGCCGCTCCAGCTGCGGCTTTAGGATGAAGTTCACGAACTTGCGGTCCTCGGGGCAGTCGCTGTAGGAGACGTAGGCGTCGTAGAGCTTCCCGTCTGCGGACGGCGGCCAGTCACCCCGATGGCTCCCGAGGCCTCACACCAGCCCTCGGGGTCCCCAACACCCCTAACCATCTCCCACGTGCACAGGGGCAGACCCGCCCCGGACTTTAACCCCAGCCGGGCCGCACAGAGCACCCGGGGGCTAACCCCTCCCCGCCGCACGCCTCCAAAGCCGAGCTCAGCAGCGCACTCTCAGGGAGGCCGTGGCGACCCCTCCTCGCGCCCACGCGGGCCCCACGCACCGTTTATCTCCACCTCCCCATACGCGTCCTGGTACCAGAGCAGCACGTTGAGACGGCACTTGACATAGAGCAGGGCGGCCAGCAGCAGGGCCAGCAGGACCAGGAGGGAGGCCAGCACCGCAGCCACGTGGCTTGTAGGGCCTGCGGATGGGTTGCCTGAGCCGCTGCCCCTCCAGCAGCCCCCAAGCCTCAAGATCCCTGGGCCTCACTAGGTCTAGGTCCCCTTCTACCCTCCACCTTGGGGAACCCCCATCACCAGCTCTCTGAAGAGTGAAGGAGGAGAAGCTGATGTTCTGGATGGAGCAGGTGAAGGCCCCATAGACTTCAGTGCTGGTCACGTTGACCCCCAGGACACTGGACACAAGCACCTCTGACAGGTTGGCCTTGACCCTGGGGATACCAAGCCAGGGTCAGGGTCGACTGGGGATACCAGTGGACACCCCCGAACCCCACCTGTCTGGGTTCACCCAGGGAGGCTGCAGAATTGGGCCTCCTGGGTGGTTCTTGGGCCTTAAGCCAAGAGAAGTGACCTGAACCTGGAGGGGATGCAGATTTGTTTCAGAACAGCCGTCCCAGTCCTGGGTCTGGGGCCTGGAGGTCCTTTGATCACAGACTTGGCCAGCTGGTCGGTGTTCATTCAGACCCTAGACTTTGCTGACACCCGTAGCCCTGGGCAGTTACGAGGTGTGTGCCTACAGGGGCCATGCAGACCCAAGGGTCTGTCCCTGACATTACTGACCCTCCGTCTGGGTCCACAGAGGCACTCTGCTCGTGACATGTCTGGCCAGGTGGTTACAGACCCAGGCATAGGTCAGGGAGACCACTGCCCTTGGCATGTCTGAGAGGTCACTCTGACCCTGGATACCCGGGTCTCTTACCAGGAGTACTCGTGGAGGCTGTAGTGGCCCCCAATTCCCAATGGAAGCCCGTCTTTCAGCCACTGGACTGAAGGCAGGGAGCAGTGGGGCCCAGAGACTACCCAAGCCGTGCAGTTCAGAGCCACTGAGCTGCCCAAGGCAGGCCTCAGCACCTGGTCTTCAGACGGGGAGAGGAAGTCAGGGGCCCTATCACAGACACCTGAAGAGAGAGGACACAGTGGGTCAGCTGTGCCAGGGTGCCTGGCCCCACCACCTCCACAGTGGTCCGTGGTGCAGGAAGAAATAAGGCCTCTGTGTGGCTTGGCAGTCACACCATGTCTGTCCACGAGTCCCATGGGGACAGGCTTAGCACTTGGCACGTCTTTCCCCAGTAGTGGCCAGGCTTTGGGTGTTCCGCCCACCCTGTGCTGAGGGGACAGAGAGCAGTGGCCACAGTTGAGCTGCCCCAGGCCCACGCTCAAGCCCCATCTGGCTGCTTGTCCACCCAGGATGTGAGTCCAGCCCCCCATTTCCCAGATGCACCTGTTGCCCACCCCTGGTGACACCATGATGCCTGTCTCATAGGAGGGGCCGGGCACTGCACCCCTCAGCCTGGCCTGCCTCTGCTGGGGAATCTGCAGAGAGTGTGGGCACCAGTGGGTTTGGGGACCCAGATGCCCAGTGTGCCAGCACCTTCCACCTGGATGGGCACAGCTGGGAGCCTGGAGCAGTTGGCCTCATTCCTGCCTTGGGGGTCTTGGGGCCCTCTGCTCCTGGCCACAGGCAAGCCCTCCCCACCACCTGAGGCCTGAACTTGTTCATCTTTACATCAGGGTGATGAGCCCTAGCGGGAGGTCAAACCACCATCTTCTCAGTAGGGTATGGTCTCCTGCCAGCTCACATCGGCCACACCCTGCTGTGGGCCCCAGCAGTGCCCACTCCTAGCATTCCTGGGCTTTACTGACCCTCATGAGCCTGGTCTGGGGCAGGAGAGGGTGCAGGGCTCATCCTCACCACTCGCCCTGGTTTCAGGGCCAAGGGCCCAGTGGGAGGGGTGAGCAGGGGCCTTTGTACCCCCGGCATGTGGCCAGGCAGAGTGCCTGGGATAAGAGCAGGATGCACAATGTGGAGCCAGCCTGAGGGGCAGGAGGTGGGAGTGGGGAATTCAAGCCCATCCCTCTCTGACCTGCCTACCTGGCATGGCTCTGAGCCGGGGCCTCCTCGGGGCAGGCTGGGCTCCAGGGTCACCCCTGGCTCCACCGGGCTCCTCGGCCAGCAGACTGATCCAAGAGCTGGGCAGGACTCCTCTCTGTCCTTGCAGTCAGCTGGACAGGGCACCTGGACAGGTCAGAGGCTGCCGCCATCCCCAGGGAACAAGTTAAACAGGAACAGGATGAGTTAACCAGTAACTGCCGGCCACAGACAGCACTGGCCCTGACCAGATGCGACCCTGAGCAGCCGCATGGATGCTGGCAGAGTTCTCGGAGGCCAGCAGGGTGTCTCTTTGAGCCCCTCACACGTGGCCAGAATGGGCACCACTTCACGCAGCCCAGGACCACGGGGAGGGGCCATCAAGTCCAGGATCACCTCCACCGGCCCTGGGGCCACCATGACGGCCCCAGGGTGCAGTGGACGAACACTAGGTGGGACCCTGTCTCCCGACATGGCAGTTGGCCTCACTCCTGGCTGTCCCCTTCAACAGAGCTGCCACTGCAGGGGGTGCTGCAGTGCCAGAGACACAGCCTGGCCTTGGGGCAGGGGTGTGAGTGATGTAACCTACACCATGGGAGATGCCCAGCTCTGACCATGTCTGGATACAGTCGGTGGGGGGTGCTCAGCTCTGACCATGTCTGGATGCAGTTGGGGTGGGGGTGCCCAGCTCTGACCATGTCTGGATACAGTCGGCGGGGGGCTTTGCTTAGCTCTGACCATGTCTGGATGCAGTCGGGGGGGGGGGGTGCCCAGCTCTGACCATGTCTGGATACAGCCGGGGGGGGTGCCCAGCTCTGACCATGTCTGGATGCAGTCAGGGAGGGGGTTGCCCAGCTCTGACCATGTCTGGATGCAGTCGGGGGGTGCCCAGCTCTGACCATGTCTGGATACAGTCGGGGGGGGGTGCCCAGCTCTGAACATGTCTGGATGCAGTCGGGGAGGGGGGTGCCCAGCTCTGACCATGTCTGGATACAGTCGGCGGGGGTGCCCAGCTCTGACCATGTCTGGATACAGTCGGGGAGGGGGGTGCCCAGCTCTGACCATGTCTGGATACAGTCGGCGGGGGTGCCCAGCTCTGACCATGTCTGGATGCAGTCGGGGAGGGGGGTGCCCAGCTCTGACCATGTCTGAATGCAGTCGGGGAGGGGGGTGCCCAGCTCTGACCATGTCTGGATGCAGTCGGGGGGTGCCCAGCTCTGACCATGTCTGGATGCAGTCGGGCGGGGGGGGTGCTCAGCTCTGACCATGTCTGGATGCAGTCGGGGAGGGGGGTGCCCAGCTCTGACCATGTCTGGATACAGTCGGGGGGGGGGGTGCCCAGCTCTGAACATGTCTGGATACAGTCGGGGAGGGGTGCTCAGCTCTGACCATGTCTGGATACAGTCGGGGGGGGGGGGTGCCCAGCTCTGACCATGTCTGGATACAGTCGGGGAGGGGTGCCCAGCTCTGACCATGTCTGGATGCAGTCGGGGGGTGCCCAGCTCTGACCATGTCTGGATACAGTCGGCGGGGGTGCCCAGCTCTGACCATGTCTGGATACAGTCGGGGAGGGGGGTGCCCAGCTCTGACCATGTCTGGATACAGTCGGGGAGGGGTGCCCAGCTCTGACCATGTCTGGATGCAGTCGGGGAGGGGGGTGCCCAGCTCTGACCATGTCTGGATGCAGTCGGGGAGGGGGGTGCCCAGCTCTGACCATGTCTGGATACAGTCGGCGGGGGGTGCCCAGCTCTGACCATGTCTGGATGCAGTCGGGGGGTGCCCAGCTCTGACCATGTCTGGATACAGTCGGTGGGGGTTGCCCAGCTCTGACCATGTCTGGATACAGTCGGTGGGGGGGGGGGGTGCCCAGCTCTGACCATGTCTGGATGCAGTCGGGGAGGGGTGCTCAGCTCTGACCATGTCTGGATGCAGTCGGGGGGTGCCCAGCTCTGACCATGTCTGGATACAGTCGGGCGGGGGGGGGGCTCAGCTCTGACCATGTCTGGATACAGTCGGGGAGGGGGGTGCCCAGCTCTGACCATGTCTGGATACAGTCGGGGGGGGGGGGTGCTCAGCTCTGACCATGTCTGGATGCAGTCGGGGAGGGGGGTGCCCAGCTCTGACCATGTCTGGATACAGTGGGGGGGGGGGGTGCCCAGCTCTGACCATGTCTGGATGCAGTCGGGGGGGGTGCCCAGCTCTGACCATGTCTGGATGCAGTCGGGGGAGGTGCCCAGCTCTGACCATGTCTGGATACAGTCGGGGGGAGGTGCCCAGCTCTGACCATGTCTGGATACAGTCGGGGGGGGGTGCCCAGCTCTGACCATGTCTGGATACAGTCGGGGAGGGGTGCCCAGCTCTGACCATGTCTGGATGCAGTCGGGGGGTGCCCAGCTCTGACCATGTCTGGATACAGTCGGGGGGGGGGTGCCCAACTCTGACCATGTCTGGATGCAGTCGGCGGGGGTGCCCAGCTCTGACCATGTCTGAATGCAGTCGGGGAGGGGGGTGCCCAGCTCTGACCATGTCTGGATGCAGTCGGGGGGTGCCCAGCTCTGACCATGTCTGGATACAGTCGGGCGGGGGGGGGTGCTCAGCTCTGACCATGTCTGGATGCAGTCGGGGGGTGCCCAGCTCTGACCATGTCTGGATACAGTCGGGGGGGGGTGCCCAGCTCTGACCATGTCTGGATACAGTCGGGGGGGGGTGCCCAGCTCTGAACATGTCTGGATACAGTCGGGGGGGGGTGCCCAGCTCTGAACATGTCTGGATACAGTCGGGGAGGGGTGCTCAGCTCTGACCATGTCTGGATACAGTCGGGGGGGGGGGGTGCCCAGCTCTAACCATGTCTGGATGCAGTCGAGGGGGGGTGCCCAGCTCTGGCCCACGTCTGGTTACAGTCAGGAGTGCACGTGAGCACAGACACCTCGAAACACCTCGGGAAACACCTCGGGAACCCTCAGCTTAGCCTCGCCCTGCGGTTGTGAGGCCGGAGGGTGAACAGCGCCCGGTGGGGATGGAGGTCTCGGGTCCCATGTCCTTTCCCAGCCCGTAGCAGCAGCCACACACACCTCAAGTCTCCCAAAGCTCCTCAGTGAGGTGGCTGCAGGGAGAAGCCCAGAGCCTCTTCCTTGGCAGCCCAGGGCCCCAGGGGCCTCTCCTCACTGGATGCCACAGGGTCACCCTGTTTATCCAACAGGCACTGACTGTCTACTCCCCTCCCTGCTGCAGGGACACAGTGGAAGTGGGGATGTGGGGATCAAGCCTAAGTTTCTGCACCCCAGCTCCCTCAGGATTCCTCCCCGCTAAGGCCCCAGAGGCAGTGGCAGGGACAGTCCTCTTAGCCTGCCACCTATTCCCTCTCCATGGGTGAAGCACAGCCAGAGGCCCCAGGTTTGACTGTTTGGCAGTTTCCTCGGGAACCGATACAGCATGAGGCACACACCCATGGGGGATGGCCAGGGGGTCCTTGAAGAAGTCCTTTGCGGTGGAGGACACTCCAAGGAAAGTCCTTGACCCAGGGGAACCACCCACTGAGGGTCCTTAAAGCACACACTTCCCAGGAAACCAACCCCTCACAGCAAGCCCGGGAGGTCACACCGCCAGCCCAGCAGAACCCCTGGCATCTCCTGCAGTGCTTCCGTGACCGCCCCAAGCTCAGACCTCAAAGTCCTCCCTCCAAAAGCAGCCTCAGAGCCTTCTGGAAGTCAAGGGCAGACTGCCAGGATACGAGCACAGCAAGAAAGCAGGTGCCCTCCCCTGCAAACCCTCCTCTGCACCCTCTCCGCTGCCTGCCTCTCCTTGCACCCTCTCCCCTGCACCCTCTCCCTGCAAACCCTCCCCTGCACCCTCTTCCCGCACCCTCTCCCCTGCTCCCTCTCCCCTACGCACCTTCCCCTGCACCCTCTCCTCTGCCTGCCTCCCCCTGCACGCTCTCCACTCCCCACCTTCCCCTGCCCACCTTCCCCTGCACCCTCTCCCCTGAACCCTCTCCTCTGCCTGCCTCCCCCTGCACCCTCTCCCCTCCCCACCTTCCCCTGCACCCTCTCTTCTGCCTGCCTCCTCCTGCACCTTCTCTCCTCCCTACCTTTCCCTGTACTCTCGTCTGCCTACCTTCCCCTGCACCCTCTCCCCTCCCCACCTTTCCCTGCACCCTCTCCCCTGCACACCTTCCCCTGCACTCTCTCCTCTGCCTACCTTCCCCTGCACCCTCTCCCTCCCCACCTTTCCCTGCACACCTTCCCCTGCACCCTCTCCTCTGCCTACCTTCCCCTGCACCCTCTCCCCTCCCCACCTTTCCCTGCACCCTCTCCCCTGCACACCTTCCCCTGCACCCTCTCCTCTGCCTACCTTCCCCTGCACCCTCTCCCCTCCCCACCTTTCCCTGCACACCTTCCCCTGCACCCTCTCCCCTGCACCCTCTCCTCTGCCTACCTTCCCCTGCACCCTCTCCCCTCCCCACCTTTCCCTGCACCCTCTCCCCTGCACACCTTTCCTTGTACCCCCTCCCCTCCCTAACTTCCCCTGCACCCTCTCCTCTGCCCCTCCTCCCCTGCACACATCACATACACACAGCCCTCTGGCCCATGTGCACCTGCACAGAGCTTCAGTCTCAGCCCGTGTGCACACTTGCACCTCCTACACAGCACACTTCCTACCACACACACCTCCCATTACCACTGCACACAGCTTAGGCTGCAGACCCCTCACACAACTGTTGAGTATATACAACACCCATTGCAACGCTTGTCACAGAGCCTAGGACCACAGGCACCCCACAGCACACACACTGCACCTGACACCCACCCTTGGCCGCTGATGCGACACAGCCTCCTGCTGCCCCTCGCTCTGTCTCACACACACATGCACACACATGCATATGGGTCTTGGGCGCCGTGGGCCTCCTCTCAGCCAGGCCCTGACACAGGCTCACTCAGAGCAGCGGGGAAGGCAGTCACCTGGTTCCAGTTCTTTCCTCCGGGGGGCAAATGTTGGTCATTGGTGCGCCTTTGGGAGCAAACTCTCCCCTTCGCTGGGCCCCAGGGAGTGTCCACAGCACCAAGGCTGCTATGGATGCATCGCCAAGCGCGGTGGGGACCTGGCTTGTGTCTTTGTGTATTTTGATCAGAACTTTCCCTGTAGCTTCCTGGCCTTGCAGTCACATCCTCTCCTAACCCTAAACCCCACCCAGGCACCCACCCCTTCCCTAGGCGGGCGGGAGGACGGGCAGTTGGTGGTTCTCACCCCGCCTGCCCCGGCTCTTCCTGTAGCTCTGAGTCAAGCGGCTCCTTCCTCTGGAGCCCGCCCCAACCCACCCAGGCACGGCACTTTCCTCTGTGCAGCGTGTGTGTGTGTGTGTGTGTGTGTGTGTGTGTGTGTGTGTGTGCAGTGTGTCTGCGTGTGTGCAATGTGTGTGCAGTATGTGCGTGTGCGTGCGTTTGTGTGTGTGCGTGTGTGTTGTGGGGTGGGGGGTGCTCAAAGGGGCAGGTTCCAGGGGTAATGCATGGGGGGTCCTCCAGCCAGGAGACCCCCGCCAGGGCCACCCTGCACACATACAAGGAGGACCGGGGACCGCGCGGCATGCCTTCCAGACGCTACTAGAGCTCACACTCAGGAGCCAAGGGGCCGGTTTGCTCCCCCATGTGTCTTTGACCTCTGACCCCGGGGAACAGGGCCTTCAGAAACTCCCGGTCAACAATGGGGCTCCAGCAGAACTCTTCCGCCCTCTCCCCGTCCCTCTCCCAGACATAGCTCCCCCGATGGGTGAGCAGTTACAAGGGACTATGGCATCTTGTGGACCTTCCCTTCAGGCTGGGGTGGGAGGGCAGCGCCCCCTTTTCCAAATAAGGAGCAAACACAGGTGGCCGAGGCTCCTGGCTCAGAGCAGATGAGGGGCAGATGGCATCTCCTGTTGTCACCAAACTGACACTCCCCAGGTTGACCTGGGACTGGGGACCCAGTGACCGGTGGCTGGTATTGCCCACAGAATCAGACAAGGGTCTCCTTTGGACCCTGGCCCTGCCCTCAGCCACATGGGGGCAGGGCTTCATTGTGGAGGGCTGCCATCCAGCCTCCCGGCCCTGGCTGAGCACCCTCTCAGCAGCAGGCTTTCTACAGGTACTTGTCTGACTGAGTCCCAGCCCTGCTAGGACCTTCCTTTGTCCCGGTACTCAGCCTTGGGTGATGGTGGGCCTTGGGCTCAGGGTCCCAAAGACAGCACCCCTTCCCCCACAGAGCCTGGTACCAGCCCCTCCTTGAAGTGGGTCCTTGGAAGCCCCTCAAGAAGGTTCTCCCCACACTGCAGGTCAGGAAGCAGGCACAGCAGGGCCCAGGGCACCCCCGCAGGAAGCAGGAGCAGGGCCTCCAGCACAGGCCCTGGGGTCAGCCGCCAACTGTGAAGCCCCGGCTCGGCGGCTGCTCTGTGCACCCGGTCTCAGCGTCACCATCTCTCAGGGCTGGCTTGGCACCCTCTCCTTCCCTCTCTCTGCTAACGTCCTGCACCCCCGAGCCCCCAGGTCCACCGTCCAGGGTGAGCATGAACACCCACAAAGTCTCCGACCCTCGCCCGCACAGCTCTTCCGAGGCGCCCAGAATCTCAGTCCAAGCCTGGCCCTGGTCGCCTCGCACTGCCCACCGCACTCTGCTGGGCACCTTGAGGTTCTTAGAAAGCGCCAGCTCCTCCCGCCCTCAGACCCAGCCAGCGTCCTCGGTCCGCGGCCGCCCCTGCCCGGTGGGTTCGACGCTCAGCACCCAGCACCCTGCGGGCGACTCCCGCTCAGCTCGGACGCGCCGCCCCTCCGCTCCCCGTGCGCGCTGGGCCCCCAGCGCCTGTCCTGAAGCAGGAACGTGGGTAAAAGGCTGCGGCCCCGCAGGCCGAGGGGCTCTGGTTCGCTCCCCTACCCCGCGCCCACCTGCGCCCTGGGCGCCCTCCAAGTGAGGAGGGCGGAGAACGAGGACGCGCGCGGGAGGCGGGCACGGGGGTGCGGCTCGGGGCGCTCGGCCGGGGCAGAGGCGCGCGGATGGCGGAAGCTCCACCCGGCGCCGGGCGAGCTCGGGCCCCAGCCTGACTCTTGGTCCGCCCTCGGCGCCTCAGGAAGCCTCGAGCTGGGATCCAGGCTTGGGCGACCGAGGTGGGATCCCTGCGCGCCTCGGCGCTCCTAGCCCCGCTCTGTTCTGCGCGAGGGTCACCAAAAAGCCGCTGACCACGTCGGGCAGAGGAAAGGGTGGCCCCCGCCCCCTTCGCCCACTTTCCTCCCTTCCCCCAGCCCTGGAAAGGGCCAGGACGCGGGCGAGCTCGGGCTTCCGGGCGACGCGGGAACCTCCCCGGCCCCGAGCCATTTCCTGAGAGACCGCGCCCAGGGACAAGCAGCGCCCCGGGCCCCGACTCCAGGCCTGCAGCGGCTCTGGGAGGACTGCGACCTCCACTCACCTTCGCGGGTCTGATGGCGACCGCCACTCACCTGCTGCCAGGACCTGGGGCTCGCGCCGGGCGGGGGCGGGGCAGCTCACCTGAGCCAGGTGCGCAGCGGCAACAGCCCCGGCGGCGGCGTAGCCCCGGCAGCGGCAGCAGGTGCGGCCCCGCCCCGCAGTCAGGGCGGGGGCGGACCCCAGCGTCCCGCTCTGCGCCCAAGGCTGGCGCTGGAGGCTGCGCTGCTGCCCGGGAGCCGCTGCCGCACGGGCCTGGGGCCAGTGGCCAAACCAGCCCAACCAGCGCGCAGAGCCCCGGAGCCCCAGAGCCTTGGGGACTCTTCGGAGCGTCCACCGCCCTCAAGGTTTTGCGCGTCCGCCCCTATCTCTTCCCTTTCCTCCAGGAAGCCTGCCTTGACCCCCACCCCACCCTCAAGTGGCCCCGATGTCTTCTCTTGCCTCCCTCAACACCCCAGGTGCAGGGACGGGGAGAGGACCCCATAGGCGCCCCTCCCTTGGAAGCCCATGGAAAACTGGAGAAGGGACAGGCGGCCTGAGGCGGCCTCACCTGGTTCCAGACGTTCCACACTCCGGGTCTGTTTCCCATCTAGCCCTGAGGGCAGATATAATCCACCCGGGACCCAGCGAGGCCAGGAAAGCAAGACAGACAGGCTTAATTTTACTGCAGAAACGGGTTGGCTGAAGGGAACAGGCCAGCGAGGTGGGCTCAGGACACCCCCAACAGCCAGGATGGGGGCACGGCAGGATCTGGCGCCCAGAAGTCAGAGGGAGGCCCAGGAAATTTGCGCCAGTTTTCCTGCCTTGTGGCTGCCTGAGGAGCCCTCACTCCCAGTTCTGTGGGTGCCCAGGGTCACCCAGAGTTCAAGTCAGGGCTGTGCCAAGCCTGAGAGCCCCCACAAAGACGGAGCAGGCGGAATAGGGTGGCAGCTCACAGCCCTGAACATACAGGGGATTCCTGCGGCCCCACATGGGCACAGCCTTCTCACAGCACCCCTCAACACGCACAGCGGTGGGCTTGTGGGAGGTGCTGGTGGTGGCACTGTCTCAGCTCCTGGTGGCCTCTGGACGGGCTCTGGCCCTACACGTCTGTGCTCCTGGCACTGAAGATGGATGCTGGGGTGGGATGGGCAGGCATTGGGGGCCGAGAGCCTGCCCCCACCCCACCCAGCCTCTGCCTTCCATGCCACATCTTCTCACGCAGCCTCTGGTACTTCACCTCCAGAACCTTGTTCTTCACCGACTGAGGGATGTCGGGCACGAACCAGGCGGCGATGAGCTTGATGCACAAGGCCACGTGCTAGCGGCAGCACAGGAGAGGCCCAGCACGGTCAGGTGCCAGCTGGCATTTGGGGGTTCAGGGCCGGGGAGAAGGACTGGGGAGAGCACTGCCCAGACCCACTCCGAGGCCTCTCCCGGTTCTGGCTCACCTCAAAGAGGATGACGAAGGCCAGGCGGATGGCCAGGAGGAACCAGAACTGCTCGGAGAAGTTGTAATCGGGGGGATTGCGGTAGTCCCTGTATCTGGGGTAAGGAAGTACCTGAGGTCAGGGGTCAGGAGTTCAGAGGGCATTCTTGGGGGATGGGGAGTTCCAAACCTGCACAGAGTCACGTTTTCTGAGCCCTCAATCCCATCAGGGTCCTGGAAGTCCTTGGTGTGGAAGACGGACAGGCTGTGGTTGACGTAGCCCTTGAGGCAGCTGGGGAGAGGGGAGAGGAGTGTGGGGTGGGGTGGGCTTCCAGGGCGGCCCCTTCAGGCCCCAGAGTGCTTCTAGCCTGCGTTGTGGAGCAAACAGTGAGGTGGGGGCCACGCCACAGACTGCGTCCAGTGGGACGGGGCTCCCGGGCCAAGCACATCTTCACATCCGGGGGCCTTGTGGGGACTGTGGGGACTCTGGGCATCACCAGCCACTTTCCCTGCCAGAGACTGGCCCTGGGGACCCAGTCTGCAGTTTGGTGGCTCCTCGAGGTCAGAGAGCTGGATAAATCAGAAGAGGACATGCGGAACCTCACATCGGGAGGGAGCCGTTCTGGCAGGGCCTACTCAGGAGGCAGCCAGGTCTGGGAACTTCACCCCCAACTGCGGTCCTGGCCAGTTATCCCTGACCTCCAGCCCAGGGCCTGCCGTCAGTGGGCGCAGGGCAGGGGCCACCCCCAGGCCCCAGCCTCACTAAAGCCCCAGGGGTACCAACAGGTCCAGCCATTCCCAGGAGAAAGGGTCTGGATCCCCCAGGGCTTGGCTGTGGTAGGGCCAGTTTCTCCCAGGGGTCTCCAGACACCCTGAGGCCTTACTCGACAGTAGAGTTGCCTTCTTTCAGGCATGGGCTATAGCGGTACTTGTAGACCACTCGGGGGATGAACTCAGATGTGAAGGCAATGACCATCCCATTGGCAATGACCGCCAGCACACCGATGGTCTCCAGCACCTGCAGCCAGGTCCCTGCACCAGAGCAGTGGGCAAGCGGTCTGACTCAGCGTCCCTCGGCTGGTTCTGCCCTCACCCCCACCCCCGGCCAACACGGGGCCTGCCGTGTCTCTGTGCGTGGTGTCCCCTTGCAGCCCTAGGGCTGCAGTATTCACAAGGAAGTCCCCAGCCATGGCAGAGCATGGCCTCTGCGCTCCTGCACCCCTCACCCTGACATGGACAGGGAGGAACCTGGGAATCCTCATCCTCCATCTTCCTGAACTTCTCAGCTGTGCCCCCCAGCCACTCCACCTCCTGGGTTCCCACCCCAGGGTAAGACCTTGTAACCTGGGCCCGAGACTGGGGGCCTCCCTAACACCTCTCTCCCTTTCCCCACATCCAGCGCCCCAGCTCCCGTCGCTCCCCTGCTGCCTGTCCGTCTCAGCGTGGCCAGTCTTGGGACAGAGGCCGGCTGCTCTGTTCCAGCCCCAGCCACTGGCAGAACCTGGGTCCCCCTTGGGGGCGTCAAGCCCCTCTGAGATCCTGACGGTTTGTGGGAGGAGCCTACAAAGCGCTCGGCCCCGCCCACTCCTGGTACCCTCCCACCCAGGCTCAACCCGCATCCGAGGCCGTCGGAGAAGGGCTGGGGGCTGTCTGCGGCCTGAGATCCGAGAGATTATTTTTTCCAGGTGAGCCGGCCTGGCCAGCGGGAAGCCCACAGGCCTGAGGCCGCCCAGTTCCCGCCCATCCTGCGCCCGCCCGGTCTGACCGATGTCCTTGGCCTTGCGCGGCACCAGGCGCCGCTGCAACCAGACCATCTTGATGGCGTCCAGGCGGATCTCCACGAGGTTGCTGAAGAGCGCGAGCAGCGGCGCCAGCGGGAAGGCGGCCACGAAGATGGTGGTGAA
This sequence comes from Homo sapiens, assembly GCF_000001405.40. NCBI lineage: Eukaryota > Metazoa > Chordata > Mammalia > Primates > Hominidae > Homo > Homo sapiens. The sequence continues at coordinate 420,602 of NC_000011.10, forward strand.
GCCGTACTGGATCACTGCGCGGTGGGGGTCAGGCTCACCGGCGCCCCGCACTCATGTCCGCGGACCCCCGCCCCGCATTCGTCTCCGCGAACCCCCGCCCCGCAGCGCCCACGCACTCATCTCCATGAACTCGTCGAACAGGCTGAAGGTGTTGACCGGGTTCAGAAGGTAGTTGCGCCGCCAGTCCCTGAGCTCGGGGTCCCGGGGCAGGTGCCCGGACTCGGAGGCCCGCAGAGAGCGGCACTTGTGGGTCACCCACCTGCGGGGAGAGCTGCGTGGCAGGGAGGGCGCAGGGGGCGGAGGGGCCTGGGGCTCCCGGGGCTGGGCGGGGGTCGGCACTCACGGGACCAGGTACTCGACGCAGTTGCTGAGCGTCTGCTTCAGGCCCATGATGATGGCCATCTGCACGAAGAGGTCCATCATGCAGCCGCTGGCGTGGCACTGCGGGGCCAGACAGGAGGAGATCAGGGAGGGGTCCTGGGGGACGGTCAGGGGAGCAGTGGCTCAGGGACAGGGCATGAAGCCTGGGGGTGACTGACCTCTTCCAGCTTCCACAAGCCCGCCAGGCGCGTGGACTTCCCGGGGTGGCCGTTGATCCTGGGGAGGAAGGGGAAGTCTGGGGCACTGCGGGCAGCGCCCTGCCTCTGACAGGGTGGGTGCAGCAGGACAGAAGCGGGTAGGAAAGACACAGAACAGGCGGGGCAGGCCCTGCAGGTGAGCGGGGCACAGGTGCTCACACCCAGATGAACCGCACCCGCACGTGGGCACGCACACACACACACACACACACAGGGGAGGCCACAGGCTCCCAGATGAACCGCACCCACACGTGGGCGCGCGCACACACACACACACCCCCACACAGGGGAGGCCACAGGCTCCCAGACGAACCGCACCTGCACGTGGGCGCACACACACCCACACACACACAGGGGAGGCCACAGGCTCCCAGATGAACCGCACCCACACGTGGGCGCGCGCACACACACACACACCCCCACACAGGGGAGGCCACAGGCTCCCAGACGAACCGCACCTGCACGTGGGCGCACACACACACACACAGGCAAGGCCACAGGCTCCAACACACGCTCCAGACAGTGTCTGTTACGAGTGGCCTCGGTTTCTCCCCGTGGAAACGGCACGATGGGTTATTTTGTGTTTAAAATCACCTGCTTTCCATAATATGAGAAATACATGAACTATCTTAAACCAAAAGTCAGGCTCATGGTCAGTGGTGAAATCCCAAAAGCATTCCTATTGTAGCTCACGACAACTGGTATTTAACACGGTTCTGGAATTCCTTGCAAATAAGCAAGAGAAATATGAAGTATAAATAGTATACATTTGCAAAGAAAAAAATGACTCTTTTAGAAAACATGATTATGTACCTGGAAAATCAAAATAAAACAACTGAAAGCCTGGGTGGATAAATCAATCGAGTGCTCAAGTGGATACAAAACGAGCATCCAGCAGAACTGGCTTTTCCGTGTGCGGCAAAGCTGCGGGGAAACATGGCATGAGAAAGTATCGGTCACCCGCAGACACCAGCACAAGTTATACCATAACGAGACTGAAACTCACAAGGCATCTGTGGGGCCTAAATGAAGAAAACTATAAAACTACCAAGGAGCATGAAAGACTTGCAGGGAGAACCTCGTTCTCCCATAAGAAAACGGAGGATGTATTTGTAGTCAGAGCGATGGGCCGCAAAGACGTCCACGTGCTCATTCTTGGAGCCTGTGACCACGTTCTTACCTGGCAAAGGAATTTTATCTCACAAGGCAGATGGTATTAAGGCTGCTAATCAGCTGACTTTAAGACGGGGAGATTATCTTGGGTTATCTGGGTTTTTCTGGTGTAATCACAAGGGTCCCTCTGTGGGGACAGGGAGCAGCTGGGAGCTGGCCTGACTCAGAAGGAATCAGAAGGACTCAGGACTCACTCAGAAGGACTCAGCCCCACGCTGCAAGCTCTGCAGGGGGAGGAGCAGCCGTGCACCAAGGAGAAGCTGAAAGTGAATTATCCCCTGGAGCCTCCAGAAGGAGCCCAGCCCTGCTAACCCCTTAGTTTTCACCCAGTGGGACTCATCTAGGACTTGTGGCCTGCAGAACTGGGAGGTAATAATTTGATTGTTTGAAGCCACTAAGCTGTGGTCGTTTGTTATGGTGATTTTCTTGGAAATAATGTATCATTTTACTTATACAATCTTAAGCCAAGTCCCACAGAATTTTTTTTTTTTTTTTCAGACAGAGTCTTGCTCTGTCACCCAGGCTGGAGTGCAATGGCATGATCTTGGCTCACTACAACCTCCACCTTCCGGGTTTAAGTGATTCTCCTGCCTCAGCCTCCTGAGTAGCTGGGATTACAGGTGCGCGCCACCACGCCTGGCTAATTTTTGTATATTTAGTAAAGACGGGGTTTCACCATGCTGGCCAGGCTGGTCTCGAACTCCTGACCTCATGATCCGCCCACCTCGGCCTCCCAAAGTGCTGGGATTACAGGCGTGAGCCACCACACCCAGCTAGTCTCACAGAATTTTTGGCAATTTGACAAAATGATTCTGACATTCATCTGAAAGAATAAACATATGTAAATAACCATTAAAAAAGTAGAAAAGAAGAGTGATGGACAGCAGCTAGCCCCACCCTACAGCAAGGCATAAAGCAATAATACCCAGCACAGCAAGGGGCTGGTACTGGAATTGTCAGAATCCATGAGAAGACAATATATAAGCAAAGAATGGAATTTGGTGTATGACGAAGAAGGCATTTCAAGTTAAGAATGGTGATGGGGATGGTTAGTCAATCAATGGTTTGGGGACAACTGGGTGCCATTTGGAAAACAAACAAACAGCCTTCCTTCCTCTGCCCCTTGCAGCAAAACAAATTCCTTACAAGTCAGGGATTTGAAGGTTTAAGGGTTTTTGTGACAGGATCTCTGTCACTCGGGCTGGAGTGCAATGGTGAGATTATGGCTCACTATAGCCTCCACCTCCCAGGCTCCAGCGATCCTCCTACCTCAGCCTCCCAAGTAGCTAGGACTACAGGCCCAAACCACCACGCCCAACTAATTTTCTATTTTTTGTAGAGACGTGCGGTGGGGGGTTTGGGGGCAGTGGGTCTCACTACATTGCCCAGGCTGGTCTTGAACTCCCAGCCTCAAGTAATCCTCCTACCTTGGCCTCCCAAAATGCTGGGATTACAAGCATGAGCCACTGCACTCAGCCAAATGTTTAATATTTTGAAATCATAAACATCTAAAGGAAATCACAGTTGAATACTCACACACACACACACACACACACACACACACACACACATTTGAGATGGAGCCTCACTCTGTCACCCAGGCTGGAGCGCAATGGTGCGATTTCAGTTCACTGCAACCTCTGCCTCCTGGGTTCAAGTGATTCTTGTGCCTCAGCCTCCCGAGTAGCTGGGACTACAGGCTCACACCACCACGCCTGGCTAGTAGAGACGGGGTTTCTTCATGTTGGCCAGTCTGGTCTTGAACTCCTGACCTCAGGTGATCTGCCTGCCTCAGCCTCCCAAAGTGCTGGGATTTCAGGCATAAGCCACTGCACCTGGCCCACAGTTGAACATATTTATTAATCTTGAGGAGTGGCATGAAAAAATAGAACCATAAAGGAATACTGTCAAAAAGAAAATTTGCTCTAGTGTAACATGAGAAACCAGGTAGATTTTTCACGCTGTTTTCCGAGAGACCTCCCCATGCAAAGAGGCACAGAACTAAGCTCTAGAGCCAGACTTTGTGGTTTTTATCTGTTCCGCCACCCACTGGCTGTGTGTCCTGGAGATAATTTCTTAACCTCTCTGGTCCTCAGTCATCTATTCTGTAAAATGGCAATGAGAGAAGCTCTGCCCTATAGGGCTACTGTGCAGATTAAATGAGTTAATGATAGAATGTGTGAGTGGGCAATGGATGTAGCTACTATTATACAGACCCATCTCATCCATCAAGAAAAATCAATTCAGTTCCTTGGTCTTTAATACGAATGAATAACCACAGAGATTTACTCACAGAGGAGTAAGAGGAGAATAACGATTAAAAAACAAAAATGGACCCTTTAGGAAACAAGAGATAATTAGGGAACAGATGAGAACTCAGGGAGAAGGAAAACCTAATTGAAATCCTCAAGAACATAAAAACACGGAAGGGATGCTGTGAATAAAAAATAAAGAGGAAACAAAACACTCTTAGAAATTAAGACTTTAATTGTTAAACGTAAAACAAAGAAATCAATCGATGGAGAAAAAGGCACAAAGTGAAGGAAATCTCTCCAGATGTTACAAGGAGGAGACATGGACACGGGACGCGCGGGAGGAAAAGGCGGCGCGGAGACGGGACGCGCGGGAGGAAAAGGCGGCGGGGAGACGGGACGCGCGGGAGGAAAAGGCGGCGTGGAGAGACGGGACGCGCGGGAGGAAAAGGCGGCGTGGAGAGACGGGACGCGCGGGAGGAAAAGGCGGCGTGGAGAGACGGGACGCGCGGGAGGAAAAGGCGGCGTGGAGAGACGGGACGCGCGGGAGGAAAAGGCGGCGTGGAGAGACGGGACGCGCGGGAGGAAAAGGCGGCGTGGAGCGACGGGACGCGCGGGAGGAAAAGGCGGCGTGGAGAGACGGGACGCGCGGGAGCAAAAGGCGGCGTGGAGAGACGGGACGCGCGGGAGGAAAAGGCTCCCAAGGAAGATCTCTGGAAGAAAAGGGACTCCGTGCAATACACGATGTACCACAGAGAGGCTGGATACAATTGATAAAGACATTCAAGAAAAAGAGGCAAGTAGAAACCCCAGGAGATGGATTGGAAGGCAGACAAAATCAAAAACAACAAAAGATAAAGAAACTCCAGGAAAAACAAAGAGCTGTACAATAAATGTTACAAATATGATGCAAAGTAAAACATACCATGATTATAAGAAACTGACAGTTAAAAAAAAAAAAAAGCAAGCAAGAAAGAAGCCTGGCCTTCATGCTACGATAACCTAACAAAAATGCTCCGATAATATGAACAGTCAATTCATAGGAAAAAAAATACAATGATCAGTAAATATCTGGAAAGATGCTAGACTTCACCAATAGTTTTTTGTTTTTTGTTTTTTGTTTGTTTGTTTGTTTTGTTTTTTTTGAGACGGAGTCTCACTCTGTCGCCCAGGCTGGAGTGCAGTGGCGCGATCTCAGCTCACTGCAGGCTCTGCCTCCCGGGTTCACACCATTCTGCCTCAGCCTCCCCAGTAGCTGGGACTACAGGTGCCCGCCACCACGCCCGGCTAATTTTTTGTATTTTTTTTTAGTAGAGATGGGGTTTCACCGTGTTAGCCAGGATACTCTCAATCTCTTGACCTCATGATCCTCGTGCCTCGGCCTCCCAAAGTGCTGAGATGACAGGCGTGAGCCACCTCGCCCAGCCCCTCACCAGTAGTTTTTTAAAGGCACTTTTAAAAAATGAAAAGACTTTGCCCATCAGCTCAAGATGGAACATATAGTTTCACACACTGTGGGTAGCTTTGTCACTGACACAGCCTTTCTGGAGGTCTCTTTAGCAGGATCTATGTTAATGTAAATGCAAACTCCCAAGTCACAATTAAAATGGCGACTGCAGGTGCAGTGGGTCACACCTGTCATCCCAGCACGTGGGGACACCAAGGCAGGAGGATTGCTTGAGACTGCAGGTGCGGTAGCTCACACCTGTTATCCCGTAGCACGTTGGGAGGCCGAGGCAGGAGGATTGCTTGAGCCCAGGAGTTCGAGACAAGCCTGGGCAACATGGCAAAACCCCATCTCTACAAAAAATAGAAAAAATTAGCCAGGCATGGTGGCACATGCCTGTAGTCCCAGCTATTCGGGAGGCTGAGGCAGGAGGATTGCTGGAACCAGGAGTTTGAGGCTGTAGTGAGCTGTAATGGTACCACTGTACTCCAGCCTGGGGCAATGGATCAAGATACTGTCTCTAAAAGTAAATAAATAAAAATAAAATGACAGGCTGCTGACACCCACTACCAGGCATCACCTTAGAGGTGTAAGGGAATTGGAGAGGCCTGAAGTCCACTCAAGACATCAGGCTTTCGGGGGAGACACTCAGGAAGCAACCCAGCCCTGCCAGGATCCCCAGGAAGCCTCGGGACTTGGGTACCCCTGGTGGCTTGGGGGCACTGATTAGGGGAATGCAGGCCCAGCTGGAAGGTCCCTGGGCTTCCTACCTGACCACAAAACCCCCTCAGGAGGACTAGAAGCTCACTAGGGGTTTGAACAACCAGGGACTCAGCACACAGGGTTGGACCAATTGACACTGAGGCCCCACACTGTCCTCCCCAACCCCAGCTGGCCTCCCAGCACATAGACAGCGTCCTTCTGCCTCCAGACAGGAGACCAGGGTTCACCCGCAGGAGCTTCCAGAGTGAGAGGTCCCACCAGGAGAGACGTGGCCCACAGCAAGCCATGGTGCACGCCTTTCCCAAGACGGATGGGGGTCAAGAACCAGCATCTACAGGGCCAGACGTGGTGGCTCACCTGAGGTCAGGAGCTCGAGACCAGCCTGGCCAACATGGTGAAACCCTTTCTCTACAAAAAATACAAAAATTAGCTGGGTGTGGTGGTGCGCACCTGTGGTCCCAGCCACTCAGGAGGCTGAGGCAGGAGAATTGCTTGAACCCAGGAAGCAGAGGTTGTAGCGAGCCAAGATCATGCTACTGCACTCCAGCCTGGGCGACAGAGCGAGACTCCATCTCAAAAAAAAAGTAAAGCTGCAGCCAGCATCCCTCTCACCTCGCCTTCCTAATTAGTGAAATGAGTCTTTCTGGCTCCATCAATCCATATGCACCTTTTTTTGGCCAGGTGCAGTGGCTCACGCCTGAAATCCTAACACTTTGGGAAACTGAGGCAGGAGGATCGCTCGAGCCCAGGAATTCGAAACCAGCCTGGGTAACACGGTGAGACCCCATTTCTACAAAAAATATTAAAATTAGCTGGGTGTGGTGGTGCACGCCTGTAATCCCAGCTACTCAGGAGACCCAGGAGGTCAAGACTGCAGTGAGCCAACATTGTGCCACTGGACACCAGCCTGGCGACAGCAAGACCCTGTCTCTGTCTCTCTCTCTCTCTCTCTCATATATACATGTATACGAGGATGTGTGGGCAGGCAGACCCAGGAAGACACCAAGTGCATTTTCAGCATAAAGAGCAGGTGCAGTTATTCCCAGGACAAAGCCATTTCTGCCAGTGCTGTTATGCGCCTGCAAATGCATGAAAAAGCCTGGGAGGCCACCAGACTGTCTTGATGCTACCTCGGGGCCCGGGATTCAGGAGCTGGGCTCACTGCAGGCTTTGCTCACATGTCTCTAGATTGGATTTCCACTTGCTCTCAGCAGAAATTACTTTTAAAATTAAAAGAATGGACATTGCCACTTTAAAGGCAGTGGAACAAGCCCTCGTGAGTTGGGTTGGAGGGAGCCTGGCGCCGGCCCTACCTGCCCAGGATGAAGGCGATGTAGATGAGAGACGAGAAATGGGTGAAGAACTGCAGTGTGAAGAAGCGGATGGTGAACCTGCTCTCTCGCTCCGAGAAGGTCCTGGGCATCTCTGGAATGGGACCGGCCCTCACCTCTCTCCCTGCTCATAGGAGAGGCCCTGGGGCAGCAGGAAGGGTCCCCTCCCCTGCTCTCTGACCACAGCCCCAAGGCCCCAGCCCTGAGTCCTCCCGCCGGGTCCCCCAAGAGGGTCTGGGGTAGTCCTCTCACCGAAGTCACAAAGCTTCAGGGCCACGCACCTGTTGATCTGCGGAGGAGGGCACCGAATGGGCTCACTGGGGCTCCGGTGGACCCCCCAGCTCGGGCCTGCCCTGCTCCCGGCCCCACCTTGGTCATGATGATGATGGTCACATAGTGCACCAGAGCCCCGGTCACCACCACGGCCGTGGTCACCTGCTCCTCCAGGAAGGGCACGGCCGAGCTGCTGAAGAGCGCGGAGGCCAGGACGCGGTAGACCACCAGGACGTGGGCCATGCCGATCATGAGGCAGATCTGCGGGACAGCTGTGGTGGGCGGGGGCCGGGGAGGGCATGCAGCCCGGGTCTCCAGCCCCACCGCGGTGTCCCCTGCGTACCATGAGCAGGGTCAGGACGAGGATGACGGTGCTGCGTAGGTAGGAGTGCTGGTATGGCCGGAGCTTGTAGTCGGGGCAGTTAATGAGCTGAAGTGCCATTTCCTCCTGGGGAGAGCACCGGGCAAGCCTCAGACAAGGGACACTCACCCCACATGTGGGGAGACAGACACAGAGACACACCTCACGGGTGGACAGACACGGGACACTCACCCCACACATGGGGAGACAGACACGGGACACGCACCCCACACGTGGGGAGACAGACACAGGGACACGCCTCACGGGTGGACAGACACGGGACACTCACACCACACGTGGGGAGACAGACACAGGGACACGCCTCACGGGTGGACAGACACGGGACACTCATCCCACACGTGGGGAGACAGACACAGGGACATGCCTCATGGGTGGACAGACACGGGACACTCACCCCACACGTGGGGAGACAGACACAGGGACACGCCTCACGGGTGGACAGACACGGGACACTCACCCCACACGTGGGGAGACAGACACAGGGACACACCTCACGGGTGGACAGACACGGGACACTCACCCCACACATGGGGAGACAGACATGGGACACGCACCCCACACGTGGGGAGACAGACACAGCGACACGCCTCACGGGTGGACAGACACGGGACACTCACCCCACACGTGGGGAGACAGACACAGGGACACGCCTCACAGGTGGACAGACCAGGACACACGCCCCACATGTGGGGAGACAGACTCGGGACACACACCTCAGACACGGCAGGCATATGTGGGCCGTGCAGGGCATCGGGCGCCAACAGCCCCTGCTCGGGTCGGCCTCAGCTGCGCTGCCAGCTCCACCTCACCTGTTCCTCGTCCCACACGTACAGGTCCCAGTGCAGGACCACGCGGGCGCGCTGCCGCTTCCAGATCTCCAGGAACACCGTGGCTGCGGCGGGGGCAAGGAGGGGCATCACTGCACTACGCCAGGTGGACCTCGGAGCTTGGGCTGGCACTTCCCCTGGCCCCGCAGAGGCGTCCCGCAGCAACTCACCCCAGAGAGCCATGAAGATGGCGAACACCACCGTGCCATCATTGTCAAAGAGGTGGGTGAGCTGGGGGGGTGATAGGTGGGCCGGAGAGGAGGTGGGTGAGCTGGGGAGGGGGGCAGGTGAGCCAGGGAGGGAGGCAGGAAAGCCGGGGAAGGGGGCAGGTGGGCTGAGGAAATGGGCGGGTGGGCTGGGGCTGGGCCTCCCCGTCAGCCCTGTGGGGAAAGCTGAGCAGCTCTGCAGGGCTCCAGGCCTTGATCTCCCCCGCTTCGGGTGGATGCACCGTTCCCATCTTCCGCAGGCCCTGGGGTGGACCCGGAGGCGACAAACCTTGGCAAAAGTGCAGGTTTCCGAGAGCCGCTGGTACCTGCGGCTGTGGTCGCCGAGGGGACACATGAGGATGTCGTGGGCCTCACAGATCTCCTTGCTGAAGGGGCAGGGATGAGGCTGGGGTCGGCTCCTCCAGGCAGCAGGGCCCACCCCGGCCCCCCATGCCCGGCCCCTGCTGCGGCCCACCTGATCTGGCTGGCCTCAAACAGCGAGAATCCGCTCAGAAAGACTAAGAGGCCCGTCAGGGCGGCCGGCACCAGCATGTAGGTGTACCAGCCCAGCCAGACGAAGTACAGGGCCACCTTTTCCCCAAAGTAGTTCCTGCAGGCAGCAGGGGTCAAGGCCAGCTGTCAGGGGGCGGTGGGGGAGGGACAGGAAAGGGATGGGGGTGGGAGGGGGCAGCAGGGGAGGGATGGGGGAGGGACGGGGTGGGAAGGGGTGGCGGGGGAGGGACAGGAGAGGGACGGGGAGGGATGAGGGTGGGAGGGCAAGGCAGGGGAGGGATGGGGGAGGGAGGGGGCAGTGGGGGAGGGACAGGGTGGGAGGGGGGTGGGGGAGGGGGTCTCTCTTTTGGTGGCATCAGTGAGTCTGAATGGGAAGCACATCTGTGGGCGTGGGGGCATCTGTGAGGGTGTGGGCAGTGTGGGAGCATCTTCTGGGTGGTGTGTGGGGGCGTTTACAGGAGGTGGTGGCTTCTGGGTGGTGTGTGTGGATGTCTGGGGGGTGTGGGGGCGTCCGCGGGTATCTGGGGGCTTCCGCGGGGGTGTGGGGGCTCACGCGGGTATCTGGGGGCGTCTGCGGGGGTGTGGGGGCTCCCGCCGGTATCTGGGGGCGTCCGCGGGGGTGTGGGGGCTCCCGCCGGTATCTAGGGGCGTCCGCGGGGGTGTGGGGGCTCCCGCGGGTATCTGGGGGCGTCCGCGGGGGTGTGGGGGCTCCCGCGGGTATCTGGGGGCGTCTGCGGGGGTGTGGGGGCTCCCGCGGGTATCTGGGGGCTTCCGCGGGGGTGTGGGGGCTCCCGTGGGTATCTGGGGGCGTCTGCGGGGGTGTGGGGGCTCCCGCGGGTATCTGGGGGCTTCCGCGGGGGTGTGGGGGCGTCCGCGGGTATCTGGGGGCTTCCGCAGGGGTGTGGGGGCTCCCGTGGGTATCTGGGGGCGTCCGCGGGGGTGTGGGGGCTCCCGTGGGTATCTGGGGGCTTCCGCGGGGGTGTGGGGGCGTCCGCGGGTATCTGGGGGGCTTCTGCGGGGGTGTGGGGGCTCCCGCGGGTATCTGGGGGCGTCTGCGGGGGTGTGGGGGCTCCCGCGGGTATCTGGGGGCGTCTGCGGGGATGTGGGGGCGTCCGCGGGTATCTGGGGGCGTCTGCGGGGGTGTGGGGGCTCCCGCGGGTATCTGGGGGCGTCTGCAGGGGTGTGGGGGCTCCCGCGGGTATCTGGGGGCTTCCGCGGGGGTGTGGGGGCTCCCGTGGGTATCTGGGGGCGTCTGCGGGGGTGTGGGGGCTCCCGCGGGTATCTGGGGGCTTCCGCGGGGGTGTGGGGGCGTCCGCGGGTATCTGGGGGCGTCCGCAGGAGGCGGGGCCGTCCGCGGGGTTCCTGTGCTCTCTTTGGGCAGCGTTACCTGATTTCATCAACTGGCTGCTCCCGGAACATGTGTCTCCACCGCGCCCACGTCTTCTTCAGGCGTCCCTCCCCCTGGCTCGGGTGACAGAGAGTGAGAGCCCCCATCCCAGGGTCCCACCCCAGGGCCCTCTCCAGGCCAGCCCACCCCTCACCTTGTGCAGGGGGAACCTGGCCTCAAAGACCCCGTCCTTCATCAGATCCTCGAAGGTCTCTGGGTCACAGGGGTTCACGAGTCAGGGGGAGTGAGGTGCTGGGAGAACCCTGCCCGCAGCGCCCCTGTCAGTGCCCCACCCCTGCCCTTACCACCAGCCGAGGTCTTGTTGTTCATGACAACGAAGTTCACGATTCGGATTCTGAGACTCAAGAGCCAGAGCAGGGTGGCCCCGTGTGACCACAGTGGACCCTGCCTCCAGGTCTCAACCTGCCCTCTGGTCTGGCCAGGCCCAGGCCCCTCCCTGTCCTGGCAGAGCCCCCAGCCTGCCAGCCCTGACCAGAGCCCAGAATCCACAACTCACCCGGGAGCCCACCCCGCACCCTCCTTAAAGTGCTCCCAGGGCCTGGCCTGCCCCACGGCGTCCAGGATGAGGCTGGGCTGGGGGCTCCTTCTCCTCCCAGCCCGTCCCTCCCAGAAGCCCAGACCACAGCCCGCACCTGCAACCACACCTCCCACCTGCGGGCCCCATGTGTCCAGAGCACACCCCAGCCTGCATCCGCACACACCCTCCTTATACCCTGGAGCTGTTCTGTTCCACTGTGCAGAGCAGAGACTGGGGCTCAGGAAAGGGAACGTCCCAAGGCCACACAGCCATGAAGCGGCACAGCCAAGCGTCCGACGGCAGAGCCGGGCTCCCAGCCTCCCCCTGTGCCTACAGACATGGCTCCTGGACACCCCAGGGCACGTCGCAGGTATGCGCCCCCCAAGCCTGCTCCCGTCAGCCCCCTCAAGCCACCTCCCCTCCTTTGATGCCGCCTCGCGACTCCCCAAGACCCATAGCTCTCTTCACGGGTGCCCTCCACTGCCTCGTAACCAATGCCAGGAGTGTCCTTGGCCGGTCCACCAAGCAGGCCCTGGCTGAGCCCTGCGGGGCCTGGATGGGGCTGGGCAGGTCATGGGGGCATGGAGGGCCAGGCTTGGAGGCTCCCTCCTGGGCTGGAGGACTGGGGAGAAGCAGGGCCTTAGGGAGCGAGGAGGGTGTCCCTGCTGGGCCTCTGGGTCTTTGCCTTGGAGGCCAGGGACGGTGTCCAGGAAGGGGCATCGGAACTGGAGAGGAGGGGTCTTCAAGAGACACTGGCCTTGATCCAGGAGGGGCCCCTGGGCCTCTGCAAATCCTGCCCAACCCCTAAGGCTGGCTGTGACTGTGTCCCCAGGAACACAGGCAGCCACACGGAGCCCTCAGAATGCTCTGAGCGTTGAGAACCACCGTGATCCTTTAATGGGATGGGGAAGCTGAGGCTCACACAGCCAGTGGGTCTCACACCTGTGGCCCCTGCCCTGAGACCACACGGCTGTCCTGCCTTGGCGACGCCTGGAGCCTGGCACTGTCTCCTGCCCGGTCTGGACCAATCACACAGGTGGCAAGGGGTTCTCCTGGCCACGGCTCTGGGTGCAGCCTCTCACCTCGTGGTGACCGGGATGGTGGTCGGCGCGGCCAGCTCGGCGTGGGGGGCAGGCCCCTCAGGCTCCAGGAGGAGAGTGCGGTACAGGCCAAAGACACTGTTGTCAGCACGGATCCCAAAGAAGACCTGTTTCTGGTCCCGGATCACCTGGGGGCACATGGGATCCTCTATCCCACCTCAGAACCCTCCCCGCTCTATCCCGCCTCAGAACCCTCCCCCCTCTATTCCACCTCAGAACCCTCCCCCCTCTATTCCGCCTCAGAACCCTCCCTTCATCTGCCGCTGTGGCCCAGAGCCACGGAGCTGCCTCGCTCCCCACGCCCCTGCTTCTCCCCAATCCTCCAGCCCAGGAGAGAGCCTCCAAGCCTGGCCCTCCGTGCCGCCATGACCGGCCCCACAGCCCTGCCCCTCGCTGGGCACCCGCCCCAGCCCCATGGCCCTGCCCCTCGCTGGACACCCGCCCCGGCCCCATGGCCCTGCCCCTCGCTGGGCACCCGCCCACCTTAATGTGGAAGCCCTTTCTCCTGAGCTCCTCCAGGAACTGTTGCTGCCGCGCCTGCCGGGGGTCTCTCTGGGTGTGACGTTGGGCCACGAGGACATAGTCCCACTGCTCGGAGGCCTCGGTCTGCAGGGAGGAGGCATGGGGCCAGGCGCAGGTGAAGGGGCAGAGCAGGGCCAGGTGGGGCCCGGGAGGGGCCCCCGGACACCCACCTCACAGGTGCTGATCTCCATCAGCGGGAAGCTGTCCCCTTCGGGCTCCACCAGGATCCGGAGGCTCTCTTCGCCCTGGGGGTTTGGGGGCAGAGAAAGGGATAGGAGGATGTGATTGGGGGCTAGATGCCCCTCATTGGCGGGTCCCTGCAGCGGACCACATGGTCACACACCGTCCCTCCCCACAAGGAGAACAGCAAAGAGTCCCGAGGAGATGGCTGTAGGCGGGTGACAGGCCAGAGGGCCTGCTACAAACAACCGACGAAGGACTGTGGAAACAGAAGCGCGTGAGGGGCTCCTACAAATGCAAAAGGGAAGACGCAGCCCACAGAGGCCAACGGGATTGCACAGAAGAGGAGCACGCTGAGCAGCCCACAGGGGAAGCGACGGGAACTCCAGAACAGCCAAGGAAACGCAGGTCAGAGGACCAGGAGACCAATGCACGGGAGAAGCCACAGGCGCCCCTGCACACTCCCAGTGCTGCGCGTATCAGAGCACGGGTTTGGAAACCTGTTGGACTGTTTTTAAAATTGAACGCTCCCAACCCCTGGCCTAGCCCGTCCACCCCTGGAGGTGCAGACGAGGGCACTCGCGGCGGCCCCATTTCACATCAGGTCCCTGGGGGCTGGGCAGATGGACACCATGCATCATGCCGCCCCCTCACAGGGAGGATCCTGCAGCAGGCAAGGTGAGTGCCCGCAGGCACAGTGCACGGGGCTCCTGCAGGGTGACGGGCGCAGGCACATCCCAGCAGACACAGGGACACGAGAGTCTGGGGCCAGAACCTTCCGGAGGAGGGGAATTTGCAGGGCCTCAGAGCATCCCCTGATATTTGTTAATTACTGAGGCAGTCTCCAAGCTGTCTCTGGCTGCGTCACACCTGGTCCCTGCACCTGAGTCCCTCCCCTCTGCCAGCCGCATCCTCGCCAAGCTCAAGACCTGCCTCCTCCAGAAAGTCTCACTTGACTGCTTGAGCCAGTTGGCCCTTGAGGGCTGCCAGGTAAAATAGAGGCCACCCAGTCACACCTGATTTCCAGATAAACAGCAGAAGGATATAGTATTGTAGTGTAGTGTAGTGTAGTATAGGATAGCATAGCATAGCATAGTGTAGTAGGGTATAGTATGGTATAGTCTAGTCTAGTCTAGTTTGGTCTAGTATAGCATAGGATAGCATAGCATAGTATAGCATAGGGTAGCATAGGGTAGTATGGTATAGTATGGTATAGTCTAGTATGGTATAGTCTAGTCTAGTCTAGTCTAGTCTAGCATAGCATAGCATAGCATAGTATAGGGTAGTATGGTATAGTATGGTCTAGTCTAGTCTAGTCTGGTCTAGTATAGCATAGGATATCATAGCATAGCATAATATGGTATAGTCTAGTATAGTCTAGTCTAGTATGGTGTAGTCTAGTCTAGTCTAGTATAGCATAGGATAGCATAGTATAGCATAGCATAACATAATACGGTATAGTCTAGTATAGTCTAGTCTAGTCTAGTATGGTCTAGTCTAGTCTAGTCTAGTATGGTCTAGTCTAGTCTAGTCTAGTATAGCATAGTATAGCATAGCATAGCATAATATGGTATAGTCTAGTATAGTCTAGTCTAGTATGGTCTAGTCTAGTCTAGTCTAGTATGGTCTAGTCTAGTCTAGTCTAGTATGGTCTAGTCTAGTCTAGTCTAGTATAGCATAGGATAGCATAGCATAGCATAATATGGTATAGTCTAGTATAGTCTAGTCTAGTATGGTGTAGTCTAGTCTAGTCTAGTATAGCATAGGATAGCATAGTATAGCATAGCATAACATAATACGGTATAGTCTAGTCTAGTCTAGTCTAGTCTAGTATAGCATAGTATAGCATAATATGGTATAGTCTAGTATGGTCTAGTATGGTCTAGTCTAGTCTAGTATAGCATAGCATAGTATAGCATAGATGCCCCAGTGATTGCATGGGACACGCCTACACCAAAAATGTTGTTTATGTGACATTGTGACATTCAGCTTGACTGGGTGTCTGTTTCTTTTTTTTTTCTTTTCTTTCCTTTTTTTTTTTTTTTTTTTTTGAGACAGAGTTTTCCTCGTGATGCCTAGGCTGGAGTGCAGTGGTACAATCTCAGCTCACTGTAACCTCCACCTCCCAGGTTCAAGCGATTCTCCTGCCTCAGCCTCCCGCGTAGCTGGGATTACAGGCATGCGCCACCACGCCCAGCTGATTTTGTATTTTTAGTAGAGACAGGGTTTCTCCATGTTGGGCAGGCTGGTCTCGAACTCCCGACCTCGGGTGATCCACCCGCCTCGGCCTCCCAAAGTGCTGGGATTACAGGTGTGAGCCACCACGCCCGGCCCTGTTTCTTATTTTGTTTTGCTAAGTCTGCAACCCTAGTCCAGGTCTGGCCTCCAGCCCCCACCCCACACACACACACCAGGAGCTACGGGTTCTGGGACAGATCTCCCTATTCTCTCTACCGTCTCAACCACAGAAGCCAGGAAATGCATCCAACCAACCACAGAACAGAAGGCTCTCAGGCAGGGGGTTGGTCCACGGCTAGTACCAGTCCTTGGCCAGTTAGGAACCGGGCCACAGAGCAGGGGTGAGCAGGGAGTGAGCAGGGAGTGAGCAGGAGGTGAGCAGGGGGTGAGCAGGGAGTGAGCAGGGAGTGAGCAGGAGGTGAGCAGGGGGTAAGCAGGGGGTGAGCAGGGGGTGAGCTGGGGGTGAGCAGGGGGTGAGCAGGGGGTAAGCAGGGGGTGAGCAGGGGGTGAGCTGGGGGTGAGCTGGGGGT
This sequence comes from Homo sapiens, assembly GCF_000001405.40. Classification (NCBI taxonomy): domain Eukaryota; kingdom Metazoa; phylum Chordata; class Mammalia; order Primates; family Hominidae; genus Homo; species Homo sapiens. The sequence continues at coordinate 436,802 of NC_000011.10, forward strand.
GAGCAGGAGGTGAGCAGAGGGTGAGCAGGGAGTGAGCTGGGGGTGAGCGGGGAGTGAGCTGGGGGTGAGCAGGGGGTGAGCAGGGGGTAAGCAGGAGGTGAGCAGGGGGTGAGCGGGGGGTGAGCAGGAGGTGAGCAGGGGGTGAGCAGGGGGTGAGCAGGGGGTGAGCAGGGGGTGAGCAGTGGGTGAGCGGGAGGTGAGCGGGGAGTGAGCTGGAGATGAGCGGGGGGTGAGCGGGGGGTGCGTGGGGGGTGAGCTGGGGGTGAATGTTCCCACCTGGGCTCCATGTCCCATCAGATCAGCGGCGGCATTAGATCCTCACAGGAGGAGGAGGAAGAACCCCATTGTGCACTGCGCATGCAGGGATCTCGGCTGCTCCTTATGAGAATCTAATGCCTGATGATCTGAGGTGAGACGATTTCATCCCAAAACCATCCCACCACACCCACAGCTGTGGGAAAATTGTCTTCTGCGAAACTGGTCCCTGGTGCTGAAAAGGTTGGGGAGCACTGCACTAAGGCATCCGACGCCCCGGTCACAGGGAGATGGGCTCAGGTAGACACCATCTGAGCACCCAGTGCCACACTGCAGCCTCCCTGCGGGGGGAAGTTCTTGCCCTAGTTGGCCCACGGGGCTCACCTGGCCCTTCTGTCCTATCCTAGACCAGTAGTTCTTCCTGCCTCAATCAACCCTTCCTCTGACTCCCTCCTTGGCCTTCCCGACAGCCCACGGACAGATACCTGCACTCAGGCGTGGCCTGCCACACTGAAACTTCTCCCCCGTCCTGGGTTAGAGGAGAAACCTTCATCCTCCGACAGATATGCAGGAAGGGGCGTGGCACCTGCCCAGGCAGGAGAGGCACCTCTGTCTCAGCGCAGAGGGCAGCCTCCCTGGGGGGGACTGGTGGTCTGGGGGACGTGGGCATCACGGCTCCAGCTCTGCAGCTTGCCTCCGTAGGGGCCCGGGAAGTGTTGTGTTGGAGGGATTCATGGGAGAATGGCCCCTCACATGCCTGGCTTCAGACCCAGGATGAGGGTCCCTCCTCTGCCCAGAACCCCAGCTCCTCTGGCAGAGGCTGAAATTAGAGACCCCCTCACATCAGCCTGGGCCGAAAGTTGAAAGCCGGCAGGATAAGCCCAGACCCCTGAGAAGGAAGGGACGAGGCAGGGACCCCAGACCAGGCAGGACTTTCGGAGAAGCCTGGGAGAGGGGACTGTCCCTGGGGAACATTCTCAAAGGTGGGGGTGGGAAGCCATCGTTCACCCCAGAAATGAGGCACAGAAACCCCCTCCCCACCAAAGACACCGTGCAGCACTGGGGTGATGACCCCACGCCTCTGCAAACAGCAGGATCAGCCTCCCCTGGGGAATGGGGTGCAAAGCCCCCATCACTGACGTGGGCTGACAGGGAGCCCTCCCCCCAGGGCAGAGCTACACGCACACCTGGGGCGTGCCAGCCCCTGGCTGCCCTTAGCTGCTCCCTCGGACAAGGCAGAAGCACTAGGGCTGCCAGGTGTAGCCCCCGCCGACACACACAGCCAGACAGGTGGAGTCCCCCCAACACACACAGCCAGACAGGTGTAGCCCCCCCCCGACTCACACAGCCAGATAGGTGTAGCCCCCCTGACACACACAGCCAGACAGGTGTAGCCACCCCCTGACACACACAGCCAGGCAGGTGTAGCCCCCCCAACACACACAGCCAGACAGGCCTCAGGCTCCGAGACTCTGCTGCAGAACACTGGGCCCACCAGCCTCCAGGACCGGGCCGTCCATCTGTCCATCCGTCTCCAGGGCCAGTGTTTACGGAGCCACACCCACCGGCCCATCCCCCGGGCCACAGCCACCAGCCTACAGGACCAGGCCATCCATCTGTCCATCCGTCTCCAGGGCCAGTGTTTACGGACCACGGGAGCCTGGCTTCTCCACACCACCCTCGGGGTCTTCACAGGTGAGGGCTGGACCACCTGAAGTCACCTCCACTTCCAGCCATGCAGACTGTTCGGTTTATCCACAGTGAGATGTCTGGGACCCCCATGTCCCCAGTCCATGGGCCCCACCTCCGGGAAACTATGTATGGGCCCACAGGCTTCCAGCTCCCAGGGTAGGGACAGGGGCTGTCCCTACACACTCAGTCTGAGGGCCTCTGAAGCTTCAGCCAGCCTTGCCATCTGCAAACCCAGAGAGGGAGGCCGGCTCTGGGTGGACAGCCGGCCAGGCCCTAGCTCTGACGCCACCGAAACACCCCAGGCCTCAGTTTCCTCGTCTGTACAACAGGGTGTCCTCACCCCAGCCCCCAGGTCACCTCAGCGACGTGCAGACACAGGAAGAAGGTGGACAGAACCACACACTGTTCTCCCCCATCCTTCCTGTCCCACAGCCCTCACAGGTGACACACCCAGTACTCCAGGGCCCCAGGGAGTTTGTGGGGGGCTCTTGGCACCCCCATTGTGGGCATAGGCCAGCGTCCAGTGGGCAAGCCCCTGGTTCCCAGTGAGGAAGCTTCTGGAGACACTGTAGCCTGCAGGAGACCCTCCCTCCCAAGGGCTGGAGTGTGAGGACAGAGCTGGGGGTCCTGCCCATCCATCCTCTTCCCAGTCCAGCCTCCAGGTTGGGGGCAGGCAGAGGAGATGGTTGTGCAGATATGACCCCACCCTACTCCTGAGAGGCCTGGCCAGGGGGTCCCATGACGCACATCCCCCCAGCTGTGCATGAGAAGGAGCAGGCCTGGCCAGGGGGTCCCACGACGCACATCCCCCCAGCTGTGCATGGGAAGGTGTTTGGGCCTCATCTCCTCCTGAGGTCACGTCAAGCCTCTTGGCCGGTGCCCTGAGCCCTCTGGGATCTGGCCCTTGAGAACTTTACAGTTTCGTCATCCACAGAGGGTCCCCTTCTGCCCCACCGCAGTCCCAAGCATGGAGAGGCCCACCTTGTGAGCCACAGCGTCTCGCCTCTGCCCAGCCCACGCATCCTCTGAGCAAACCCTCCCCAGCTGGCTCTGCGCTCCTGAAGCCAGTCTTCTGCCCACCCCCCGGCCCCTCCAGCTGTCCAGTCTGTCATCTGTCAGTTCACCCATCCGTGTGCCCGTCCATCCCCAGACACTGACGGAGCGACCTGCGTGCAGCCCTCCCAGGCAGTGCGTGGCGTTCGTGGACGCAGGGGCGGGGGCCTACTTGGCAGGTGAGGAGGCATGGAGCTTGGCATTGTAGGGCAAGAGGTTGGCAAAAGGTGAGAAAATGGGGGCAGCATTCCCGGGAGAAAGAACATGTGTGGGCACGCCCTGAGAATCAGGGTGCAGTTGGTGTCTGGGACTCAGCAGTCAGCACCTCCCAGGGACTCAGCACTCAGCACCTCCAAGGAGGACTTGGTAGCTACTACTCCTGGTGACTCAGCACTCGGCACCTACGGAAACTGAGTCCAGGGACTCAGTCCTTGGTACTTCAGCTTTGCAGAAGCATAAAGGGCAAGAAGGGAGCTGCCAGAAGGGGAGGCTGGAGGTTGGCAGAGGCCAATCAGGGGAGGCTGCTAGGCTTCTTGGCCAAATGGAGAGCTTGGACTTCAGCAGGGGGCAGTGGGGAGCCATGGAAGGGGTTAGAGCAGAGGAAAGGCACGCCCAGATCCAGCCTGGAGCTGGGACTAGCAAGTCCTCCCCATGTCTGCAACTGTCCTTTTTGATCACCACAGGAGTTTTGACCTGCTCCGTTTCCGACCTGGACCGGTTCACCCCTCCTTAGGCAACTTGGTGGTCCCCTGCTCCTGGGAGGTCACCATACTGATGTGCGGACAGCCAGTCAGCCTAACACACTACAGCCCAGAACTCCCAGGCTCGAGCAACCCTCCTGCCTCAGCCTCCGGAGTAGCTGGGACCGCAGGCTCATGCCACCACGCCCGGGTTCCAGCAGTCCTCCTGCCTCAGCCTCCCGAGTAGCTGGGAGCGCAGGCACGCGCCACCACGCCCGGGTTCGAGCAGTCCTCCTGCCTCAGCCTCCTGAGTAGCTGAGACTGCAGGTGCATGCCACGACGCCCGGGTTCAAGCAATCCTCTTGCCTCAGCTTCCGGAGTAGCCGGGACCACAGGCATGCGCCACCAGGCCCGGCTGCAACTGTCTTTTTTGAAGGACTGATGCTCTCACTTCCAACAAACCAGGTGCTGCTTCTCCCAACCCAACCCCTGGCCAGCCCCAAGTCTCTCCTCTAACCCCCAGCATGGGAGGAAGGGGCTGGCAGAGGGGACCCTGAGCTCAGGCTAAGGGGCATCAGGTGCTGGGCTGAGCAGCCAGGGTGTCAGACCTGGATGTGGAGGGCCGAGGAGAGCCCTGGGCGGAGATGGAGCAAGAGGCCGCCGGCGCAGCCCACACGTGGAGGCCCTGGCAGGCCGAGAGGGAGGCTGGTTTCACTCCACACCTCACCACTGCCTCCTCCCTGGGCCGACCAGGTGCTGACCTGCCCAGGTGTTGGCCCTGGCCCCAGGTGACCTCTTCACTGGCAGAGGGGAGAAAGGATGTCTTTCTACGTGTTCACCTGCACTCCCTCCCCCAGAATCGGAATCCAGCAGCAGCAGTCAGCGCCCACCCCCAGAATCGGAATCCAGCAGCAGCAGTCGGCCCCCACCTGTGCTGGGCGGGGTCCTTGGGGAGCAGAGAGCCCACAGCCCGCCGGCCACTCTGCAGCTCCCAACCCTGGGGCAGCCTGCCTGGTGCCCACAGCCCGCTCCCCCTTAGGGGCCAGCTGCAAGGCAAAGCTGCCAGGTCTGGGGTCCTCAGCAGCAGCCCCCGCCTCGGTGGGCAGGCCCTCTCCATCTCGTGTTCAGGACTCTGGTAGAGGTTCCTGGCCCCACACACTAGCTGAGAGCCCAGCCCTGGTGCCCTCAGAATCCCGGGCTGGAGGGAGGAACGCCGCCCGCCTCCAGCACTTCCAACCCCCAGCGTGCCCCAGGAGTCCAGGAGGCAGCTTAGCTGAGCCGGGCGGTCACCCTCGCCTGACCGGGCAGCCTGCAGGGACCCCCCCCACACACACAGGCGCCTTCCAGGTGGGGCTGGCGGGGGGCTGGGGCCGGGGGCCCCAGGTGTGGGCGTGGCTGGGGGCCTTGAAGGTGTGGACCCTTTTGAGCGCAGGACTCACCTGCATGCTGGCTGTGGCCGGAGTTCCAGCTGGGGTTTGGCGGCCAGGAGAGTGGCTGCCAGCGGCGGGTGCTCCTACCTGACTTCCGCGTGGGGCTCGCCCCTCCCTCCTCCTCCTCCAGCGTCCTGCAGCTGCCGCGCCTGGGTGTAGTCGGGGCGGAGCCAGCATCCAGGCCAGGAGAGTACCCCAGCCCCTGGAGCCTGGGACACCTTCCTGGAGCCCAGATGGCGGGTCAGGGGCCAGAGGGGAATTCCTAGGCTGGAGTTCCCGGGAAGGGGGTTTCCACTGTGAGATGGGTCTCATGACACCTGGTCCTAGGGGGAAGCAGGATGGCACAGAGCCCCTGACAGAGCCAGCACCAACGCCCCCACTTGCCTTGCCTCTCTCACCCCCGCTCACACATCCCCATGTTCCCTCCAAAAGCATCCCACCCCAGGCCATGCCCCCCACCCCGGGCCACGGCCCCCCACCCCGGGCCACGGCCTCCCCCACCCCGGGCCACGGCCTCCCCCACCCCGGGCCACGGCCCCCCACCCCGGGCCACGGCCCCCCACCCCACAGGTCCAGTGCTGATTCCCTTAGAGGAGAAACTGGGGCAAGGAGGACTGACGACGAGACAGACTCCCAAAGAAACTGTCTGCTCCTACCCAAGCCCCTGCTTTCTGGGCCCCACTGGGGAATCCTTGGAGTCCTGGGGACACGTGGCTGGCCCCAGGCTGTGTAGACAACGGAGGAGGAGCCCTCCACCCCGCATCCCCAGTCCCTGAGCACGTTCTGTGCAGCCTGGGCTGAGGGCGGCAGCTGGGCAGGCTCTGGGTGTCCTGAGAGTGACCGTCCAGTGGAGTGCCCTGAGGAGGGAAGGGCTGCGGGGAGTGGGGGCCCAGGCCGTGGGCTGGCACACATTATCTGCAGCGTGTGTGGCGAGGAGTCTGCTTCTGAAAGCTGCTGCAAAGCTGGGGAGGCAGGGCCAGAGCTCCGCAGGCAGACGCTGTCACACGGAACGGCTCCAGGCCCACTGGGGCCAGAGCACCCCCCGGCAAGCCCAGCAGCCCTCTGCTGTGGTCCAGGCCCAGGGCCAACAGTCGGCTCTGGTTTCCCCAAGGGGTAACATGGTCCCACCCATGTTTCTCCTTGGGGGACCTCCTGGCAGGCTGGGATGGCAGCAGAGACCACAGCTTTGCCACTTTGGCAAAGACAAGCGAGTGAAGTGGTGGCCGAGGACCTGTGAGCTCAGATGGGGCAAATCCAAATGGAACACATTCAGATCTGTGTGCAAAATGGTGGTGGCTTAAACAAGCTGTGTATTTCTCCTATAAGTGAAATCTGGAGTTGGCCGGGCGCAGTGGCTCATGCCTGTAATCCCGGCGCTTTGGCAGGCCGAGGCGGGTGGATCACCTGAGGTCAGGAGTTCGAGACCAGCTTGCCCAACATGGTGAGACCCCGTCTCTACTAAAAATACAAAAATTAGCCAGGTATGGTGGTGCACGCCTGTAATCCCAGCTACTCGGGAGGCTGAGGCAGGAGAATCGCTTGAACCTGGGAGGCAGAGGTTGCAGTGAGCCAAGATCACACCACTGCACTCCAGCCTGGGTGACAGAGTAAGACTCTGTCTTTAAAACAAAGCAAAACAAAAATCTGGAGTTGGCTAGTCCTGGACTAGTATGGCCGAACTATAGTCATCAGAGACCCAGAATGCCTTCAGCTTGTTGCTCTGCCACCTTAAATACATGGTCCCAGCACCTGGTCCAAAATGACTGCTCAAGCTCCAGTCATCACATCCACGTTCCAGCCAGTGGGAAGAGGAAAGGGCGAAGGAGGGAACCTCACCCTTCACATGGTTAGTCACGTGACCACACTCTATGGCAAGGAAGCCTGGGGCATGTGAGCTCTTTTCCCATGGAAGAAAGCAGGGTAAGCGGGAGAGGGAACATCCGGCAGTCTCACCAGGGGGTCACAGCTGCCAAGTTAGATCTAGTTCAGAAACAGAATGTGCAAGGCTTGTTGAGTATGGGAGGAACTCACACGCAAGATCCACGTTCCCAGCCCCTGCACCGTCCGTGACGGGTGTCGCTCCCCAGTCCCCAGCTCAGCCCGCTCAGGGGTCTCTGTGCTCATGTTTTCACACTGTGTTAAAACAATCTTCGGCTGGGTGCGGTGGCTCATGCCTGTAATCCCAGAGCTTTGGGAGGCAGAGGTGGGTGGATCACGAGGTGAGGAGTTCAAGACCAGCCTGGCCAAGATGGTGAAACCCCATTTGTACTAAAAATACAAAAAATTAGCCAGGCGTGGTGACAGGCGCCTGTAATCCCAGCTACTCAGGAGGCTGAGGGAGGAGAATCATTTGAACCCGGAGGGTGGAGGTTGCAGTGAGCCAAGATCGTGCCACTGCACTCCAGCCTGGGTGACAGAGTGAAACTCCGTCTCAAAATAAATAAATCAATAAATAAATAATAAAACAATCTCCACGTTTTCAGTGTGTTAAAACAATCTGCTAGCAGGTCATGTGAGTTACTCAGGCGCCACTTCAAGTGTCCACACAGCTGCTGTGCTCTCTTTCAATGACTTTTTCAGCATTCCCAGTTGCGTTGCAGAAACACTGTTCCTCCTCCCCCCACACCTTCCGTGGGCGTCACCAGAGGAATCCTCAGTCACTTCCAGAGTCCTGGCTGTAAAGCCAGCATATCCAGCTTCAGGGGAGAGAGCTCAGCGAGGCGGCTGCATTGGCCGCTGGCCTCACCCAGCGTGGAAGTTCCCTTACGATCAGTGAAGGGTGGAGAGGGAGGGGGACCCCACCCAGTCCTATCTGGACAGAAAACCAGTACAGCCCTTTCAGAAAGCAATTCAGCTATAATACGTATTAAGAGCCTTAAAATTGTTTAGACTTTGGTTCATTAATCTAACTTTTTGTAAACTGTTCTAAAAAAATGCAAAATAATGAAAATATGTATATATGTCATTTGCAGCAAAAATTGTAAACCACCAATGTTCAACAATAGGAAAATATCAGCGAAAACATGGTATTCATATTTATATGCTGATTAAGCAGACATTAGAAGTTATACTTTCAAAGAGTTTTTGAGAACATAGGAAAATGCTTATGTTATACTGCTAAGTAAAAAAAACAGACTACAAACATATAAAAATTTTTCCTAGATTAAAAGAGATTTATTTATTCTTTTTATTTTTTGAGACGGAGTCTTGCTCTGTTGCTCAGGCTGGAGTGCAGTGGCAGGATCTCGGCTCACCACAACCTCCGCCTCCTGGGTTCGAATGATTCTCCTGCCTCAGCCTCCCAAGTAGCTGGGATTACAGGCATGCACCACCACGCCCGGCTAATTTTGTATTTTTTGTAGAGACGGGGTTTCACCATGTTGGTCAGGCTAGTCTTGAACTCCCGGCCTCAGGTGATCCGCCCGCCTCGGCCTCCCAAAGCGCTGGGATAACAGGCATGAGCCACTGCACTTGGCGGAGATTAATTTTTTTTTAATGTTCTTTTACTTTAAGTTCCAGGATACGTGTGCAAAACGTGCAGGTTTGTTACACAGGTAAACGTGTGCCATGGTGGTTTGATGCTCCTATCACAAACATGTATAAAATGTTTATGTAAACGTAGCTAAGGGGCATTAAAATATGGGAAGAGTAGACTGATATTTGATACTTACATTTGCTTAACAATGTGAACTAAGGATGGGGTATTATGCTTTTCTTCATTATGTTTGTTTTCAAATATTCTAACACAAACACATCACACTTTAATAAACTTATTAAATTTGCTTTATTTTTCCACATTCAAGTCTATTATTATAAACTTTATTTCCCCCAGACTCAGCTTGACTCTTGGCTTCCGGGTTTGAGTGCAGCTCCTGAAGAGGCAAGAGTTTGGCCTGGACGTCCTGGCAGGTGGCCCTGCCCTGCCTTGGCAGAGAACTTTGGTCGAGGTTCCCCGTGGGCCTCCTGCTCTTCCTCTGTGGACCCTGGACCCTGTTCCTCTGCCTTTCCTCCTCCCACTTCAGAAGACCCCGTCCACCAGACCGCCTCCCCCTGAGGCCCAACATGCAGCAGAGGCAGCTCCTCCGTCCCTGCAGCCTCCTTTTAACTGTGGGATATGGCAGCCACCCGTGGAGCGGTCCGGGTGACAAAGCCAGCGAGAGCTAGGGAGCGCCCAGGTGAAATCCCACAGGCAGGTGTGAGCACCAATTGTCATTACCTTTGCCCTGGGCCCCTCAGAGACCTGTCCTCCCCCCCCGCCCCCAACAGCCTCCTGGGCGCGGCCACAGACACAGACACAGTGTCTGGACGAGCAGACTCGTCCAGGCACTGCTCAGAGGCAGCCCCTCTGGGTCAGCTGGAGTCGGTGCCTCTGAGAACCTGCCCCTGTACTCTCTCTGGGCTGGTCTCAGGCACCCTGCTGGCTCCAGCCTCTCTTGGCTGACAGTGCTTGGCAGGCGACCCCCAGCCTGAAGCCCCTGCAGGGGAGACCCTCTCCCAGCTGGGCCTCTGCCCTTGAGGACCACCTGAAGCCATCCTTGCCTGCCACACCAGGGTGGCATTGGGGTGGGGACCCAAACCCCTCCCGTCCTCATTGCAGGGACAACTCTGTCTCCTTGCTGCCTCCCCAACACCTCCAGGCCTTAACCATCTTGACTTGGGGAGCAGTCCTGCTGTCCACGCTCCCTCCAACAAGCCAGAGAAAACTCCCGGGCACAGGTGTGCGTGTGGCACGGTGAGTTTTTCTGTAATCCACTCACCTTTATGGATTTACCGCACCAGGGGAAATATTACAACAGGCATTTGTTACTTTACAAATTCCTAGGCTTCCTCTCCCTTCCTTGCAAGGGCATTTTTAGAAAGCATTTCGCCAACATTCACTATTTACCACCATAAATGTGACTCTGGCCAGCTCTGTCCCTGGGTAAGGCCAGAATTGACCATTTTCTTAAAAGTTCCAGCGCCCTGAGGCTTCTGGCAGGCATCTCTGCAGCTGAGGAAGGCTTCTGTCCCGTGCACCCTTCCCCAGGCGGGGGACCCCCAGTTCTGCTGCTCTGGGGCCTCAAAGAACCAAGTCCTCCAAGCTGCTCCACTGCCTCCTCACCAGCCACGGTGCTCCCTGAGCCACAAACCTCCGGCCTCACCCCTGCCCCTCAGGCCCACGTCTTGCAATGGACTCTGCCAGTCCACACATGCCTGGGTGGGGAGGGGTGTGCACTTCTGCAGCTGGGGTGAAGACAGGGACAGGGTAATGTGAGACTCAGATATGAGACGCCAGGTGCAAAACTGCAGGTGGAGAGCTCCCTGTAGAGTGCAGGGGTTCAGGGTAGAGGCTCTGGGGTCTGGAAAGAGCTGGGCGTAGCTGTCACCAACCTTTCTCTGCCTCAGTTTTTTTTTTGTTTGTTTCTTTTTTTTTTTTTTTTTTTTTTTTTGAGACGGAGTCTTGCTCTGTCACCCAGGCTGGAGTGCAGTGGCGTGATCTCAGCTCACTGCAAGCTCTGCCTCCCAGGTTCACACCATTCTCCTGCCTTAGCCTCCCGAGCAGCTGGGACTACAGGCGCCCGCCACCACGCCCGGGTAATTTTTTGTATTTTTAGTAGAGATGGGCTTTCACCGTGTTAGCCAGGATGGTCTCGATCTCCTGACCTTGTGATCCACCCGCCTCGGCCTCCCAATGTGCTGGGATTACAGGCTTGAGCCACCGCGCCCGGCCTTCTCTGCCACAGTTTTTTTGTCTCTAAGCGACAGTCAAAAATAGAACCTAAGGGGGTGTGTTAAGATCACAATAGTTGGCCCGGCGCGGTGGCTCACGCCTGTAATCCCAGCATTTTGGGAGGCCAAGGTGGGTGGATCACCTGAGGTCAGGAGTTCGAGACCAGCCTGGCCAACTTGGTGAAACCCCGTCTCTACTAAAAATACAAAAATTAGCCGGGCGTGATGGCGGGCGCCTTTAATCCCAGCTACTCCGGAGGCTGAGGCAGGAGAATCGCTTGAACCCGAGAGGCGGAGGTTGCAGTGAGCCGAGATCACGCCACTGCACTCCAGGCCTGGGTGACAGAGTGAGACTACGCTTAAAAAAAAAAAAATCACAATAGTTAGCATTTACAAAGCGTTGGGAATTCTACTTGGCACGTGGCCAGAGCTCCGTAGTGATGGGCAACGAACACGTGGTCTGCGCGCCCGGGGCCGCGCGGTCTGGCGGGGCCGCGCGGTCTAGATCACGCTACTCCGGGTCCCAAGGCCCCGCCCTCAGGCCCCGCCCACAGACCATGTCCTCGGCCCCGCCCCTCACGCGCCCTTGGGCCCCGCCCCCGAGCCGACAGGAACGAGCGTCATTGCGAGGCGGCCTCGCGCGCAGCTTCCTTGGGGCCAGGGACCCCAGTGGGGCCGGTACATCTCCCCGCCCCGGCCTCTGCACCCTGGAGGGACGGCAGGAGGGCTCTCTGTGCAGTTTGAGAGAACACCCATACGCAGGAAATGACCCCAACGCCACCGAGAGGGCGCCTGGAATGTGAGCGCCACCTGCTGGGATGGGAAGAGGTCTGGGAGGGGACCTGAAGGATGGTTCACAGGGAACCAGGCCTGTCGGGTGATTGCTGGAAAGATGGCATGGACGGGAGCTGGCTGCTCTGGCCACTCAGCCGACCCCAGCTGGACGCGGCCAGGGCCTGGGGCAGGGGGCCAGGCCTGGGGAGGCCCAACAGCACGCCCCCTGGAGCCAGCGCCTCCCGCACTGCCCAGCCTGTGTGTCAGGAGCTGGGGTGAAGGTCCCATCACAGTCAGGCCCCATCCCTGCTGGGCGTGGCTGTGCAGGAGCCCCGCAAATATGTTTATATATTTAGTATGTGAGTTATATTTCAATAAAGCTGATATGAGATATACTTCACATATCATGCAGTTCACCCATTCAACTCGTTTCGAGTGGACAGTTGAGTGGTTTTTAGGACATTCACAGATAGGAGCTGAGGTCAATATTACAGCACTTTCATCGCCCCGAAAGAAACCTGCTACCCTTTGTAGTCGCTCCTTATTACCCCTTCCCCAGCCCCCGGTGAAAACTCATCTAATTTCTGTCTTCATAGATTTGCATTTCCTGGACATTTCATACAAATGGATCACATAATGCGTAGTCTCCTGTGACTGGCTTCTTTCACCTAGCATTTTTTTTTTTTTTTTTGAGACGGAGTCTCGCTCTGTCGCCCAGGATGGAGTGCAGTGGCACAATCTCGGCTCACTGCAACCTCCACCTCCCGGATTTAAGGGATTCTCCCACCTCAGCCTCCCGAGTAGCTAGGATTACAAGCGCCCGCCACAATGCCAGGGCAATTTTTGTATTTTTAGTAAAGATGGGGTGTCACCACTTTGCCTAGGCTGGTCTCGAACTCCTGACCTCAAGTCATCCGCCCGCCTTGGCCTCCCAAAGTGCTGGGATGACAGGCGTGCGCCGCCGCGCCCGGCCTGCCTAGCATAATGTTTTCAAGGTCCAGCTGTGCTGTAGCATGCGCATGCTTCGCTCCTCTATGGCTAATAACATGCCGCTATTATCAAAATGCTGCAACTAGGAGCGCTAGTGTGTAAATTTGGCGTGGACACTTGTTTCCAGGTTTGAGGAGCTGCCACATTGCTTTTCAGAGTGGCTCAGGAGCTAATTTTTTTGCAGGGTACCATGTCAACAATTTGGGTCAACTAAAATCAGCGTGTCCGCACCATTTTCGCCCGCCCAATTTCACGCGATCCTGCGAAAGAATGACCCAGACCGGTCCGGGCGCGGTGGCTCGCGCCTGTAATCCCAGCACTTTGGGAGGCCGAGGCGGCAGATCACAAGGTCAGGAGTTCGAGATTGGCCTGGCCAACATAGTGAAACCCCGTCTCTACTAAAAATACAAAAATTAGCCGGGCGTGATGGCGGCCGCCTGTAATCCCAGCTACTCGGGAAGCTTGAGACAGAAGAATCGTTTGAATCCGAGAGGCGGAGGTTGCAGTGAGCCGGGATCGCGCCATTGCACTCCAGCTCGGGCGGCAGTGCGAGACTCCGTCTCAAAAAGGAATGACCCGGGTCGCATGGGGTGAAGGGTCGGGAAGCGCCCCAAAAGGAGAACGGGGCTGGGCTCCGGGATCCGTCGGCGAGGAAGGGGCGAAGGGGTGGAGGGACTCGGGCCAGGCCGCCGGGGATGTCTGTGGTTACCTCCAAGCTCTGGAGGCCTTGGCGAGACCCGCGCCATCCGCAGCTTGGTTCCTGCGACCTCAGCCGCAGGGCGGTCCGGCTCCGGTTTCCCAGCAACCAGGCGTCATCCTTCCCAGCAAGCACTGCGTCCAACCCGCGACGTCGGACCACAAGGCCCAGCATGCCCCGCGCGGACTACAAGCCCCACAATGCACCGCACACCCTTTACTGGCCGGCCCCGCGCTGCTCTCCTAAGACCCCGCGGGCCAGCGCCGCGACCCCTTCCCAGCGCTCCTCGCGCTGTGTGCGGCGCGTCCTCTCGCCGGTGACCCGGTGTGCGTGGGGTCGAGGCGCCGGGCGGAGTGGCTCCGGGCCGAAACGCCATGCGGAGGGGCGAGCGCAGGGACGCCGGAGGTCCGCGGCCCGAGTCCCCGGTGCCCGCGGGCAGGGCCTCGCTGGAGGAGCCGCCTGACGGGCCGTCTGCCGGCCAAGCCACCGGGCCGGGCGAGGGCCGCCGCAGCACCGAGTCCGAGGTCTACGACGACGGCACCAACACCTTCTTCTGGTGAGGGCAGTGGGCGGCCGCGGGGCGGCGAGGGTGCCCTCGACCTGGGGGTTCCGGCACCGCTGGCCTGGGGGTCCCCGGCAGCGCCCTCTCGCCGTCTTGGAGTCCAGGACTGTGGCCGGGGGTTTGAGGGTGTGGCAGCACCGCCCCCCGGGTCCCGGGGAGCGGCCGGACCGAGCTCCCGACGCCGGGTCGGGCGGAGGGCGGCGCTGTAGGTGGGGGAGACCCTGGGCAGACCCTCCCTGCGGCCGCTTTGCGTCTCTCTCGCCGCCCTCCCCACCCCTGCCCGCCTTGGCTCTGACCGCGCGGTTCTGCGATCCAGACCCCTTCCCCGCCACCCGCCTCCAGCGTCACCCCAGAAACGCTTTCTCTGTCCTGCTGTCGAAGCTTCACCTGTGTCCCCCGTCATTCTGCCTGTGGTTGCTCCTCAGTGCTTGCGGCTGCACGAAATCATCTTGTGTGTCGCGCCCGACCCCACGTGGCGATCGTGTTGATTAGCAGAGTGTTGTGCGTGCTTCAGGAATGTAGTCGGTGTTCGTCGAATCCAGGCTCTGTTTCTCTCCTCAGTTGCCCCTAGCGGGGCCAGCGCCTCCTCCCTGCACAACTCAGCCCTAGCTACACCTTGGGGTCCCCCTGTCCGCCACTCTGCCTTTAATGGGGGTGGAAAAGGAAGAGGCCCCCGGGAGCAGCTGGAGTGTGGCACTCTGTGTCCAGACAGGCTCCAGGTGCCGCTCCTACTCCCGACAGCTGCGACCCTGGGCTGGCCCTTTGCCGATGCTCCTCTGTGAGAAGGATCAAGCCGTCGACCTGAAAGCAGGCTTCGTGAGAGGAGGGTTTGGCTCTTCTTGACTGCAAGGTGCCCAGTTCCCATCCTGTGGAAGGCCCGGGGGCACAGGGGCAGTAGAGGTGGGGTCAGCCCCAGGAAAACGTGTGGGAGACAGGCGCCTGCGGCCAGCAGTGGAAGGAAGGCTTTATGGACGCTTCCAAGAGAACCATGCTGTGGGATGGTCGGAGAGCAAATCTGAGGGGCGAGGAGGGCCTGATGGAGGAGTAAGGGACTTGTCAGGGGAAGGCGCCACCACAGACAGGGACTTAACCGGTCCTGGCCTGTCACCGCAGCCGAAGCTCTGGAGAGAGACTGTCCAAGTGGTGGGAAAGCAGGTTAGGGTGGAGGAGGCCCCACGCAGGGTCTTCCGTGAGGTGTGGGCAGCTGCTGTTGCAGGGAGGGCATCCGAGCTCTCCTTTGGGGAGATGAGTGTACCGGGTGGCTGCGGGGCCCTCGGGAGGGAGAGGAGATGGGGTGCCTGCCACGTGGACCCTCTGGCTTCCGGGCCCTGTGGACATCAGGCCTCTCCATCAGGTGCCCTGCCACACCCCTTCAGGCTGTCCTCCCGCAGCACAGCTGGGGACCACCGGAGTCTCTGAGGTCCTGGAGCAAGGAGACCAGACTGGCTCTTCTGAGGTCCCGGAGCAAGAAGACCAGACGGGCTCCTCTGACATCCCGGAGCAAGGAGAACAGACGGGCTCCTCTGAGGTCCCGGAGCGAGGAGACCAGACTGGCTCTTCTTGTTTCTCATTTGGCCGTTCAGCACATTGTGGGGACCCCTACTGCCTGTCAGTTACCGTTCTACGGGACATAGCAGAGAACTAAACAAGAAGCTTAGATTCTGGTGCAGGCATGGAACTTCAGAAGGCTCAAAATGTGCTGGCTGGGTGCTGAGTGTGGCAGGAGCCAGGGGGCACATGCAAGCCTGCGCAGCCCACCCAGTACCAGGGAAGCAGGAGCAGCAGCCCAAAGGTAGGAGGGGGCCGGTCTCTTTAGAAGCCCAGACCAGTGGTCCCTGCCCACAAGGGGTGTTTGGGACACAGACGGCTGGGCGCAGCAGAGCTTGCCTGTCAGGAGGCCAAGGGGGTCAGGAGGGCTCTCCAGGAGCGGGTGCAGCGGGGCTGGCTGGTCCAGGTACCTCCTTCCTGGGTCTTCTGGGTGGGTGGCTCTGGCTCTGGCTTTCCCCTCGACCCTGTCCCTGTAGAGACGCATGGGGCAGGTTCTTGCTGTGCCTCCTCCCTTCCCTGTGCAGAGGAAGGAGCTTCACGCTTCTGGGTGGCAGGTAACTCAATGCCTGCCTGGTGAGAATTCATTACCTGCAGAGCCTCACACTGACCTCCTGAGTCCACCTGCACTGACTTGCTGTGCTGGCATTTTTTTAACTCTAATTTTGTGTTTTAGAGAGTTTTACTTTTTATTTTTTATTCATTTTTATTTATTTATTTATTTTTAATAGAGGGTCCCCCTGTGTTGCCCAGGCTGGTCTTCAACTCCTGGCCTCAAGTGATCCTTCCGCCTCAGCCTCCCAGATTGCTGAGATTACAGGCATGCACCACCACATCCAGCCAGGGCGTTCATTTTCAAGGATGGGTGCACTTCCTCGGGCCAGTGACGGCGGCCATGTGTGAATTTTGTTTCTCTGTGACTGCTTGTCAGCCATAGGGATAGGGCGTGCGGTTCGATTCAGGGCTTGACTGGCCCTGGGAGCACGAGGCTGAGCTCTCCTTCTCTGGATTCATTCAGGGTAGCAAGGACAATTATGGGGAACATCCAGAGGAAAACGTTTAGATCCACAGACTCCGAGAAGCCCTGTGCGAAGATGTGGCAGCTCATGCGGTCTGGAAATTGTTTGGGAGAACACTTGGGGACCCCTTACCCTGGCGAGGTGCCTGTGAACGTTGCCGCCTGTCTGTGGGAGACGCTGAAGCAGCTTCGGATGACCACACTTGCTAACCAGTTCCCGAGCTGGGGGCCACTGTGATGTTCTGAGAGTTTTTATTGTATGCTTGTGTCTTGGAATGGGGTGCCTCAAATGAGCCTTCTCAGTGACCTGAGGACTTTATGTGTGAGGTGACCTCTGACCTTCAGATACCCCAGGTTTCTGGAAGATGCCTTTCTCCATCATCCTGGATCGGGGCTTTCCCAGCTTTGCCTACACCTGGGAGGCGCGAGTAGCCAGATGAAGTCTTTCTGGTCTTGCTGGTCAGAGCCAGAAGGGCCAGTGCCCGGTCCAGGAGCCTCTCGCAGGCCTTGGGCTGCCCATCCAGGCGTGGCCTTTCCTTGGCCCTTTGGACGACGACGCCGCGTTTTCCTCTTGGTCTCGGCCTCCCTGCCCACCATGAGAGTGGACATGAGAGTGACCATCTCCAAGGAGGCAGCTGGGTCTTTTCCACTCCCCATGGCAGGGAGCCAGCTGTCTTCACGCCCTCACCCTAGTGAAGTGGCTGAATTGCCAGGATTGATCACAGCTCTGTTCTGTGTCTGATCACAGGACATACACCGTCCTGCAGAGTCTGCAGGCGGGTGGGAGGAGCCATTGAACAGACCTGGCGTCCTGGGAGGGACACGGAATTCTTCCCTTGAGAGTCTCATGCTATCTTGAGCGGCACTCTGTCACTTCCAAGATGTGTAGACGTCGTGCTGCGTGTAGGACAAGGACTGGAGCTCACTAATACGGACCTTACTTTCCAGGAGCGTTGGATTTGAGCAGCTCTGAGATGTGTCCTCCTGCAGGGCTGCTGTGCCTGGTGCCCTTTCTCTGGGTCCCTTACCCTCTGCCTCCCTTCCTGTTGGGTCCTCTTCATTCCCATTTCTGCTTCCCCAGGGCCAGGAGGGTGCTGGGCACTCGGTGGCCACCTCAATGACAGTGTGCACATTTACCTGAAGGGGCGAAGGGTTACCTTTATATTTCAGGTAATCTCTGTGTTTTGGGGAAATGGAAAGATGGTGTTGGGTTAGGGTTGATCAATGATCAGCGTTTCCCTGGGCTACACAAGGAGTGAGTGTTGGGTTGGTGGCCACTTTAGAAACCACAGGAAGGTCTCTGTCGTGGAAAGTCGTATTAAAGGAGTCAAGTTTTACGCCTGTAATCCCAGCACTTTGGGAGGCCGAGGCAGGTGGATCACGAGGTCAGGAGTTTAAGACCAGCCTGGCCAATATGGTGAAACCCGGTCTCTACTAAAAATACAAAAATTAGCTGGGTGTGGTGGCGGGCGCCTGTAATCCCAGCTGCTTGGGAGGCTGAGGCAGGAGAATCGCTTGAACCTGGGAGGCAGAGATCGCGCCAGTGTCCTCCAGCCTGGGTGACAGAGCAAGACTCCATCTCAAAAAGAAAAAAAGAAGTCAAGTTTCAATTTTAACTTGTGTTAGTGTGTGATCCTGTCTTTGTGTGCTGTGGAACTTGGTGCTGGTGGGACACAGGCTGCTCACCCCATCCCTTGAGCTTTGCGTTTATTCCTGGGATTCTGCATGTGAATGGGAGCCTGTGCTGTATCTGGGAGATGCTGACTGGGTTGCAGGCACGTCCGAGGGTCAGGGTGGGGCCGAGTGCAGCCTCCTCCTCCAGTGGGCCTGTGTGTGGAGTGGTGGCATTCTGGGTGTCCCTGAGGCCTGGTCGTTTCCATCTTCTTCCTGAGCCCACATGGAGATGACGAGGGGTTTCCTGCTGGTCTCTTGCAGAACAGGGTTGAGTGGTGTCCTCACGTTGATCTAGCTTCTGGGTCTCCCATTCTGCATGTGAGCAGGTTGATGGGCTGTTGTCTCTTCCACGGTTAGCCTCCCTTAGGCTGGGGCTCCTTCACCCCTCTTTTCTTAGAGACATTACTGCCCAGAGTGAGAACCCCTCACGTGGGGTGGCCGTGTGGTTCCAAGACAGGGTCCTGTGGAGGCCCTGTTAGCTTCCCCACTGGAGGCCTCCCTCACAGCAGGCTCCTGTCCCGGCATCTGCACTCCAGCCAGGCAGAGTCCTGCTCCCGTGCACACCACACCCTGTCTGTCTGTGCTGTGGGCCCTTGGCGGGGTTCTGGGTGTCTGGAGCCCCTTGACCTTGTTCCTCCTACAAGGTGACCTCGTCAGGAAGCCCCAGGATGAGACTGTCCCTGGCTCCTCCAAAGGTCACTTCAGACATGTGCACCCTTTGGAGAGGTCCCTGCTGTTTCTCAGAACTGCTGGGGATGGAGGCTGAGCCCGAGAGTGCTTGCTCCTCGCGCTCCCTTCTTGCTATGGTCTCCGGAGATGCCTCCCAGGCCACGAGCCCTCCTGGCGTGGTTTTACTGGGACCTGGCTTTGCAACAAAAATAGTTGTTTTAACCTCCCTAACCACTCCCATCCCTCTTTTGTTTTTCTCTATAACGTGTAGGGTTTCTTAGCTCTCCTGTATTGGTCTCACTCCACTGGAAGGAAGGCTCAGGAACGCAGGCTGTGTCTTCTCCCGGGTGTGGCTGGGGCGGGGGCTCAGGGAATGGCTGTGATGGCCCAGTGTCCAGGAGGCTCCGGGCCCCACCCCCCGCCTTGCTGCATGACCTTCACAGTGTCACTTACCGGCCCTGACTTGCCTGCGGGCACCACGCACACGGCATGAAGGTGCCCTGGCCCGGGGCACGGACACAGCCAGAGCCACCGCGCTCCTGGCTGTCATCACGTCGTTGGCTTTGCGATCTAAACCTGCTTGTTGTTTTGGTTTTTCTTTCTTTCTGTTTTCTTTCATTCTTTTTTTTTTTTTTTTTTTTGAGACAGAATCTCACTCTGTCACCCAGGCTGGAGTGCAGGGATGTGATCTCAGCTTACTGCGGTCCCCGACTCCTGGGCCGAAGTAATCTCCCCTCACCCTCCCTCTTCCCAAGTAGCTGGGACCAGACATGCGCCACCACATCCAGTTAATTTTTTTTTTTTTTTGGTAGAAATAGGGTCTCACTATGTTTCCCGAGCTGGTCTCCAACTCCTGGGCTCAAGTGATCCTCCTGCCTCAGCCTCCCAAAGCTCTGGAATTACAGGTGTGAGCCACGGTACCTGCCCCCAAACACTCCTGACTCTTCTTATCCTAACCGGGGTCATCTTACTCTCCTCACCGAAATCTGATGTCACCTGTATGGAGGAAAGGGTGGGCCTCATGGAGGGGCAGGCCAGGGACAAGGGGACTCCTGGGCCCCAGCTGAGCCCAGCCCGTTTCCCCTCAAGGGCTGTCTCCAGGAGGACACGTTCTGTAAGTGTAGTGTTCAGCAGAGGGTGAGTTTCTGGGTCGCCGAATCCAGGCACCCTTAGGAATGGGGGCCTAAGAGGGCCTTCTGACGTGGGTTCTCTGCTGTGATTGTGGGCAGGTCTCTCAGTACTGAAGGGCCCCACGGTGTGGAGCTCAGCAGGAAGGCTGAGGTTCCCTGCGGTTTCCTCATGGCTTAGGACTCAAATGCAAATGTATCTAAAGAAAAAGGTGGTTGATAGTCACAATGAAACTTTTATTTACCTCTGGTTGTCTTAAATGCCTAGTATTGTAAAATATGGCAGAAGAATTCACTTTCATGCCTGTAATCCCAACACTTTGGGAGGCCAAGGTGGGCAGATCCCTTGAGTTCATGAGTTTGAGACCAGCCTGGAAAACATGGCAAGACCCCGTCTCTACAAAAAATACAAAAAAATCCAACCTGACCCACATGGCAAGACCCCATCTGCACAAAAAATACAGAAAGTTCCAGCCTGGAGCCTCCACCTGCAGTCCTGCAGCTCCACCCTGGCTCTTCATGAAATCGGCTAAGTCCAGGTGTGGGTGCGTTCAGTGCAGCACCCACGTGCAGGTGACACGCCCATGCACCGCCACAACCACGCTCACACCAGAACATTCCATCATCCGGAAGGCCCGTGTCTCCGCTCCAGTCTGCTTTTCGTGGATGCAAACTCATTTCCTTGAGTCGTGTGTGGGTGACAGCAGATGGGAGGTTTCTTTTGTGCCTGGCGTCTGTAGCGTGTTTTTCTTTTTCTTTTTTTATCTTTTGAGACGGGATCTCACGATGTTCATGATGTTGCCCCGGCTGGTCTTGAGCTCCTGGCCCAAAACAGTCCTCCTGCCTGGGCCTCCCAAGGGGCGTGTCTTTGAGATCTATCCACGTTGAGGTCGTTGCCAGCAGCACATTCCTCTGAGTGCTGAGCCATGCTCCGCTGGTCGGAGGGACCACAGTGTTTCCTCCACTGATAGAGTTTTGGTTTGTTTCCCGTTTTAGGTTATTATACCTGAAACATCTGCATGTAAGTCTTTGACTGGACCTGTGTTTTCATCTGTCTCAGGCCCACGTTTGGGAGTGTGTCTTTGACTGGACCTGTGTTTTCATCTGTCTCAGGCCCACGTTTGGGAGTATGTGGCTGGCTGGATAGCAGACGTAGCATAGGCCTCACTTTTCTGTGCCGTTTTGCAGTCCCACCTGCAGTGCGTGAGCATCTTGCTCCGAGACCTCACCAGCACTCTGCATTGTGATGTTCTTAATTTCAGCCGTTCCAGCAGATGTGCACTGATGCTGTGTCGTGGCTTGGATTTGTGATGCTTTTAATTTCAGCCGTTCCAGCGGATGTGTACTGATGTGTCCTGGCTTGGATTTGCTTTCACGGTGACCAGTGCTGCTCCTCGTTTGTTCATGTGCTTATTGGCCATTTGTATGTTTTCCTTGTGAAGTGTCTGTTCAATTTTTTGCCTATTTTTTCATTAAATTGTTTATTGAGCTGTATGAGTTCTTTATAAATTCTGGATAAAAAGTATTTTTTTTCTTTTTTTTTTTTGAGATTGAGTCTCGCTCTGTCGCCCAGGCTGGAGTGCAGTGGCGCGATCTCGGCTCACTGCAGGCTCCGCCTCCCGGGTTCACGCCATTCTCCTGCCTCAGCCTCCCGAGTAGCTGGGACTACAGGCGCCCACCCACCACACCCGGCTAATTTTTTGTATTTTTAGTAGAGATGGGGTTTCACCGTGTTAGCCAGGATGGTCTCGATCTCCTGACCTCGTGATCCGCCCGCCTCGGCCTCCCAAAGTGCTGGGATTATAGGCGTGAGCCACCGCGCCTGGCCTGATTTTTTTTTTTTTTTTTTTTTTTGAGACAGATCTTGCTCTGTCTCCCAGGCTAGAGTGCAGTGGCACAATCATCCTAGCGCACTGCAGCCTCAACCTGGGCTTAAGCGAATCTGCCACCTCCCGAGTAGCTGGGACTACAGGTGCCTGCCACCACGCCTGGCTAATTTTTTATAGAGATGGGGTCTCACTGTGTTACCCAGTCTGGTCCTGAACGCCTGGGCTCAAGCAATCCTCTTGTCTCAGCCTCCCAAAGCGTTGGGACTACAGACGCGTGCAGCCTACAAAGTTTTATCAGATATATGTATTGTGAATATTTTCTCCCAGTTTGTGACTTGCCTTTTCATTTCTTTAGGGCACAAATAGTTTACATTTCATGGAGGCAAGTCCTGGGCAACATGCTTTAAGTGCATTGTTCACTTAATTTTCATGATGTCCTTGGAAGTCAGAAGCTTCCCCATTTAGATATGAGGAAACTGAGGCACGGAGGGGTGCATCATCTCTCCAAGGACACACTCCAGTGGATGTAGGACCTGGGTTAGACGTGAGGACACACTCCGGTGAATGTAGGACCTGGGTTAGACGTGAGGGGACACTCCGGTGGATGTCGGACCTGGGTTAGACGTGAGGACACACTCCGGTGGATGTCGGACCTGGGTTAGACGTGAGGACACACTCCGGTGGATGTCGGACCTGGGTTAGACGTGAGGACACACTCCGGTGGATGTCGGACCTGGGTTAGACGTGAGGACACACTCCGGTGGATGTCGGACCTGGGTTAGACGTGAGGACACACTCCGGTGGATGTCGGACCTGGGTTAGACGTGAGGACACACTCCGGTGGATGTAGGACCTGGGTTAGACGTGAGGACACACTCTGGTGGATGTAGGACCTGGGTTAGACATGAGGAAACTGAGGCACAGAGGGGTGCATCATCTCTCCGAGGACACACTCCGATGGATGTAGGAACTAGGTCTCTGCCTCCATTTGCAGATGGTCATGCAGAGGGGGTCTCAGGCGAGTGTCTGGCACAGGCAGTGGCTGGGGTCTGGTGGCCCCCAGTTCTGATACTAGGCTGGTTGTGGGCTTTTCCACCAGCGATGGGACAGGACAAGACTGCAAAGGGAGCGCCCTGCCTCCTCCTCCCACGTCTGGGCTCTGACAGGCCAGAGGACGGGCAGACCCACGGCTCGTGGCTCACTCCAGCTAGCAGCGGTCACTCTGCAGGCCTCTGCTCAGGCCCCTTCTCAGCTCTTGGTGTCTTGGGCTGCTGCACTGAATCTCAGATGTTATTTCATGAACCCAAAGAGTTGTTGTCTCGGCTTGTCTTGCGCAGTGAAAAGCGCGTGTTTTACGTGTCCAGTTGCTCTTAATAGCAGATACCTGCCCTGGACGCCAGTGGCAGCATGTGCCCTCTGAGCAGCGGCCTTCAGCTTCCCAGGAACACGGGGCTCTTCCTGTCCAGCCTCCTGGGGGCTGGTCTCAGCCCTGACTGGCCAGCAGACGCAGGGTCATCTCGGAGTTACCCAGCTAGGGACTCGCAGCCAGTTGCTGGTTGGGAGTTGGAGAGTGGAGTTTAAGCCCTCTCCTTGACGTAGAGAGGATTTGGGGCCTGTTACGTGAGTATTTAGCAATGCTGCCCAAGCTCTGACACCATGCTTATGCGTTTTTGGATTTCAGGCGAGCCCACACCTTAACCGTGCTCTTCATCCTCACCTGTACGCTTGGCTATGTGACGCTGCTGGAGGAAACACCTCAGGACACGGCCTACAACACCAAGAGGTAAGCTGCCCTCTTGTCCTGCCTTCTGAAACTGCCCTGTGCCCCGTGTGGTGGGTGTGGCACCCTTACTGCTCGGGCTGCCGGGGGCTCAGAAGGCCTTCACCAGAGGGCTGCGTGGGGCCGCCGGCCTCTCCCTTGAGTGTGTCTGATGTGCAGACTCCAGGGCTGCCCTTGGTGCTGCGTGGCGTTCCCGGTCAGCCCCCGTCGCCTGTCACTGGGAGCCAGGAGTCTGTGTCATCTCCACGTGACCGGCAGCCTGTGCTGCGTTTCCTCTGAGTTTTGCATGTTGAGGTTGGAACGAGCTGCAGCAGCTACAGGGCTGAGCCCTTGAGTTTGGGCGTCTCCGGGGGTGAGGTTCCTGCGGTGGCCGCGTGCTGGTTCCGTTAGCCAGCGGGGCTCTTGCACGGACAGGGGCCGACACGGACCGCAGACCATCTGGTCAGCAGCCAAGCGAGTAAACTCGTCTTCTCAGGTTTATCTCCACAGGCAGGCAGGCTAGACCTTGGGTGTGTCCTCTGCCTGAATTCCATGGATTCTGACGCCAGTCTCAGAAGTGCGTGTGGAAGAGAAGCTGGTTTTAGAGCCTGTGAATCAGTCTTGAGTTTTCTGTGCCTGACTCTCCTCTCGCGTTGCTCTTCCGACGCGCGCACAGGGTGTGTCTGCCCAGGGCTGCCTCCTGCCCAGCAAGGCTGCTGACACCATCAGGGCCTGGCCCCACTTGCTCCGGCGGGATGGTGGGAGGAAGCCGGAGCAGGGTCTGAGACCAGCAGCAGGATGGGGACAGAGGTGGAAGGAGGCATTGGAGGCCTGTTGGTGTCGGGGCCACAAGTTGGCTCTGGTTGGCGGGAGCCCTGGGGTTTGTAGGACTTAGCTGTCCCTACAGCTCTTGGGCCAGCACTTCATTTTGTAAAGCAAGAGTCTCGCTATCTTCGTGACTGTTGGGTGGGGTGATGGGTGGGCATGGTGTGAACGTCATCACGCTTGCACGGGCGTTGGTGGCCCTGTTTGCCCACTGATTTGACACCAGCCCTGTGGGCTCTAGAACACAAGCATGCCCAGTGCCCTGTCTGTAGGGGAGCGGATGCTTTAGAATCACGCACAGCAGACCTCATAACTGAGTCCATCTCCCTGGGGGCAGTGGGGCATTTCTGGTTAGAAATTACTGTTGAGGTGCCTGGACCCAGGACTCTGCAGCCTGCTCCCCAGATGAGCTCACCCTCCATCCTCACCTGGGAGGCGCAGGTGGCCTCTCCTGTCCTGGTCTCCCTACCCTGCTCCTGGCTGCATGCTCTGTGGGTTCTCTCCCACCTTGCTGTCATCCCTCTCCCAGTCAGCTTTGCTGGCCCTTCCCCCTTTTTCTGAGCCTGAGGTGCCAGCTTGCTCCCAGGCCTGGCCTGGCCAGTGCCTCCCGTGCTCCAGGCCCAGCTCGCTCCTTCTCCCTTTCTTAGGCAGTCCCAGCGGGGGTCACGTGCAGAACCTGCAGGCCCGGTGTGCACTGTGTAACTAGGCTCCAGAAATAGATGAGGGAGCATGTGCCGTGCCTGGGGCCCCTGTGGAGGGGCCACCTGGGGACGCTGGACCTGTGGCTCTGGAGGCAGTGAGGCAGTGGGCAGGAGCCCCGTGTGTGCCTAGAGGGAGCTTTCAAGGAGGACTTGGTCTTTCTTGAATTCATCCATCAGCACCTGGCTAGGAGGGTCTGTGGCATCTGCCGGGCACAGCAGGGTAGGTGGATTAGGAAGCAGGACCGGGTCTCACCTCAAGTGTCCCACATGGCAAGAATTGTCAAGAGCAGGAGTGCAGGGGGTGTCTTGGGAGCACTCCCCGAAAGCATTCACCAGGCCCCCACCAGGCGCATCACAAAGCCTCACCACCCCAAGCCAGGCCCTGCCCTCCCAGGCCTGGTTCCTATGGGAAGCACTAGGTGACCCAGACCCAGAGGGGCCAGGAGCTTAGACCCCTGAGGGGGCAGCAGTGGTGGGCACGTCCCCCACTTCACCCAGCACTGGCCTCTCCTGAGTGGCCCCCGACGTGAGAGGCTGGGTTCTGCCATCCTGTCCTCTCCAGCAGGGAGCCCCTGCGTGTGTTCATTGAGAGGGGCCAGGAGACGGGAATTCACGGGGCCCTGGGCACTCTTCTCTGAGGTTCTGTTCTGGGGACACTAAACGCGCTCCCAACTCACATTCTCTTTCCCCCTCACCCTCTTTGAGGGCACAAAAGAAGCCACCTGTCCTTCTCTGCTGCTGGCACCTAGAACCTGCTCTGGGCTCCTTCCTGGAAGGCTCGGCTGCCCCAGGTCACCCTGGCACTGACCGTGGCTCTGTGGCTCCTTCCAGTGAAATTGCCGTGGTGCACCTGTCCTGAGTCCATTCTCATGGCCTGGACCCGCACTGCTGCACACCAGAAGCCCAGCTCCTGGGCAGCCACCCTACCTGCCCCTACGCAGGGTGTCCACACAGAGGGTGTCCGCACACAGGGTGCCCACACACAGGGTGTCCCCACACAGGGTGTCCAGAAGGCTGTGGGGGCTGGTTTACTTTTAATACTAGAATTATCTGATGTCCTCAAGGGTAGATTTTCTTATATAGAAAATACCTTCTAGGCCAGGCGCGGTGGCTCACGCCTGTCATCCCAGCACTTTGGGAGGCTGAGGCGGGCAGATCACGAGGTCAAGAGATCGAGACCAACCTAACCAACATGGTGAAATCCTGTCTCTACTAAAAATACAAAAATTAGCCGGGCGCGGTGGCTCATGCCTGTAGTCCCAGCTACTCGGGAGGCTGAGGCAGGACAATCGCATGAACCTAGGAGGTAGAGCTTGCAGTGAGCTGAGATCGCACTACTGCACTCCACCTGCCGAAAAAGCGAGACTCCGTCTCAAAAAAAAAAAAAGAAAAGAAAAGAAAATACCTTCTAGAAATTAGGCTTAATTTTATTTTTTATTTATTTTATTTTTTTTTGAGATGGAGTCTCGCTCTGTACCCCAGGCTGGAGTGCAGTGGTGTGATCTCGGCTCACCGCAAGCTCCGTCTCCCGGGTTCACGCCA
Source organism: Homo sapiens (assembly GCF_000001405.40). Taxonomy (NCBI): domain Eukaryota; kingdom Metazoa; phylum Chordata; class Mammalia; order Primates; family Hominidae; genus Homo; species Homo sapiens. Next base: position 463,333 of record NC_000011.10, read on the forward strand.
TTCTCCTGCCTCAGCCTCCCGAGTAGCTGGGAATACAGGGCCCACCACCATGCCCAGACAGTTTTTGTATTTTTAGTGGAGACGGGGTTTCACCGTGTTAGCCAGGTTGGAATTTTTTTTTTTTTTTTGGTCAATGTTGACCAGGTTGGCCTCGAACGTGTAGCCTCGCCTCCCCAAGCGCCAGAACAAACAGCCTGAGCCACTGCAGCTCCCAGCCTTATTTTTTTGTTTTCAGACAGACTCTCGCTCTGTTGTCCAGGCTGGAGTGCAGTGGCACAATCCTGGTTCGCTGCAGGCTCCACCTCCCGGGTTCCCGCCATTCTCCTGCCTCAGCCTCCCGAGTAGCTGGGACTACAGGTGCCCGCCACCATGCCCGGTTAATTTTTTGTATTTTTAGTAGAGACGGGGTTTCACCGTGTTAGCCAGGATGGTCTCGATCTCCTGACTTCGTGATCCGCCCGCCTCAGCCTCCCAAAGTGCTGGGATTACAGGCATGAGCCACCATGCCTGGCCAGCCTTATTTTTAAAAATTAATATTTATGTTATTAAAGTTAAAAAGTTATAAAACTAGTGTGTCTTTATTCAGCTTGCTGTCATTGTTCTTTTTATGGATCTAACAGGTTCCCCACCTTAGGGGATGATTTTCTTTTTCTTTTTTTTTTCTTTTTTTGGAGACAGGGTCGTGCTCTGTTGCCCAGGCTGGAGTGCAGTGGCGTGATGGCCCACTGCAACCTTCACCTCCCAGGTTCAATCAGTTCTTGTGCCTCATCCTCTGTGGTAGCTGGGACTATAGCCGTGCACCGCCACGCCCCACTAATTTTTTTATATTTTGGTAGAGACAGGTTTCACCATGTTGCCCAGGCTGGTTTTGAACTCCTGAGCACAGACAGTACACCCGCCTCAGCCTCCCAAATTGCTAGGATTACAGGCGTGAGCCACTGCGCCCGGCCCCGTTTTGCTTTTCTTGAGTCAACGTTATTGACCTATAATTTACTATAATCTGTGTCTGATTCACGCGTACGGCTGATGAGTTTTAACAGACTCAGAGCCCCGTGTGCCCACCACTGCATGGGGGTGCGAAAGTGTTCACTGTTCCCTGCGCTCAGAGTGCCTCACCCCGGCTCGGGCAGTGCGGAGGCATCTCCCCTGCGCTCAGAGTGCCTCACCCCGGCTCGGGCAGTGCCAGTGCATCTGCCTGGGTGAGAGCAGGGTCTGTGCTGCCGGCCCCGGCTTCCTGTGAACGCAGTTGCTCCTCCGGCCTGGCCTCTCCCGCTGGAGGGCAGCTTCGCGGCATCCTTGCTGTGCCTGCCGGTGGGCTCACTGGGGAGCTTCCGTTGCGTGGACACGGCACCGTTCACTGATCTGCCTGTATGGGGGTGACCCTGGGGGAGAGTCCAGCTTTCCTCACCAGTCCATTACATTTTTATCCCATTTTAAACTTAGTAAATTAAACCTCTTCACACATTTTACTCAATAAAATACATGTAACATATATAAATGTAATACACTTAAAATATAAATATCCTTACTTGTAATACATATAAAACATAATGCATATAAATATACTCACAGTGCTGAAGAATAACAAAGTTGGACACAGAAACTACACAATTTCAAGACTTCCTGTCAAAAATGCACCGAAATACCGAGCCCAGAAACAGGCGCGCACGACTGCAGGCAGCCGATCCTTGACAAAGGAACAAAGGCAAGTCCATGGCGAAGGGATGGCCTTTTCAACACTGGCGCTAGAGCAACAGAACATCCACGTGCAAATCTAGACACAGACCTGACACTTCTCACAAAACCTAATTCTAAATGGATTCTAGATAAGCCTAAATGTGAAATGAGAAGCTATAAAACTTCTCTTTTTGTTTTTGAGACAGGGTCTTGCTCTGTCACCCACACTGGAGTGCAGTGGCGCAGTCACAGCTCACTGTAGCCTCCAACTCCTGGCCTCCAGCAATCCTCCTGCCTCAGCCTCCCAAGGAGCTAGGACTACCGGTGTGCACCACCACACCCAGCTACTTTTTAAAATTTTTTGTAGAGATAAAGTCTCACTGTGTTGCCCAGGCTGGTCTCAAACCCCTGCTTTGGCCTCCCAAACTGCTGGGATTACAGATGTGAGCTATCATGCCCAGGCATAATTATAAAACATCTGAGCTATCATGCTCAGCCACAATTATAAAACATCTTGGAGAAATCACAGGAGAAAGTATAGTGACCTTGGGTTTGGTGATAATAAAATACCAGTAGCACAATCCATGAAAATAAAAACTTGATCAATTGGACTTCATTACAATTAAAATTGTCTGCTGGGTGTGGTGGTTCATGCCCTTAATCCTAGCACTTTGGAAGGCCAATCTAGGAGGATTGCTTGAGGTCACAAGTTTGAGACCAGCCTGGGCAACATAGTGAGGACCACCCCCCCCCCATCTCTACTAAAAATTAGGAAAAGATAAATTGGCTAATTGTGGTAGTACATGCCTGTGGTTCCAGGTACTCAGGAGACCGAGGCGAGAGGATTGCTTGAACCCAGGAGGTCTAGGCTGCAGTGAGCTATGGTAGCACCACTGCACTCCAGCCTAGGCGACAGAGTGAGACCTTGAAAAAATTAAAATTTCTGCTTTGTAAAAGACACTGTTAAGGGAACGAAAAGGTGAGCCACAAGCTGTTGAAAATGTTTACAAAACACCTATCTGATAAAGTACTTGTATTCAAAATATGCAAAGAACTCTTAAAGCTCAAGAAGAAGAAAAACAGGCTGGGCAGGGTGGCTCACACTTGTAATCCCAGCACTTTGGGAGGTTGAGGCAGAAGGATTGCTTGAGGCCAAGAATTCCAGACCAGCCTGTGTAACATGGTCTATTAGTCTGTTTTCATACTGCTATAAAGAAATACCCAAGACTGGGTAATTTACAAAAGAAAGAGGTTCATCGACTCACAGTTCCGAATTGCTGGGGAGGCCTCAGGAAACGTACAATCACTGTGGAAGGCAAAAGGGGAAGCAGGCACCTTCCTCACAAAGGCGGCAGGAGAGACTGAGAACGGGCACAGGAAAAACTGCCACTCTTTTTTTTTTTTTTTTTTTTTTGAGACAGAGTATTGCTCTGTTGCCCAGGCTGGAGTGCAGTGGCATGATCTTGGGGCTCACTGCAACCTCCGCTTCCTGGGTTCAAGCGATTCTCCTGCTTCAGCCTCCCGAGTAGCTGGGACTACAGGCATGCGCCACCTCGCCTGGCTAATTTTTGTATTTTTTAATAGAGACGAGGTTTCACCATGTTGGCCAGGTTGGTCTGAAACTCCTGGCCTCAAGTGATCCGCCCACCTCGGCCTCCCAAAGTGCTGAGATTACAGGTGTGAGCCACCGCGCACGGCCAAAACTGCCGCTTCTAAAACCATCAGCTCTCGTGAGACTCCCTCACTACATGAGAACAGCATGGGGGAACCGCCCCCATAACCCAGTCACTTCCCTCCCTCCACACGTGGGGATTACAATTCAAGATGAGATTTGGGTGGGGACACAGCGAAACCGTGTCACATGGCAAAACCCCGTCTCTACAAAAAATACAAAAATTAGCCAGGCGTGGTGGTGCACACCTGCAGTTCCAGCTACTCAGGAGTCTGAGGTGGGAGGATCCCTTGAGCCCGGGAGGTCAAGGCTGCAGTGAGCCAAGATCACACCACTGCACTCCAGCCTAGGCAACAGAGCAAGACCCTCTCTTTCAAACACAAACCTGGGTGACACCCACTCGGAAGGCTAAGGCAGGAGAATCACTTGAACCCAGGAGGCAGAGGTTGCAGTGAGCCGAGATGGGGCCACTGCACTCCAGCCTGGGTGACAAAGGCAAAACTTTGTCTCAAAACAAAGCAAAACCTGGGTGAAAGGTCTAAGCAGATGTTCACCAGGGAAGTTATTCAGACGGGAGATTGCGGTGGGAGGATACCCAGCATCATTTGTCCTTCAGGAACTGGAAACAGGGAGACGCCACTGCATACCCGACGGAGCAGCTAAAACCTTAAAAACCGACAGTACCAACGCTTCCAGGAACTCTCACCCATTGCTGGTGGGAATACAAAAGGCTAAAGCCGCTTTAGAAGACAGTTTCACAGACTCTCACAGAACTAAATATAAATATATTCTTGGGCTGGACGTGGTGGTTCACGCCTGTCATCCCAGCACTTTGGGAGGCTGAGGCAGGTGGATCACGAGGTCAGGAGATCAAGACAAGCCTAGCCAACATAGTGAAACCCCGTCTCTACTAAAAATGCAAAAAATTAGCCTGGCATGGTGGCAGGCACCTATAATCCCAGCTACTCGGGAGGCCAGGAGGCGGAGGTTGCAGTGAGCCGAGATCGCAACATTGCACTCCAGCCCGGGCAACAGTGCGAGACTCTGTCTCAAAAAATATAGATATAGATATAGATAGATAGATAGATTCTTACCATGCAATCTAGCAGTTTTGCTCCTGAATATTTATCCAACTGAATTGAAAACTTATGTCCACATAAAAACCTGCATGCAGGCCAGGCATGGTGGCTCACGCTTATAATCCCAGCAGTTTGGGAGGCTGAGGCAGGAGGATCGCTTGAGCCCAGGAGTTCAAGACCAGCCTGGGCAACATACTGAGACCCCATCTCTACCAAACTAAAAAACTTAGCCGAGTGTCACAGCACACACACATGGTCCCACCTGTCAAGAGGCTGAGTGGGATCTCAAGCCCGGAAGGCAGAGGTTGCAGCGAGCTGTGATTGAGCCACTGCACTGCAGCCTGGGCAACAGGGTGAGACCCCATCTCTAAAAGATAGTAATGAGCATTAAGCCACTGCGACCGGGAGGAACCTTAAATACATGTTTCTATAAATACACATTCCTAAGTGAGAGGAGCCAGTTGAGAAGGCCGCGCACTGTGATTTCAGCTCGATGACCTTCTGGAAGAGGCAATATGATGTGGTAGTGAAAACATCAGTTGTTTCCCGGGGAAAGGGGAGAGTGGATAGTAGAATGCAGCATTCGTATGGCAGTGAGGCCACTCTGTGTGGCACCATCCTGGTTGGTACATGACACTGCGTTTGTCCGAACCTGTAGAACTGGACAACACGAGCAGACCGTGTGCAGATTTTAAACATTCATTGAGGAGATGGGGGTCCCGGCGGGGAAGGCCGACTGACAAGAATCTTAACTACTGCAGATGCATTCCGTGACCTTCCTGAAGGGTGTTCAGAGGAAGGTGCTGAGTAACTTTGGAAATGAGCAGTGTCTATAAGGCCAGAGGCAAAAGGAATGGCACAGACGCTGCTCTAGTCGATAAAGTTTTGCTGCACAGAGGTGCTGACTGGCAGCTCTGTCACTGTGGTGTGTATGATGGCTGTGGGAGGGGAGTCTCTGGATAATCAGAGAAGGAGGGGAGTCTCTGGGTAATCAGAGGGAGGAGGAGGGGAGTCTCTGGGTAATTGGAGGAGGGGAGTCTCTGGGTAATCGGAGGAGGGGAGTCTGGGTAATCGGAGGAGGGGAGTCTCTGAGATGGAGGGGAGTCTCTGAATAATTGGAGAAGGAGGGGAGTCTCTGGGTAATCGGAGGGAGGAGGGGAGTCTCTGGGTAATCGGAGAAAGAGGGGAGTCTCTGGGTAATCGGAGGGAGGAGGAGGGGAGTCTCTGGGTAATCGGAAGGAGGAGGAGGGGAGTCTCTGGGTAATCGGAAGGAGGAGGAGGGCAGTCTCTGGGTAATCAGAGGGAGGAGGAGGGGAGTCTCTGGGTAATCGGAGGGAGGAGGAGGGGAGTCTCTGGGTAATCGGAAGGAGGAGGAGGGGAGTCTCTGGGTAATTGGAAGGAGGAGGAGGGCAGTCTCTGGGTAATCAGAGGGAGGAGGAGGGGAGTCTCTGGGTAATCGGAAGGAGGAGGAGAGGAGTCTCTGGGTAATCGGAAGGAGGAGGAGGGCAGTCTCTGGGTAATCGGAGGGAGGAGGAGGGGAGTCTCTGGGTAATCGGAGGGAGGAGGAGGGCAGTCTCTGGGTAATCGGAGGGAGGAGGAGGGGAGTCTCTGGGTAATCGGAGGGAGGAGGAGGGGAGTCTCCGGGGGAGTCTCTGGGTACTCGGAGGAGGAGGGCAGTCTCTGGGTAATCGGAGGGAGGAGGAGGGCAGTCTCTGGGTAATCGGAGGGAGGAGGAGGGGAGTCTCTGGGTAATCGGAGGGAGGAGGAGGGGAGTCTCCGGGTAATCAGAGGGACGAGGTTGGAGTGGCCGCTGTGATGGTGGATTACCATTGCACGTTTAGCCCAGAAGAGACAAAGATGGTTAAACAGTGTGTGCGCAGTGGTTAATGGATACACACAGATCTTGTTGCTGTACAAGCTGAGGGGGCCTAGAACCAGCTATGCTTGCAGCAGTGAGCACACCCAGGCCCAGATCCTGGTTCCTAGTGCCCTCCAGTCCACGGGGCCAGGGCTCTGAGGAGAAATGGCTGATTCCAGCACCGGGGCAGGAAATGCCCAGGATCAGCTGATCCTGGCAGTTCCAGAAAGTGAGGAGCTCTGTAAACAAAACCCCACAGTCACGGGATTGCGTCCCAGTGAAAGAGCCTCCCAGTGGCCAAAGAGCAACAAAATAATAAAGTAGTATTAGAATATAACCCAGAGTAGAAAATAAACATCCACGAGCCCATAGTGATATAAGTGATTGAGTAAATAAACAGAGGGAACAAGACCAACCTTCCCTGCAGAAGGTTTTCAGTAAATGAGGTAGATCCCCCCATTCCAGGAGCTGGCGTGAGCTCCCGGCACCGCTGTGCGCTGCGCGTGGTGACCTGACCTCCTTCCTGGGCGTGCAGCACGGAGAGGGCAGTGGGAGGAGGACGCTGCAGCCGAGGTGCCCGCAGACACCCCCAAGCCCAGTGGTCAGGTCAGCATGCACTGGTCATGTTCATGGCGTGGCCGACGGGGAGGCTGCTGCCCCATCCTCCCAACCCCGACGACCCCAGCCCGGCCATGCAGAGGCATAGTCGACCATCTCACTAAGGAACATTCCACAGAATTCCTGACCAGGCCTCCTCCAAACCATCCAGGTCATCAGAGACAAGGAGAGTCTGAGAAACCGTCCCAGCCTCGGGGAGCCTGAAGAGACAGAACGAGTAGATGCCATGTGGCTTCCAGGAAGAGATTGTTGGGGGCGGGGCAGGGGGAAGGACATCAGGGGAGAGCGAAGGAAGTGTAGGCCTCAGCAGCTGTGTGGCAGCACTGGCTTATTTATTTTTTATTTTTTATGTTTATTTTATTTTATTTTTTGAGACAGAGTATCACTGTGTCACCCAGGCTGGAGTGTAGTGGCGTGATCTCGGCTCACTGCAACCTCCGCCTCTCGGGTTCAAGTGATTCTCCTGCCTCAGCCTCCCGAGTAGCTGGGATTACAGGTGCCTGCCACCACATCTGGCTAATTTGTGTATTTTTAGTAGAGATGGGGTTTCACCATGTTGGTCAGGCTGGTCTCGAACTCCTGACCTTGTGATCCGCCTGCCTCAGCCTCCCAAAGTGCTGGGATTACAGGCGTGAGCCACCGCACCCAGCCAGCACCGGCTTATTAATGGTGAGATGTTAATGGGAAAACTGGGCCTGTGAGATATGGGAGCTTTTACTATTTTTACAATAATTCTGTAAATCTAAAACCATTCTAAAATTAAAAATTTATTTTTAAAATGCAATATATTTGTTTTCCTTTTAAAGCACTTCCCTCATTCTTACCCAACGGGACACACCTTCTCAAGTACTTAAGTAATTCTTTTTTTTTTTTTTTTTTGAGACTGAGTCTTGCTGTCACCCAGGCTGGAGTGCAGTGGCGCGATCTCAGCTCACTGCAACCTCTACCTCCCAGATTCAAGTGATTCTCCTACTTCAGCCTCCCGAGTAGCTGGGATTACAGGCGTCTGCCACCACACCTGGCTAATTTCTTATATTTTTAGTAGAGACAGGAGTTTCATGTCGGCCAGGCTGGTCTCGAACTCCTGACCTTTAATGATCCACCTACCTCAGCCTCCCAAAGTGCTAAGATTACAGGTGTGAACCACTGTGCCCGGCAAGTAATTCTTATGAACAAATTAGCCTTATAAAGTTGTCATAAACATTATGTGATGTGTGGCCAGGTTAGAGTCCTGTGTGACCCGGTCTGAGCTGGCCTCTGGGCAGCATGCCGTGTGGGGGCTGCCACAAGCTGATTCAGGGAGCACCGGCCTGGGGTGACGCACGCCTGTCGGGCGGAGGGCGGCCTGGGGTGACACGGATGGTGGCCTGGGATGACACGCGCCTGTCAGGCGGAGGGCGGCCTGGGGTGACACGCACCTGTCTGGTGGATGGCGGCCTGGGGTGACGCGCGCCTGTCGGGCGGATGGTGGCCTGGGGTGACGTGGATGGCGGCCTGGGGTGACGCAGATGGTGGCCTGGGGTGACGCGGATGGCGGCCTGGGGTGACGCAGATGGTGGCCTGGGGTGACGTGGATGGCGGCCTGGGGTGACGCGGATGGTGGCCTGGGGTGACGCGGATGGTGGCCTGGGGTGACGCGCACCTGTCTGGTGGATGGCGGCCTGGGGTGACGCGCACCTGTCGGGCAGATGGTGGCCTGGGGTGACGTGGATGGCGGCCTGGGGTGATGCAGATGGCGGCCTGGGGTGACGCGGATGGCGGCCTGGGGTGACGCGGATGGCGGCCTGGGGTGATGCGCGCCTGTCGGGCGGATGGTGGCCTGGGGTAACGCGGATGGCGGCCTGGGGTGACACAGATGGTAGCCTGGGGTGACGCGGATGGCGGCCTGGGGTGACGTGCGCCTGCACCGGGAGCAGCTTCCCTTGGCCAGTGCCCATGTTCCTCTTTTCATTTTTATCTTTTCTGGGGAGGGTAGGGGGACGTTTTACTGTCTTTCCACTGAATGTTATGACCCTCCCCACGCCCCTTGGAGGCACAGCTGAGGTGGGGCCTATGTCTGGCTCCAGGGGGCCCTGAAAGGTACTTTTTACACCTCCCACCCCTCAGCACTGAGAGACCTCGGGAGGGGTACCGGTGACAGGGACGCGGGCCCCACCTTGCTGAACCCAGCAGCGAGGGCATCTCTGCCTCTGTCCCTGGAGGCTGACAGCGGTAGTGTGGGAGCTGGGGCCTGGGTGGAGACCGGGTCAGAAACTCAGGTTTCGCCTGGGTGGGCCATGAATGTCCTGCCGAGGGTGAGACCCTCAGGGCTCTGGGTGGAGAGCAGCACCTGCCCAGAAGCAGTAGACCCTTGTCCCGGCTGCACCAGGGGCCAGCGACCTTGTGCCCTCCTCCATCCTGCAAGCCTCGGGCGGTGCTTGGCCTCACCTGCCTCTGTCTACTCAGGACTTTGAGGCCAGGCACTCCTGCAGGCAGAGAGGGGAATTTCTGAGACTGAAGTTGTTACTGGGTATTTTTTAACAGCGCTGTCTTAAAAAATAGATAGCGTGTCTCTGTGGCCCCGTCTATTCTTGCGGCCACACGAACGTGCGTGTGTGTGTGCAGCTTCCCTCACGGCAGCCAAAACCCAGAGGCCGCCCAGCGTGCGAACACGCCAAGGTGTGACTGTCGGCACGGCACTGCCGAGCCGTGGGAGGGACTGGGTGGTGCAGCGGCCAGTGGATCTCAGACCCTGAGCTGAGCACGACTGGAGAGGATGGGTGCATCCGAGCGTCTGCAGAGCACAGAGCGCGTCCGCAGAGCGGGTCCACACCTTGGGTGCAGCGAGCGGATGTGAGCAGTGTGCCTGTGACCAGGGCTGTCTGCACATCCGCCGGCCTAAGCTGCTGCTCACCGAAACCCACTGGGACTCTGGCTGAGGCCGGCCCCAAGGAGCTTTGCCGAGGAGGGAGCACCTTGCCCCTGCCCAGAGCGGTCCCTCGCATCCTCCTTCCCGTGAACCTGCATCTTTGGTTGCAGTTACAGCTCTCACGCTTCCATCTTATGAATCACAGGAGTCCCGTTGGTTTTGGATGAGTTGACACCAAAAAGACACAGGAGCTCTCTAGAGACACTTCCTGGGGGTCCTGCCGCGTTGGAGCAGGGAGGCAGTAGCTCCTGACGCCTTCCCTCCTACGTGGGCTTTGTGATCACTGATGGTCACATGCGGGGCATTCGGTGGCCTCTGTGTAGAGCCAGTGTCTTCCTGATGTGACACTGGGAACCACCAGCAGCCCAAGCACAGGGACCTTCTCCTGGCCACTGGGCGGGCTGCAAATGTGAGGGCGAATGTTGGGTGCAGGGTGGTGGAGGTAGCTGGGCCTTCCCTGCCGCGGAGGAGGCAAATGTGAGCGCGAATGTCCAGCCCAGGGTGGTGGAGGTAGCTGGGCCTTCCCTGCCGCGGAGGCGGCAAATGTGAGGGCGAATGTCCGGCCCAGGGTGGTGGAGGTAGCTGGGCTTTCCCCGCGGCGGAGTCGCCCAGCTCTGCCCGAGGCCCCTTCCTCCCGCCCCAGCATCAGGGGCTGTTCCACAATGGGTGTCTGGGGGTCCCTGCAGCCTCCCACCTCCCTCCTGGGAGAAGCCTGCACACACTGAGGGGCTGTTTGTTCTTTATTTGCAGAGGTATTGTGGCCAGTATTTTGGTTTTCTTATGTTTTGGAGTCACACAAGCTAAAGACGGGCCATTTTCCAGACCTCATCCAGGTAACTTGCCATTTCCTTTTCCGTGTGCCCCTGTGGCATTTCTGTTCTGAGCGGCCACTCTGTGTCTGTGCTGCTGGGTGTGAGTGTCCTGTCCTCCCCTCCGCCTGGCCCCTCCCCGAGGCCTCCGAGGCCACTTCCCACATGGACAAGGGCGTGGGGTTCTGAGCTGGCCGTGTGCTCCTCCTCCAACCACCGAGGGTCTCTCCAGGCCTTCTCTGGCCCTTTCACTCTTCCCTGTCCAGGGCTCTCCAGCCCTTCTCTTCCTGCTTCTGCCTCCTCTTTCCACAGACCAGAGTGGCCGAGGGCTCCAGATGGGGCTATGAGGCCGGGGGCAGGTGGGTGAGGGCACCAGATGGGGCTGTGAGGCCAGGGACTGTGGGCTCTAGGTGGGACTCTGAGACCAGAGGGGGCGGGGGTGGGTGAGGGCGCCAGATGGGGCTGTGAGGCCATGGGCGGGTGGGTGAGGGCTCCAGATGGGGCTGTGAGGCCATGGGCGGGTGGGTGAGGGCTCCAGATGGAGCTGTGAGGTGCCGCCCACCCCCTGCCCTTGAAGTGGTTGCCCAGCGCACTCTGCCTCAGCCACCACCCCACCTTATGGCCCTGAGTTCTAACAAACCCTCGTGGGCCAGAGCATCCCGCCAATCTCAGTGTACTCTGTCCCCCAAGTCCCACCCCAGGAAGGCGGGCTCAGGCTTCTGTAGGGTCGGTTGTTTCCCCTGAGTGGCCACACGAAGTAATTAGAAACATTTTCTGTTTCAACAGGAGTATGTATTATAGAAAATTTCGAAAATACAAAGATACTTAAAAATAAAGCTACCCACAAATAATAACCACTGTTAAATTTTCACGTGTTTGTGATACGGACATATTCACTTGTTTGTGTATACGGACATATTCACGTGTTTGTGTGTGCGGACATATTCACACGTTCGTGTACGGACATATTCACGCGTTTATGATACGGACATAATCATGTCTTTGTGTATATGGACATGTTCACGCGTTTGTGATACGGACATATTCACGAGTTTGTGTGATACGGACATATTCACGTGTTTGTGTGATACGGACATTCACGCGTTTGTGTGATATGGACACATTCACGTGTTTGTGTGTGGGACATATTCACGCGTTTGTGTGATACGGACATATTCACGCGTTTGTGTGATACGGACATATTCACGCGTTTGTGATACGGACATATTCACGCGTTTATGATATGGACATAATCACGTCTTTGTGTATATGGACATGTTCACGTGTTTGTGTGTACGGACATATTCACGCGTTTGTGATACGGCCATATTCACGCGTTTGTGTGATACGGCCATATTCACGCGTTTGTGTGATACGGACATTCACGCGTTTGTGTGTAGGACATATTCACATATTTGTGTGTATGGACATATTCACGCGTTTGTGATACAGACATATTCACGCATTTGTGTGTACAGACATTCACGCGTTTGTGTGATACGGATATATTCACGCATTTGTGATACAGACATATTCACGCGTTTGTGTGATACGGCCATATTCACGTGTTTGTGTGATACGGACATTCACGCGTTTGTGTGTAGGACATATTCACGCGTTTGTGTGTACAGACATATTCACAGCCTCGAAAGAGTGGAATCCTGAACACGTGGCTTTGTGCATTCTCCACTTCAGGTTCAACGACTTTAGTCATTTCCTTACTAATTTTTAAAATGACTTTAATCATTTAGGTTTAAATGACTTTAGTCATTTCCTTACTAATTTTTTAACACCCGAAATTTTAATGACTGCTTGTTTGCTGTCATTAGAATGTACTACATTTAACTAACTTATTTAAGCCATAATATTGTATATTTAGAGAGTTTCCAGTTTTATTTTAATAAACTAGGCTGTGGTGAATTTTTTCACGTATGCTCTGTGTAAATATCTGATTATTCATTTAATAAAATGTCCCAGAAGTGAGTATTGAATTAAAGGGCATACACAGTTTAAGCCTGTGATATGTGTTATAAAATTGGCCTCCAGGAGAGCAGTGTCTGCCCCAGGGTCAGTGCCATGGTGGTGAGTGAAGCTCCCCCACCCACAGAGGCCCTGAGCAGGGAGCCGTCCGGTGACCCAAGCAGGCTGGTCTTGCTGGCCCCTTCCTTGCCCAGGGCCTTGAGAGAGGGCTCCTTGAGTGCCTGGCAGGCCACTCTGCTGGCTGACAGCTGTGTGGGAAGGGCCCAGGGCCCTGTCTGCCCAGCCGGCTGAGCACAGACGGTCTTGCCTCCAAGGGGTTTGGATTCCTCAGCAGAGCCGTGGAAGGTGCAGTGATGGTGAGAAACTGCCCGTCACACAGTGAAAAGCCTGGCGCCGTGACGGTGAGAAACTGCCCGTCACACAGTGAAAGGCCTGGCGCGGTGATGGTGAGAAACTTCCCGGCACACAGTGAAAAGCCTGGTGCAGTTACGTGCTTGTTGGGTGGATTTGGAGGGAAGAAAAGCTGCCGGAAGCTCAACCCATGGCCGTCCTTGCTTGGAGATGCACCAAATCCCTCCTGGGTGGCGGCATCACTGGGGACTGGGACGCAGCCGTGAGTGGGACAGACTGGTCAGCAGGCAGCAGCTTGTCCTGGCATGTGACCCCTGGCACAGGGAGAGACTCCCGGGAGACCCTCAGCTCTGAGCAGTCAGGAGCTCTGGCGCAGGTCACCTGGCGGGATGTGGAGCATCTGGGCCTGAAGGTCTTGGCGCTTCCAAAAGCTCCGGCCGCGGCGTCTCTTGAGTTGTGGCTCGTCCCCTCCCACTGGGCAGGACTGGGGGTTCCTGGGGTGTTCAGTTTTTAGTCTGAGCTCTGCTCTACCTTTCTTCTGTCCGTTTAGTTTGCTTGGCATAAATTCCATATTACTTTGCCAATCTTCGATTTATTGACGGGGAAGCCTGTCCTGGAGCCACCTTCTTCCACGCGTCTTGTTAACTTGGGGGCCGGCAGGGAGCCCTCAACTCTCTGCAGTCACAACACATTGAAGTGGACAAGTGATGAGTCCTGTGCAGCGGAGGCTCTGGGTGGGGGGCAGGGAGAAGGGCTTTCTCCAGAAAGGTGGTCCCTGTGGGCTCTGCCCACCTTCACACTCCCCTGGGTCTGGCCCAGGAATGCCCAGTCCGGCAGCTGTAGCCGTAGCCATTAGTGACTGGGCCTCATGAGGAGGAGTGGAAATGGGCCCAGCCCGGCCATCTGGGGTGCTGCTTTCTTTGGAAACTTGAGTTGGCTGCAGCTCTGAGGGAGGTGGAACGTTCTGGGCCACTGAGGAGGGCATCCCTCCTGTGTGAACGGCATTTTCTTCCTGGCTCCCTCTGAAGGCTGTGTCAGCCACAGCATTTCCAGGGCTGCTGAGGCTGCCTGTCTGTCTTTCCCCTCTGGTGTGATGTTTAGAAAGACAAATGAGTGCTGGGGCCTGGGGGGTGGCCCTGGGGTCAGGGAGGTGCTGGAGCTGCTCCGGGAAGCGACCCAGGAATGCAGACCAAGGGCCTGCTGGGTATTCCGGGGCGGCAGCCTGGTGCTGGTCGGGTGGGAAGCGTGAGTGGGGAGAGGAGTCCGAGATGCCACCTTTCTGATCTGGGGAGCTGGGGCCTTCCCCAACAGGAGAAACATGAGAAAGATTCGACTTGGCAGTGCGGGGAGGGAAGTTAGTACTGGTCGTGGTGACCTGTGGCCCGCTCAGAACATGATGGTTTCATGGGTGTAGCTGTCCCCTCAGAGAGCGCCTGCAGGCCGGGCACCTGCTCCGAAGGCGTCCCCTTCAGTTGGCGAGCCCTTGTGGGGCGAGGGCTGCCCCGAGTTAATTTCACCACGAGCCCCTCAAACTCTTGGGCCACTGGGAAGTTTCCAGGTTCTTCTTATCCCAAGGCGTGAGGAAGAAGTTTGTGATCTCAGTCGTCTGTCTTGGGTCCCAGACCTCCCTGTGCAGCTTTTCCTAAGAACGCCAGGGCGTTTGTATTTCCTGCCAATGATGGCGGCTTTTCATGAGCCACGGGGGCCGTCTTCCCCTGAGTACGTCGGGGCCTCCTGCGTTTAGTCCGAAAACCTCACGTCTGCACGTCTTGCCGTGAGCTGCTCGGAGCCGTGGGAAGTCAGGAATTGAGGGATGGTTTCATGTTAGAAGTCTGTTAATGTAACTCATCACATCAACATGAAAAAATTGATCCCCTTAAATGCAGAAAAACAAAAATTCACATTCATCCATGACAAAAACTTAACATACTGGAATTGAAAGATTTTTTTAACATGATAAAAAGTATCCTAGCCTGGGCAACATGTCGAAACCCTATCTCTACAAAAAAAAAAAAAATACAAAAATTAGCTGGATGTGGTGGCACGTACCTGTGGTCCCAGCTACTCAGGAGGCTCAGGTAGGAGGATTGCTTGAGCCCAGGAGGCAGAGGTTGCAGTGCAACAAGATTGCACTCCAGCCTGGGCAACAGAGCCAGGACCTTGTCTCAAAAAAAAAAAGTGGCCAGCCACAGTAGCTCACACCTGTAATCCCAGCACTTTGGGAGGCTGAGGCGGGTGGACCATCTGAGGTCAGGAGTTCGAGACCAGCCTGGCCAACATGGTGAAACCCTGTCCCGACTGAAAATACAAAAATTAGCCGGGTGTGCTGGACACCTGTGAGCCCAGCTACTCGGGAGGCTGAGGCAGGAGAATCACTTGAACCTGGAGGTGAAGGTTGCAGTGAGCTGAGATTGCACCACTGCACTCCAGCCTGGGCGACAGACTCCATCTAAAAAAAAAAGGTATCCACCAAAAACCTACTCCAAACTTAACGGCGCAAGTTTAGAAGCATCACTCGTAAACACAAGGCAGGGATGTGTGCTGACTGCTTCTGTGCAACAATTTATGGGCAAAAGATTTGAGTACTGGAATGGAAAAAATGAAGAAAAAAAATTCACTTTTCAGAGAGAAATTGTGCCTAATTCTGAGTTACAGCTTTCTTTATAAAGGCTCTCCCAGGGGCCTGTGAAGGGCCCAGAAGAGACACTGGGTGTGAAGGAGCCAGGAGCCGGCCTGGGGCTGAGCGGGGCCGTGGAGGCCTGGACCGGGCGCACTAACGTTCTGTCGTCTGTCTTTGTAGCTTACTGGAGGTTTTGGCTCTGCGTGAGTGTGGTCTACGAGCTGTTTCTCATCTTTATACTCTTCCAGGTAAGCTGTTTTTCTGGGTTGGATACCTGGGAACTTAGGTGACAGTGTGGCCCCAGGCATGGTGACAAAGGAGGCCTTGCCCACACAGCCCTCGAGTGATGGGAGGAAGCAGGGCTAGACCCCCACAAAGTAGGCCGAGCTGCGGGGGGTCTCCAGGAGCATCTGTGCGGCCCTTGAGTGATGGGGGGCAGCAAAGCTAGACCTTCAAAACGTAGGCCGAGCTGCGGGGGGCCTCCAGGAGCATCTGCTGGTGGGGCGCTGACTGTGGCCATTTAGCAGGGCCACACTTAAGGAGGGCAGGGCCAGTGGTGCAGGCACAGAAGAGGGCAGGGCCAGTGGTGCAGCTGCCAGGGTGGCTTTGCCCACAGCTGTCGTATCTGAGTGCTGGTGGGGACTGGGCGTGAAGGGAGCCGCAAGTCAGGTCCTGCGATGCAGGCCAGCGTCTGCATGGCCGGGGCAAATCTGGGCCTCAGAGGGGACCCCAGCGCCAAGAGGGACGGGGTCTTTGTTTTTGTGTTTTGTGGTTGACCAGTGTGACTGTGTGTGCTTCTTCCCCATCCTGACCACATTCTGCAAGACGAGCAGGGTGCAGGTGGGAGACGCAGCTCCTTTGTAAATCCTGGGTCAGGCTGTGTTGCTGCTGCAAATGCCTACTTTATTAATACTCTTTGTTCTGTTTAACTTAGTGTAAACACACATTTTTGGGGCTGTCTTCAGCTTACAAAGGACTTTATTATTCCCAATCTTAAAACTCCATCAGTGCATGATGAGATTTTTTATCATCGTGGCAAAATTGACTTTTCTGAGGCAGTGTACATTCTGTGAATTTTAGCATTTGTGTAGACTTCTAGAAACACAATTAGGACGCACAAGAATTCCACTGGCCCTAAAACTCCTTTGTGTTACCCCTTGGTAGTCATACCCGGCCCTGACCCCTGACAGCTGGTGAGGGTTCGCTTCTGTCTCTTCTAGAATGGAATCGTGGGGTGGGCAGCCTCTTCCCACCCTGCACAGTGCCTCTGAGGTTCACCCAGGATCATGCGGTGGGCAGCCTCTTCCCGCCCTGCACAGTGCCTCTGAGGTTCACCCAGGATCATGCGGTGTGCAGCCTCTTCCCGCCCTGCACAGTGCCTCTGAGGTTCACCCAGGATCATGCGGTGGGCAGCCTCTTCCCGCCCTGCACAGTGCCTCTGAGGTTCACCCAGGATCATGCGGTGGGCAGCCTCTTCCCGCCCTGCACAGTGCCTCTGAGGTTCACCCAGGATCATGCGGTGGGCAGCCTCTTCCCGCCCTGCACAGTGCCTCTGAGGTTCACCCAGGATCATGCGGTGGGCAGCCTCTTCCCGCCCTGCACAGTGCCTCTGAGGTTCATCCAGGTTGCATGTGTCTTCCTGCGCTCCTCTTTCTTTTACTATTTATTTTTTGAGACGACGTCTTACTCTGTCACCCAGGCTGGAGTGCAGTGGTGTGATCTCAGCTCACTGTAGCCTCCACCTCCCGGGTTCAAGTGATTCTCCTGCCTCAGCCTCCCAAGTAGCTGGGATTACAGGCACCTGCCACCATGCGCCACTAATTTATTGTATTTTTAGTTTCATCTTGTTGGCCAGGCTGGTCTTGAACTCCTGACCTCAAATGATCCGCCTGCATTGACAGGGCACGGTGGCTCATGCCTGTAAACCCAGCACTTTGGGAGGCTGAGGTGGGCGGATCACAAGGTCAGGAGATGGAGACCATCCTGGCTAACACGGTGAAACCCCGTCTCTACTGAAAAATACTAAAAAATTAGCCGGGCGTGGTCGCGGGCGCCTGTAGTCCCAGCTGCTCGGGAGGCTGAGGCAAGTGAATGGCCTGAACCCGGGAGGCAGAGCTTGCAGTGAGCCGAGATCACGCCACTGCACTCCAGCCTGGGCAACAGAGCGAGACTCCGCCTCAAAAAAAAAAAAAAAAGATCTGCCTGCCTTGGCCTCCCAAAGTGCGGGGATTCCAGGTGTGAGCCACCACGCGCGGCCTGGGCTCCTCTTTCTCGGCAGTGACAGTTTCTCAGGCCCCTTGTTTTTGGTGAGCTGGACGGTTTCGAGGATTGGTCATGATCTAGTAGAATATCCCTCAAGTGACATTTGCAATTGGGAAGTGTGAGTTCACCCAGTTTGTTCTTTTTCAAGATGGTTTTGAATCATCTGGGTCTCTTGCGTTTCCAAATGAATGTGAGGGTCACCCTTTCCATTCCTGTGAAAAGAACAGGTGGAATTTTTTATGGGGATTGCATCGAATCTGCAAGTCTGTTTTGGGAGTAGTGTCATCCTGACAATATTAACTCCGTCAGTCCTTGAAGATGGGATGGCTTTCCATTTATTTAGGTCTTTAATTTCTTCCAACAATGTGTTACAGTTTTCAGAGTTTAAGTTTTGTACTTCCTTTATTACATTTACTCCAATTATTTTGTTCATTGTGTGCTCTTGTAAGTGGAACTGTTTTAATTTTACTTTTGCATTGCTCGTTACTCATGTATGGAAATGTAGCTCATTTTTGTGTACTGATCTTGCGTCCTGCAACCGTGCTGAACTGATTAGCTCTAATAGTTGTGGTGTTTTGGGGTAGACTCTTAAGAATATTCTATATTCAAGATTATGTCATCTACAAATAGAGATAGTTTTACCTGTTCCTTTCCAATCTAGATGTCTTTTATTTCTTTTCTTTTTTTTTTTTTTAGACTGAGTTTTGCTCTTGTTGCCCAGGCTGGAGTGCAGTGGTGTGATCTTGGCTCACCGCAACCTCCGCCTCCCAGGTTCAAGCAATTCCCCTGCCTCAGCCTCCCGAGTAGCTGGGATTACAGGCATGCACCACCATGCCCAGCTAATTTTTTTTTTTTAATTTTTAGTAGAGACAGGGTTTCTCCATGTTGAGGCTGGTCTTGAACTCCTGACCTCAGGTGATCCGCCCACCTTGGCCTCCCAAAGTGCTGGGATTATGGGCATGAGCCACCGTGCCCGGCCGATGTCTTTTACTTCTTTGCGTAGCTGCCCTGCCCAGAACCTCCAGCTCAATGTTTCCTAGAATAGGCAAGGATGGGCTTTTTTTTTTTTTTTTTGAGACGGAGTCTTGCTCTGTCGCCCAGGCTGGAGTGCAGTGGCACGATCTTGGCTTACTGCAAGCTCCGCCTCCCAGGTTCTAGCGATTCTCGTGCCTCACCCTCCG
Organism: Homo sapiens; assembly: GCF_000001405.40. Lineage (NCBI taxonomy): Eukaryota > Metazoa > Chordata > Mammalia > Primates > Hominidae > Homo > Homo sapiens. The sequence continues at coordinate 482,348 of NC_000011.10, forward strand.
TAGTAGCTGGGATTACAGGAACATGCTACCACACCCGACTAATTTTGTATTTTTAGTAGAGTCGGGGTTTCACCGTGTTGGCCAGGCTGGTCTCAGAACTCCTGGTCTCAAGTGAGCCACCGCACCTGACTAATTTTTTAACTTTCTGTGGAGATGAGGTTTCGCCATGTTGGCCAGGCTGGTCTCAAACTCCTGAGCTCAAGCGGTCTGACCCCTTTGGCCTCCCAAAGTGCTGGGAGTATAAGCATGAGCCACTGTGCCTGGCCAGATGGACATTCTTATCTGATTCCTGATCTTAGGGGAAAAGCATCCAGTCTTTATCCCACTGAGTGTGTTAGCTGTGAGTTTTTCATAGATCTCCTTACCGAGTGGAGAAAGTTCTGTGAGTTTTTTGTAGATCTCCCTACCGAGTGCAGAAAGTTCTGTGAGTTTTTCGTAGATCTCCCTACCGAGTGGAGAAGGTTCTGTGAGTTTTTCGTAGATCTCCCTACCGAGTGGAGAAGTTTCTGTGAGTTTTTCGTAGATCTCCCTACCGAGTGCAGAAAGTTCTGTGAGTTTTTCGTAGATCTCCCTACCGAGTGGAGAAGGTTCTGTGAGTTTTTCGTAGATCTCCCTACCGAGTGCAGAAAGTTCTGTGAGTTTTTCGTAGATCTCCCTACCGAGTGGAGAAGGTTCTGTGAGTTTTTCGTAGATCTCCCTACCGAGTGGAGAAGGTTCTGTGAGTTTTTCGTAGATCTCCCTACCGAGTGGAGAAGGTTCTGTGAGTTTTTCGTAGATCTCCCTACCGAGTGGAGAAGGTTCTGTGAGTTTTTCGTAGATCTCCCTACCGAGTGGAGAAGGTTCTGTGAGTTTTTCGTAGATCTCCCTACCGAGTGGAGAAGGTTCTGTGAGTTTTTCGTAGATCTCCCTACCGAGTGGAGAAGGTTCTGTGAGTTTTTCGTAGATCTCCCTACCGAGTGGAGAAGGTTCTGTGAGTTTTTCGTAGATCTCCCTACCGAGTGCAGAAAGTTCTGTGAGTTTTTCGTAGATCTCCCTACCGAGTGGAGAAGGTTCTGTGAGTTTTTCGTAGATCTCCCTACTGAGGGGAGAAGGTTCTGTGAGTTTTTCGTAGATCTCCCTTACTGAGTGGAGAAAGTTCTAGTATATTCCTAGTTGGTTGAGTGTTTTTATCATGAAAAGTTGTTAGATTTTTGTTAAATGATTTTTCGCATCAAGTGAGATGATCATATGGGTGTTTTTCCCCCTTTGTTAATATGATGAATTACATTGATTGATTTTCTTATCCTGAACCAACCTTACATTCCTGGGATAAATCCTGCTGGGTCCCAGGGTGTGCCTTTTTACATACTGCTGGACTTGCTTTCCTAGCATTTTATCTAAGATTTTTGCATCCATATTTGTAAGAGGTACTGTCCTTTAATTTTCCTGGAATGTCTTGTTCTGGCTTTGGCACCAGGGTTTGTGAGGATGTCTGACGTTTTCTCAGTATTTGTCTGGGGTGAAGGCGCGCACTGGCACCATCACCATGACGTATCCCTGGCGCTGTGGACCTTGACTGCCTGGCGAGATGTGTCTGTCAGGCTTTCCACTGTCAATCCATAGTGCATTCTCCACAAGGAGGTCACTGGTGCAGCCTGCATGGAGGGAGGGGAGTTTCGTTGCCCCCCTTGGTGTGTGGCGTCTGCACGTTGCCAGGAATTCTTGTGCATGGGAGAGATCCTGCTTCTCTACCATTAGTTATTCCATCATGTATTTATTTATATCAGTGTGGACGTACAGATACTTGTCTTACACTTGCATATTTATTTCAGCGCTGCTCTATTTATCGTGGTGCCCAAATTCTTTTGCCAAAAGGAATTTCCACGTGGTTCCTGTATTGCTTTCACACACCCTCACGGAGTTCTTGGCTTTTCGTTTTGTTTTTCTGAGGACATCCTGACTTCCTAGCACTGCGGGATGCTCCAGGCTCCTCCTGTCCACTCCCCACCCTGGTCCTGGAATCAGCCCCTTCTCCAAGAGCCTTGGGTCCTTACTGAATATTAGGAACTGAGGCCTGGGTGTTGGGTGGGCTGCGTGGTCCTGGGTGCCATAGCTCACAGAGGACGGGCATGTGTGCACTCACTGTGTGTGCAGGCGTCTGTAAACACAGCCAGTGCAGGGGTGCGTGTGTGCTGTGTGCGCAGGAGAGTGTAAACAGTGCACGGGCGCGTGTGTGCTCACTGCGCAGGCATCTGTAAATAGTGCATGGGCGTGTGTGCTCACTGCGCAGGCATCTGTAAACAGTGCATGGGCATGTGTGCTCACTGTGTGCACAGGCGTCTGTAAACTGCACGGGCGTGTGTGCTGTGTGTGTGCAGGCGAGCGTAAACAGTGCACGGATGCGTGTGCTCACCGTGTGCGCAGGCGAGTGTAAGTGCACGGGTGTGTGTGCTGTGCGCAGGCGAGTGTAAACTGCACGGGCGCGTGTGCTCACCGTGTGCGCAGGCGAGTGTAAACAGTGCACGGGTGCGTGTGCTCACTGTGCGCAGGCGTCTGTAAACAGTGCACGGGCGTGTGTGTGCTCACTGCGCAGGCGAGTGTAAACTGCACGGGCGCGTGTGTGCTCACTGTGTGCGCAGGCGAGCGTAAACTGCACGGGCACGTGTGCTCACTGCGCAGGCGAGCGTAAACAGTGCACGGGCGCGTGTGTGCTCACTGTGTGCGCAGGCGAGTGTAAACTGCACGGGCACGTGTGCTTACTGTGCACAGGCGAGTGTAAACAGTGCACGGGCGCGTGTGCTCACTGTGTGCGCAGGCGAGTGTAAGTGCACGGGCGTGTGTGCTCACTGCGCAGGCGAGTGTAAACTGCACAGGCGCGTGTGTGCTCACTGTGCGCAGGCGAGTGTAAACTGCACGGGCGCGTGTGTGCTCACTGCGCAGGCGAGTTTAAACAGTGCACGGGCGCGTGTGTGCTCACTGTGTGCGCAGGCGAGTGTAAGTGCACGAGCGCGTGTGTGCTCACTGCGCAGGCGTCTGTAAACAGTGCATGGGCATGTGTGCTGTGTGTGTGCAGGCGACCGTAAACAGTGCACGGACGCGTGTGTGCTCACCGTGTGCGCAGGCGAGTGTAAACAGTGCACGGGTGTGTGTGCTCACTGTGCAGGCGAGTGTAAACTGCACAGGCGCGTGTGCTCACCGTGTGCGCAGGCGAGTGTAAACAGTGCACGGGCGCGTGTGCTCACCGTGTGCGCAGGCGTGTAAACTGCACGGGCGCGTGTGCTCACTGCGCAGGCGAGTGTAAACAGTGCACGGGCGCGTGTGTGCTCACTGTGCGCAGGCGAGTTTAAACAGCGCACGGGCGCGTGTGTGCTCACTGCGCAGGCGAGTGTAAACTGCACGGGCGCGTGTGCTCACTGCGCAGGCGAGCGTAAACAGTGCACGGGCGCGCGTGTGCTCACCGTGCGCGCAGGCGAGCGTAAACAGTGCACGGGCGCGCGTGTGCTCACCGTGCGCGCAGGCGAGCGTAAACAGTGCACGGGCGCGCGTGTGCTCACCGTGCGCGCAGGCGAGCGTAAACAGTGCACGGGCGCGCGTGTGCTCACCGTGCGCGCAGGCGAGCGTAAACAGTGCACGGGCGCGCGTGTGCTCACCGTGCGCGCAGGCGAGCGTAAGCAGTGCACGGGCGCGCGTGCTCACCGTGTGCGCAGGCGAGTGTAAACAGTGCACGGGCGTGTGTGTTCACCGTGTGCGCAGGCGAGTGTAAACACAGCTGGTGCCCTGGTGCGTGTGTGCTGTGAGCACAGGTGTCTGTAAATGATGTAAACCTCCCTTGACGTCAGGCCCAAAAGCCTGCCTTGCCCTAAGGTCAAGAGGTGTATCTGGCTGATGCCAGCGTCTGGGTGAGGAAAGAGCAGGTTCCACAAGGGCGACTCCTGTGAGGGTGTTGGCCTGAGCGCGCATGCGGGGAGGGGTCGGGGTGGGGGCGGCGCGCCGCAGTAACTCAGGGCCCCATCCCGCTCCCGTCTGTCCAGCGGTCCTAGACCCCCATGTCCTGAAGCGCACCTGTGCCCACCTGGCCCCGGGGAGCGCAGGTGTGGAGATGGGGTGTCGTGCCTGGGGGTTCCTTCCCCACGCGCTGCCCCACCAGGATTTCCCTGGGGTGGGGAGGGCTGCTGAGACAGGGCGCTGCCCTCCTCCAGGGTGACTGAGATGCAGTTTACAACCATGATCTCCTGGCCGGGCGTGGTGGCTCACGGCTGTAATCCCAGCTCTTTGGGAGGCCGAAGTGGGCGGATCACGAGGTCAGGAGATCAAGACCATCCTGGCTAGCACGGTGAAACCCCGTCTCTACTAAAAATACAAAAAAAAAATACTAGCCGGGCGTGGTGGCGGGCGCCTGTAGTCCCAGCTACTCGGGAGGCTGAGGCAGGAGAATGGCGTGAACCCAGGAGGCGGAGCTTGCAGTGAGCCCAGTTCACGCCACTGCATTCCAGCCTGGGCGACAGAGCGAGACTCCATCTCAAAAAAATAAAATAAATAAACAACCATGATCTCCCGTTTCAAGTTGCCACCACTAACTGTAGCCCCGCTGACGGGGGCACTGGCCTTGCAGACTGTCCAGGACGGCCGGCAGTTTCTAAAGTATGTTGACCCCAAGCTGGGAGTCCCACTGCCAGAGAGAGACTACGGGGGAAACTGCCTCATCTACGACCCAGACAATGAGACTGACCCCTTTCACAACATCTGGGTAAGACGCCGGGGGCCCTGAGGCGAGCCCCTCCCCAGGTGTGGCCCCGTGCCGGACCAGGCGCCATCCACGCTCCTGCCTCGCACCCCTCAGCCCACACTTGGGGTCTCCTGGTGCAGAGATGTGCTGAGGCCCTGTCCGTCTGGATGGTGCTCATGGTGGGCAGGGGGCCCCTGCTCTCTAGGCTGTCGTGGACGTGGTCTCCACAGGCCACGGCAGCACCTGTGAGTCCCTGGCCTTCTTCCCGGGGTCTGGCAGGTGCTGCTCAGGTGTGGGCTGATCTGCCGGTGTGGGGAGTGGGGGTGGCTGTGCCCCAGGGTCAAGGGTCATACCCTGTCGCCCACAGGACAAGTTGGATGGCTTTGTTCCCGCGCACTTTCTTGGCTGGTACCTGAAGGTACGGCACCTCCTCTTCCCGGCCTCCCCGCCCCGGTTCTGAGGCCTGCCGTGGGCTCTGGACCGTTTCTGTCCATGGAGTTGAGCTCAGGGTGCTCTGAGTGTGGTGGGAGGGTGTCGCACTGCAGCCACCCAGAGGTTCGAGAAGCCGTGGGGCTCCCGGACCTCCCAGAAGCCCTGATCCTGGTCGGGTCCCCGCTCCGTCCTCAGGGTCGGGGCGGTGGAAAGAGGCGGCAGGGCAGGAAGTCCCGCCCCTGCCTGGGCTTGGGCACTGCCCCATCCCACTTCTGAGGGACCCTGTGCTACCTATGGGGCTAAGAGCAGTGCCTGCTTGACCCTGCAGCCCACCCTGGCAGAGTTTGGTGTCAGGCCCCGGGCACGGGGATGCTGCCTTGTTTGCTGACAGTCGTACATCGAGGCTGCTGGAGGGGCAGCCACCCACCCCACGCTCACCCTGAGACCTCACTGGGGGCCCTGCCAGTGCTGTCGACTCCAAGAATGCTGCCAGCCGGGGTGGGGGCTGCACGCACCCGTGGGCAGGGCCGGGCGTGGCCTGCGTCCCATACTCTGGCTGCCAGCCGGGTGGGGGCTGCACGCACCCGTGGGCAGGGCCGGGCGTGGCCGGCGTCCCATACTCTGGCTGCCAGCCGGGGTGGGGGCTGCACGCACCCGTGGGCAGGGCCGGGTGTGGCCGGCGTCCCATACTCTGGCTGACCCTGGCGCCCACAGACCCTGATGATCCGAGACTGGTGGATGTGCATGATCATCAGCGTGATGTTCGAGTTCCTGGAGTACAGCCTGGAGCACCAGCTGCCCAACTTCAGCGAGTGCTGGTGGGATCACGTAGGTGCCAGCACAGCCCCCGGGGCAGTCGGTGCAGGCTGAGGGGCATTCTCGGAACCCCTGTGCCCAGCGCGGCCCCTGGACCCCCTCATTCTCCCCGGGGGGCAGTGGGTGCAGGCTGAGGGGCATTCTCGGTTCCCCTGTGCTCTTCCGGGGTCCTCCTCGGGGGGCTCGTTACCCCTCACCCCTGCAACGAGTGCTGGCCCCTCCCTGCAGTGGATCATGGACGTGCTCGTCTGCAACGGGCTGGGCATCTACTGCGGCATGAAGACCCTTGAGTGGCTGTCCCTGAAGACGTACAAGTGGCAGGGCCTCTGGAACATTCCGACCTACAAGTACGTCGTGGGGGCTGCGAGGGCAGGGCCGGGTGGGGGTTACCTGGAGGCAGCCTCAGCGTCCGTGCTCCAGCAGACCCCGAGCACCAGGCCCGTCCAGTGTGCGGCTCAGGAGGGGTGACCGTGGGGCTTTGCCTCCTGGAACCTCCCTCTGACCTGGTGTCACTCAAGCCCGGCCGCCCCTCACAGTGGCCATGGCGTCTGACCCACGTACCTCCCTCCTCAATCCCTGGCCGGCCTGGCGCAGGGGCTGTGGGATCATTCCGTGCTTCTCCCTCCCTTGGTTGCTTTGGTTATGAAATAGTTGCAGGTACTTTGTCATTATGACTTTGGAATTTAAAAAAGAAACAGAAGTCTAAGGAAAGGCCTGGGGGACGGGGGTCTCCCCTCCTGCCTGTGGGTGCCCCGGCTCTGCCTGGCTCTGCAGACATGGCTAGCTCACGGCACCGTGGAGCGCCCTCTGAGGCGCTGCAGCCACTGCTCAAGCTGGAAGAGACTGAACAGCAGAGGGCCGTGGAGAAGCAGGGCTTGTAGCTGGGTGGCCAGACCTCGGAGAACAGCCGGGCAGCAGCTGGGTAACCAGGAACAGAGTCTGTGGCCCGATGGCACAGGGCGGGGCGGGGTGACCAAGAGCAGAGCTCGTCCGATGGCACAGGGCGGGGCCGGGTGACCAGGAACAGTCTGTTGCCCGATGGCACAGGGCAGGGTTCGGTGGGCTGCCTTCCTCAGGCTGCCGGCTCTGTGGTTCCCAGGGGCAAGATGAAGAGGATCGCCTTCCAGTTCACGCCGTACAGCTGGGTTCGCTTCGAGTGGAAGCCGGCCTCCAGCCTGCGTCGCTGGCTGGCCGTGTGCGGCATCATCCTGGTGGTAAGGCCGGGCTGCCTCGCGACGGCGCGGCGGGCGGGGGGCCAGAGCTGGTGCTCACCCTCTCCTCCCCTAGTTCCTGTTGGCAGAACTGAACACGTTCTACCTGAAGTTTGTGCTGTGGATGCCCCCGGAGCACTACCTGGTCCTCCTGCGGCTCGTCTTCTTCGTGAACGTGGGTGGCGTGGCCATGCGTGAGATCTACGACTTCATGGATGACCCGTGAGGGCTGCGGCAGTCCGGGTGGAGACACCCCCGGGGGGCAGGGGCCGGAGGGCTGGGGAGCAGAGCCTGGGAGGCCGGAGCCTGGGCAAGTCCGCCTGGAGGACCCTGCGGGGCCCGGGACGCTGAACCCCCTGCTGCCCCTGCAGGAAGCCCCACAAGAAGCTGGGCCCGCAGGCCTGGCTGGTGGCGGCCATCACGGCCACGGAGCTGCTCATCGTGGTGAAGTACGACCCCCACACGCTCACCCTGTCCCTGCCCTTCTACATCTCCCAGTGCTGGACCCTCGGCTCCGTCCTGGCGCTCACCTGGACCGTCTGGCGCTTCTTCCTGCGGTGAGTCAGGGCAGGGCGCGTATGTTCTGAAGGAGGGCCGCTGTCCGGGTCCCTTGGCACAGGCACTGTGGGAGTTTGGTGTCGTTGGTGTCTCACTGTCCCTGCTTCAACCCTCTGGCCGCCTCTGCGGGAGGCGCCTTTCCTGACCCAGCCCTCGGGGCCTTCGCTCTGCACTGACAGATCCAGGCTCCTCAGGGCTCCAGTCTGCCACGGCTGCCGTCCCAGGGCCAGGGTACCCGGCACCCACCCAGTCCATTCCGGACCTCCACAGGGACTAGGTGCCAGCTGTCCATGGGGCCTGCAGTGGGGCTGGTGTGGGGGCAGGTGGTGACGCTGCATCCCGCTCCCCAGGGACATCACATTGAGGTACAAGGAGACCCGGTGGCAGAAGTGGCAGAACAAGGATGACCAGGGCAGCACCGTCGGCAACGGGGACCAGCACCCACTGGGGCTGGACGAAGACCTGCTGGGGCCTGGGGTGGCCGAGGGCGAGGGAGCACCAACTCCAAACTGACCTGGGCCGTGGCTGCCTCGTGAGCCTCCCAGAGCCCAGGCCTCCGTGGCCTCCTCCTGTGTGAGTCCCACCAGGAGCCACGTGCCCGGCCTTGCCCTCAAGGTTTTTTGCTTTTCTCCTGTGCACCTGGCGAGGCTGAAGGCGAGGGGTGGAGGAGGCCCCAGCACAGCCTCATCTCCATGTGTACACGTGTGTACGTGTGTATGCGTGTGTGTACGCGTGTGTACGCGCGTGTGTACACATGCGTGGCCGCCTGTGGTGTGCACGTGTGCTCTGGGCTCCGAGGCTTCTCCAGAGCTGGGAGCTGGCTGGCGTGGCAAGGGCATGCTCTGGGGCAGTGTGTCCCTCAGGAACCAGGGTCCTCCCTCCCCTTTCTGCCTGGTCAGCCCCGTGGCCTCTGGCCCACCAAGCTCCCTGTCACCCAGCCATGGTGTGGTCCAGGCAGGGACATCTCGGTACCCTTTCTGCACTCCGTGGGCCCTGGGTGCGCTGAGGCCTGGAGGCGTCTACACTGGCTCCACATCCACTTCCCCCGCAGCTCGTGTGGGCGCTCGTCCACAAACACTCCGTGGCTGAGAGGCAGCGGATCCAGGCAGCGATGCTGAGCCACCTCCTCCGAGCCTTCCTTTCACACAGACCACCCCGGAGGACACGTGGATGATGGGGTCAGAGATCACTGAGCTGCCCCTCAAGGGGGCCTGGAACCCGGGTGCTGGGGTCATGCTGCCTCCGTGGCTCCAAGGTGAGGGTCATCTTCACGAGCAAAGAGAACCAATAAAGTGACAACGAACGTCTGAGGCTTCCAGCCCTCCCCCCAGCTCCCCGTGTCCTGCTTTGGGGTCCAGTGCAGCCCTCCAGCCTGCCCTCATGCCCAGTGCCCACTTGGGGAAAACCACACAGAGGACAGGAGGCACTCAGCCTCTGCACCTGAGCAAAGACTTGGCGCCTGCCCCGCCCCACCCCCCAGAGAGAGCAGGTGCCAGATGCAGCCCCTCTCCCATTCTCCAGGAGGGTCCAGGTGGCACCCACCCTCTGCTGCGCTTGTCCAAGGGCTGGCGGCCACTGGGCAGTGGACACAGGATTCCTGGGGTACTGTGTTTGTCCCAGGCTGGCAGACACTGGGCAGTGGACACAGGATTCCTGGGGTGCTGTGTTTGTCCCAGGCTGGCAGACACTGGGCAGTGGACACAGGATTCCTGGGGTGCTGTGTTTGTCCCAGGCTGGCAGACACTGGGCAGTGGACACAGGATTCCTGGGGTGCTGTGTTTGTCCCAGGCTGGCAGACACTGGGCAGTGGACACAGGATTCCTGGGGTGCTGTGTTTGTCCCAGGCTGGCAGACACTGGGCAGTGGACACAGGATTCCTGGGGAGGGGCAGCCGCCTTCTCGGGCCACTATTTTTATGTTTTTTTTTCTTTTTCTTTCCTTCCTTTTTGTGGAGAACGGGGTCTCGCTATATTGCCCAGGCAGATCTCGAACTCCTGGGTTCAAGTGATCCTCCTGCCTCTGCCTCCCTGAGAGCTGGGATTACAGGCGTGAGCCACCATGCCCAGCTTGAGCCACTATTTTTTTGAGATGGAGTCTCACTCTGTCAGCCAGGCTGGAGTGCAGTGGCGTGATCTTGGCTCACTGCAACCTCTGCCTCCTAGGTTCAAGTAATTCTGCCTCAGCCTCCCAAGTAGCTGGGATTACAGGCGCATGCCACCATGCCCGGCTAATTTTAGTACTTTTAGTACAGATGGGGTTTCACCATGTTGGCCAGGCTGGTCTTGAACTCCCAACCTCAGGTGATCCACCCGCCTTGGCCTCCCGAAGTGCTGGGATTACAGGCGTGAGCCACCGCGCCCAGCCAGGCCACTATTTCTAAAACTTTACCATGAAAATTTTCAAACACAAATGGAGAGAAAAGGGGTTCCCTGAGCCCTGTTCCTAGCTGGAGGGGGTAGTAAGGGGTGTTGATGGCTGATTGGACACAGCCTGGGGGGACTCCGGGAGCCATTTGCACCCACACCCCCGGGTCTGCCTCGGGGCCCCGGGCGTCAAAAAGCTTTACTTTTAGTATTTTTCCTTGACTACTTTTGGGGAAAATTTCAAGCCCTCTAAGTCAAGGGCTGTAATGTGGAGCACACACAAGAGCAGCCTCTGGGGCTCAGCAGGAAGACGTCCGGTGTGGCCACCGCGCCTAGCAGTCCTCTTTCCAGTCACGGCCACTCACAGCTTTGGCCTCCGTGGCCCTGCACGGATGAGTTCTTCCAGCTGCCCTGCCCTGCGTGCTGCAGGACACATGGGGCCTTAGCATTCTGCTCTTTGCAGGTGGCAGCTTTGATCGCTCAGGAGGAACTGCCACCTGATCTCCCCACTGCAGGGGCCCCCACTCCCCCCCTCACGCGCTGCGGGTCCTGTCACTCCACCCACGCTGTCCATCCCCGCTGATGCTCTGAGCCAGGTGGTAGCAGGTGGGGGTGGCGCCCCGCTCACGGTCTCCATCTGCTCTTCCCGAGGAGGGCGAGGCAGGGCTTGTGATTAAAGTCCTGTGTTCCGGCGCCCGTGTCCCAAAGGCAGCCCCTGGGAGCCCTTCCGGCAGCAACTCAACCCCAGACAGCGCCCAGGGGCTCTGGTTCCTCACGCGCTGAGATGCTCCGGACTCACCTTGGGCATCTCTCGCCCCAGGCCTGGCGTCACCCATTTCCCCAAGGAGCTCTGTTCCCCACTGGAGGTCATAGTTAAGAAACTAAGATCCTGGGTCACTTTATTTTACTTATTTATTTTTGAGACGGAGTCTCACTCTGTCGCCCTGGTTGGAGTACACTGGCGTGAGCTCAGCTCACTGCAACCTCCACCTCCCAGGTTCAAGCGATTCTCATGCCTCAGCCTCCCGAGTACCTGGGATTACAGGCATGCGCCACCATACCCAGCTAATTTTTGTATTTTTAGTATAGATGGGTTTTCACCGTGTTGGCCAGGCTGGTCTCCAACTCCTGACCTCAAGTGATCCGCCCACCTCAGCTTCCCAAAGTGCTGGGATTACAGGCATGAGCCACCGCGCCCAGCCCCTGGGTCACTTTAAAGGGCTTTATAGCCAGGTGCAATGGCTCACACCTGTAATACCCGCACTTTGGGAGGCCAAGACCAAACACCAGCCTCGGCAACATGGCAAGACCCTGTCCCTACAAAAAGTACAAAAATTAGCCAGGTGTGGTGGTGCATGCCTGTAGTCCTAGCTACCTGGGAGGCTGAGGTGGGAGGACGGTTTGAGTCCCAGAGGTCCAGGCTGTAGTGAGCCAAGATTGCGCCACTGCACTCCAGCCTGGGCAAGAGAGAGACCCTGTCCAAAAGAGGGGGATTGCCAGGCAGCTTCTTTGCAATGAACTTGTAGTTGCTGACTCAGCATCGGACCTTTGAAAGCTGGTGAGCGTCCCCCTCTTGGCTTGGCAGGGCAGGGCACCCCGGGCTGGCCCACCTTGGTCAGCTGTCCACCCGTGGGCAAGATGGGCTGCCCCATCATCCCACACAGAGCTGGGGCGAGCACTGGGCTCCGGGCAGGAACCCGGGCCGCGCTGGGCCGCGCTGGGCTGGGCTGGGCTGGGCTGGGCTGGGCTGGGCTGGGCTGGGGGGCAGTCAGGGCAGTGCTGGGGGCTCCTGAGGCTCCGGGGTGGAAGCTGCGGGAGCAGCTGGGCCTGCAGGCAGCTCCCAGCAGGCGTCACCCTGCACGGGCAACAGAGCCAAGGGGCATCCCTCCACCCTGGGCAGGGCCTGCCCTGTGCTCCCCAGTGTGGGTGGGTGCAGCTCAGGGGACCCAGCTGAGCACAGCCAGGGCCTTGGGCTGCTTCCCTGGTGCGGGGTCCCTTAGGCAGGGAGAGAAGCCAAGTGGGGTGGTGTCGTCTCCAATGCCAGCGCCTCGCAAGGACCCCAGGAAGGACAAGAGCCTCTCCTGCCAAGAAAGTGCTTTAATGATTATAAAGTGTCCAAAATATACTGGCAGAAATAAGCGGATCTGAGCGTTTCTCTTCAAACCTAGGATATGCAGGGTGAGAGCATGGCAGGGGCTGGTGGGCCCCAGGGTTGCCTCGAGGCCGGTCGTCCAGGGAGAGCAGCAGCAGGAAGAGCCTCAGGAGATGACCCTCAGGGATGGCTTGTCCTTCTCCAGGGCCTGCAGCCGGTCCTCCATCTCCTCAGACCAGTAAATGTCGTACAGGCTGCACACAGGCCAGAAGGGAGGCATGGGCCCGTGTCCTCCCCCACCCCCGCCTTCCTCCCTGGGCAGCCCTGGCCGCACCACCCGCCCAGCGCGTGCACATACACCAGCTGCTCCAGGAGGCAGCCCGGCTGCCGGACGCTCTCCACCAGCTGCAGGATGCCGGCGTCCCCCAGGCAGTTGTTGCTGAGGTCCAGCTCACGCAGGCTGTGGTTGGCCAACAGGGTTGCGGCGAGGCTGCTGCAGCTGCTGTCACTCACATCGCAGTCGGCCAACCTGGGTGAAGCAGGGCGGGGGTCAGGGTGCCGGGCGTGCCTGGCACCGCACTGACCGGCAGAGCAGGCCTGGGCCTGGGGGGCGCGACGGACACCTGTGCTCGGCAACTCAGGACCCTCAGGTGGGGCCGTCCCCAAGGCTCACCGTCCCTGTGGCCCTGGGCAGGTTCCCCACCACGGACAAGGAAGGCACAGACAAGCGAGGCACAAGCAGCCTCACTCGCCTGAGATCTTCTGCAGGGAGGAGAAAGGACAGGAGAGAGATGTCGTCCACCCAGAGAGCCACACCCACCCCCTTGTCACCTCGACACCGTCTGGCTGCGTGGGCTTCAAAGGAGAAGCCAGCCAGAGACTGAGGAGCAGCTGTGGGGAAACGAGGGTATGGAGGGTACCAAGACAAGAACAGAGTGGACAACAGACTTTAGGCTCCAGAGAGAGACAAGAGAACGGGTCAGACAAAAGAGGATGGGATAGAGAAGACCCAACACCCACTTCCCGGGGTGGAGCCGCCACAGGCCGGACAGCAGGGCCAAGGAGTTGCACTGGACCTCTCCAAGGTGGGGGCCAGGGAAGCTGCAGGACCCCCACCCTGTGAGTGGCTCAGGGGGAACAAGTCTGCAGTGACCAGGACCCAAGGTTCCTCTCCACATCTGGAACACCCACAAGGTCCTGGCAGCCAGGATGGTGTCCCCTGGCAGGGAACTGAAAATCCCCCATCAGGAGGAAGCCCTCGAGAAACGCAGCCATGACTCGGCCTGCAGGGCTCACTGTCCAGGGCTCCCGGGCCTCACTCTGCACCTGGTGCCCAGCCCAGGATGACCAGCCACCCACGGAAAGCCCCTGGCGAGAGGCACACGGGAAACAGCAAACAAAAGACAAAACACTGAGGGTGGAAATTCAGTAGACTGGCTGGTAAATGAGAACATCTCCCAAAAATAAAACAAAACATCGAAAAGAAAATTTGGAGAACATAATTAGAGGGTCACTCCACAAGACATCAGGACAGGCTCATGGGCACACCAAAAAAGAAACATAAGAAAGGAGAGAGAAAAAAATCACCAAAGGTATATTTTCTTAGTAGAACCAAGTATCCAGCACAAAGAACCAAGACCCCCATCAAGGCCAAGCACATGGAACCCCTAACACAGTGAACAAAGAGAGCTTGAAAAGCTGCCAACGAGAAAAAGCAGATCGTGCACACAAGGTCACAGTGGCTCACGCCTGTAATCGCAGCACTTTGGGAGGCTGAGGCAGGCTCATCACTTGAGGTCAATAGTTCAAGACCAGCCTGCCCAACATGGTGAAACCCCATCTCTACTAAAAATACAAAAATTAGGCCAGGCGTGGTGGCTCACGCCTGTAATCCCAGCAATTTAGGAGGCCGAGGCAGGCGGATCACGAGGTCAGGATATCAAGACCATACTGGCTAACACGGTGAAACCCCATCTCTACTAAAAGTACAAAAAATTAGCCTGGTGTGGTGACGGGCGCCTGTGGTCCCAGCTACTCGGGAGGTTGAGACAGGAGAATGGCATGAACTTGGGAGGCGGAGCTTGCAGTGAGCCAAGATCGCACCACTGCACTCCAGCCTGGGCGACAGAGCAAGACTCTCTCAAAAAAACAAACAAAATAAAATTAGCCGGGCATAATGGTGCATGCTATACCCGGCTAAATGATCCAAGGACAGAACAGGGGCACAAGACCCCAAAAATTACCTCCTGCAAAACCTTTTCTTAGAAAGCTGCAAAAGAACGTGCTTTAACAAAGAAAACAAATCTGGAAAAACATCCTGACACAGGCGGGGTTCCCGCAAGGGAGAAAGGTGGGCGGGGCTTCCAGGAAGATGGACCACAGGGTGGCCAGGTAGGCTGGAGCTCCGTGAAGCTCTCAGGCTTCATGAAACATGACCTCTGACTTTCAGAGTTAAAATGAGAACTAAGCCAGAGTGGTGCCGCCAGCCCGCCTTTCCCAGTACATGAACATGCACCCTCACTCTCGCCCATGTGCTCACACTCACATGGACACTCGTGCTCACTCTCGCCCATGTGCCACACTCACGTGCTCACTCGCCCATGTGCTCACACTCACATGGACACTCATGCTCACTCTCACCCATGTGCTCACACACGGACACTCGTGCTCACTCTCACCCATGTGCTCACGTACTCTCGCCCATGTGCTCACACACGGACACTCATGCTCACTCTCGCCCATGTGCTCACACACGGACACTCGTGCTCATTCTTGCCCATGTGCTCACACACGGACCCTCGTGCTCACTCTCACGTGCTCACACACGGACACTCATGCTCACTCACCCATGTGCTCACACTCGGACACTCGTGCTCTCACCCATGTGCTCACACACGGACACTCATGCTCTCTCGCCCATGTGCTCACACACACTCGTGCTCCCTCTCGCCCATGTGCTCACACTCACACGGACACTCGTGCTCATTCTTGCCCATGTGCTCACACACGGACCCTCGTGCTCACTCTCACGTGCTCACACACGGACACGTGCTCATTCTTGCCCATGTGCTCACACACTGACCCTCGTGCTCACTCTCACGTGCTCACACACGGACACTCGTGCTCTCACCCATGTGCTCACACACACGTGCTCACCCATGTGCTCACACACGGACACTCGTGCTCATTCTTGCCCATGTGCTCACACACGGACCCTCGTGCTCACTCACGTGCTCACACGGACACGTGCTCACTCTCACATGCTCACGGACACCCATGCTCACACTCATATGCTCACACACGTGCTCACACTCGCCTCACCCATGTGTGCTCACATACACACGGACACTCGTGCTCACACAGATACTCGTGCACTCTCGCCCTTGTGTGCACACACGGGCATATGATCTCCCAAATGTGCATACTCGTGTCCCTCACACACTCACCAGAGCACCCGCAGCACAGAGCCAGGCTGGCCCAGGCCCTGGCACAGCTCCCGCACGCCCGCATCCTCCAGCCTGTTGTTGCTTATCTGTAGCTCCAGGAGAAACCTGTTCTGGGCCAGCACTGAGCTGAAGTGGGAGCAGCAGGCGGCTGTGAAGCTGCAGGACTTCACCCTGTGGACACAGACAGGACTGACGCCTGGCAGGGGCCCAGGCTGGCCCACAGCTGCGACTGGCCCTTCCCCTGAAGGCCCCACGTGGACCTGAGCAAAAACATCTGACAGCCTCCCAGCAAGTGGGCACCTACACCTGGTCCTTGGCCCCAAGCACTGTTCCCATCAAACCACAGGCTGCTCCCTGGCCTATGCATTCTGAAGGTCGGAGCTGAGCCCAGCAGCTTCCCTGGAGTCGCTCACTCCTCCCCTGGTCTCCTCGGTCACCCTGGCCCTCTCTTGGGCGACAGGGCCCTGCCCCGACAGCCACACTCACCACAGCGACTCCAGCTGGCAGCCAGGTTCCAGCAGGGTCTCACACAGCAGTCGGGCACCCTCATCCCCCAGCTCGTTGCCGGCCAGGCTGAGCTCCTTCAGGCTCTCCTTGGCCCTGAGGACACGGCACAGATCCCCGCAGCCCTTGGCAGTGATGCCACACTCCCAGATCCTGCAGGACATGGACCACCACAGACTTTCCTCAGCACCGTCTCATGGCCTGAGATGAGCCCAGGGGCGGGGGAGAGCTCTGAGGACGGCCCGCCGCCCGACCCTCCGGGAAGGAGGCCTCGCGGAGATGACTCACCACAGGGTCCTGAGCCTGGAGCTGGGGTGGAGCAGCCCTGGGCACAGCTCCGCCATGCCCACATCACCCAGCTTGTTGCTGCCCAGGGCCAGCTCCCGCAGCGAGGCCTTGGAGGCCACAATGCCGCACAGGTCCCGGCAGTTGTCTGATGTCACACCGCAGCTCTCCAGCCTGGGGACACGGGTCACACGTGAGGCAGCACGGGACCCCCCCTAGCCCACACCCCGCACCCCCCCAAGGCCCAGTGCCTACTTGAGCGCCTCCAGCTGGCAGGGGGAGTCCTTCAGGCCCTGGCACAGCACACGGACGCCAGCCTCATTGATGTCGTTGTTGCTAACCGTGAGCTCCTTGAAGTCCGGCTTGGCCCTGAGCACGGAGGCCAGGGGCTCGCAGCTGGCAGCCGAGAGGCTGCAATACTCCAGCCTGGGGGACAGCAGAGCTCAGCACCACACAGGAATGTGCACCAGCCAAGGGTGTGATACCAGGGAGCACGGGGTGTGCTGGTGTCTCATCTCCCCTCAGTCTTCTGCCTGGGCATCAGGTGTCAGTGCTGAGGGACCCCCACAGACTCATCCAGAGGCCCGGGCCTCTGTGGACACCGGCATTCCTTCTGGAAACCCCTCACCCCCTCCCGGACCTCAGACTTTGGGGCCCAACCAGGCCCGGGAGAAAGAAACCAGCCTCTGGAGGGCAGGGCCACCTGCACGTCCCAGGCTGTGGTCAACTCACAATGGCCGGGTCCCCCACACACACTGAGGCGGTGAGTGGAACCTGACTCACGGCCAGGCATCTGTTCCCACCGTCGGGTCCTGGGGCAGCTGTGCCTTGCAAAGGACAACTGGATGGGGAGGGAGGGTGATGACAGATCCCCCCAGCCCCAGCATCATGGGGAGAGGAGAGCACCACAAGGCCCCAGACCCAGCATCATGGGGAAAGGAGAGCACCACAAGGCCCCTGTGACCTGAGTCCCCTCCTCACGGCTCCTGGCAGGCGATGTTCTATGTAGGGGGCTGGCTGGGGGACAGGCAGCGGCCAGCATGGGCCCTGGGGCAGGACACAAACTCACTGCAGCTTTTCCAGGCGGCACTGGGGGTCCAGGAGTCCTTCGCAGAGCAGCTGCAGGCCCGCATCCCCCAAGAGGTTGTCGCTGAGGTGCAGCTCCTGCAGGGTGGGCAGGGTGCGTAGTGTGCTGGACAGGACCCCGCAGCCGGCCCCCGTCAGGCAGCAGTTCTGGAGGCTGGAGCATACCTGGCTGTCAGCAGGGCTCCCCTGAGCCAAGCTGCCACGCCCTTCGCCTGCCAGAGCCCAGAGCCCGGAGCAGCACTCTTCAGGCGGCAGGTCTATACCTGCTCCTTCCCTGGACGGGGCTCTGGGGTCTGGGGTCTCCAGGCCGAGTGAAGGAGGGCACGCATGTGGCTCGACCCAGGGAAACCTTGTCTGCAGACACACCTTTCAGTGGGGGTCTGTGGTGATGCTGGAAGGCTAGGGATGGCGGGCAGGGCCAGATCTTGGGTGCGGGGGCTGGGATAAGGCAGGAAGGGCCCTGTCCCCCCCGCTGTGAGACCGCCAGGCCTGTGTGCCTCTGGCTGATGTTGGAAATGTCTGCTGCCACTGCCTGTCCACCTGCAGCTGCCCACGCGCCCCTGGCGGCTCTGTCCCCTGCTGCCGGGCTACCAAAGCAGACTGCACCAGGCCAGAGGCAGTGCCAGGCCCCGCCTCACCTCAGCTTCTGGATCTTGCAGGAGGGGGTCTGCAGGCCCTGGAGCACGCAATGCACGCCGACATCGCCCAGCTCGTTGCTGCGCAGGTTGAGCTCTGCCAGTGCAGGGTTGACTCGAAGTGCAGAGCTGATGTCCTTGCACCGTGCTTCCGTGAGGCCACAGTCGTCCAGCCTGTGAGCAGACCCCAGGGTCATGTGGACCACGCAGACAGCACTGGCCTCAGCCTCCACCACCACCCCACGTGCAGGTTACAACCTATCAGTGGGCCCAGAAGACAGCAAGGCAAGTCACACAAGACATTTCAGAAATGAAACAAAAAGGAGGAACTGTTCCATGAAAGTTTTGTTTAAGATGCTCGCACGTGGCCAGGCGCGGTGGCTCACGCCTGTAATCCCAGCACTTTGGGAGGCCGAGGCAGGCAGATCACCTGAGGTCGGGAGTTCAAGACCAACCTGACCAACATGGAGAAACCCCGTCTTTACTAAAAATACAAAAGTAGCCGGGCGTGGTGGCGCATGCCCATAATCCCAGCTACTCGGGAGGCTGAGGCAGGAGGATCACTTGAGCCCAGGAGGTTGAGGCCGCATAAGCCATGAGGGAGCCACTCCAGCCTGGGTGACAGAGCAATGCCCTGTCTCTAAAAATAAAAAGAATTTAAAGTATCTCTCGAAGGCACTGATCAGTCACAGGAGGAAAGGCAGTGGCGTCACAGTGGAGAGGGTGGCAGACGGCGCCTGTGACAGGACGCTCCTGGCAGGCCCCACGGCATCTCCCTGCATTCCTGCCAAAACTGTAGGACTTCAACCACAAGAAACCACCAGACAAGCCCCAACAGAGGACGTCCTGCAGGAGCCTGGCCAGACCCTCAGACCACCAAGAACCCAGAGAGACGAGGGGACAGTCACAGACGGGAGAGGGCTAAGGAGACAGAGGGCTGAGGGCCACGCAATCCTGGACCAGTGAGGAAGACGAAAAGGGCAGGGCGGAAAAGCAGACCCTGCCTGGAGGTGCTGGGCCAGAGCTAGCGTCCGCAGGTACACAGGACCACCTCACCAGGGAGCCCCGTCCGGTCCTCGTAACTCCTCCGCAAACCTGACACTACTTGAAATCACCAGGTAAAAAGAGAAAAGATGCGGCCCACCCAGGCACTCGTGTCCTGCTTGTGAAGCTGCTGGGTTTGTGAGGACCTCGAGGGCCGAGGACTCCCAGCCCCCAGCTTGGCAGGGACAAGCAGCGCCCCATGGAGGCTCACGGAGGGGACCCAAGCTGTGTCCTGCCCTCGTGTCTCCAAGGGAGGGAGAGGAGCTGAGACACCGGAGCCAGAGACCCACTGGCCAGTGGCCGCCCACCTCGGCCCGCCCACCTCAGCCCATGCTGCATGAGCCTGGAATGGGTTTTACATTCCTAAATTGTCAAAAAGAAACACAAGAATCACATCTCATGCACGTGGTAGCTGCACAGAATTCATACTTCATGTCCACAAACAAGGCGTTCCAGAGCAATGCACCCTTCAGAGGGAGCCGCCACCCGCCAGCCTGCCCCACCAGCACCCCAAGGCCACCCCGAGAGCAAGCGTACCTGACCACTTGGCACTGCTGGAGCAGAGGGAGGAGCTCGGCCCATCTAGCGTCGCTCAGCTCCTCACACTGGATGTCCAGGCTCTGGATGTCCAGGCTCATGGTGGAGGTGAAGAGTGGCCTGGGTGGGAGGCAGAGGGAAGAGGACGTCTTGGCCGAATCCCCTCACAGTTTCACAGGCCGGAGATTCTGCAAACAGGACCCACAGGGCTGATGTTTCAGGAGGAGCCGCAGCCTCTCCCTGGGCAAACACTTCCTCTTCAGCACCCTCCCCACCTTTGTCTCTGGAGCAGACATCAGGGGTGGGGCAGGGGGCAGGGACCAGCACCCACCCCCAGAAAGGCCACCATGGGCAGCAGAGCTTGGGTAATGCAGATGCCAGCCCATCTCCTGGCTATCACCACCCAGCCTCTGTGGGCACCTCCTCCTGCCCCACAGAGGGCGGGACAGCAGCAGCCCGGGAAGCCCCTGCCTCTCATTTGCTTGGGCAAGGACAGGGTAGGGTGGGGTGGTCTGTGAGCCTGGAGGCCCCAGCAGGGGAGCAAGGGGGTCTGTGGGCTTGACCTGTGTCTCACCCTCAGGACAGGCAGACTGTGCGGGCCAGGCAGGCTGCCCACAAAGCCAGAGACCTCCCAGGATGCCAGGATCCTGGACCCGGCCACAGTGTCCGAAGCAAGACAGAGCAGGGGGGCGGCCACTTGGGGTGTCAGCTTCCATGGCCCCCTTCTGGGGTTGGGGACTCTGCACCAGGCTACAGCACATCCCCTGCCCCACGGCACACTAGCCCAGAGGCTGGGCTACCAGGCAAGCTGGGTGGGTCAGCCTGGGATGGGCACAGCTGCTACACCCTGAAGCCTCCCCAGGCACAGGCCCTGAATATGGAAGGAGGTTCCTGAGGCCCTGAGAGCACAGCTCAGGTACCCGCCAGGGGCCTGGGGAAAGTGGTCAGGCAGAGACAGCCACCCCAAACCTTGGTTGGTGGATACATTCCCTGAGCACCTGCCAAGCACTGGCCTGGGGACTACAGCAGGGCAGGAACCTGGAGAGGAGGCTTGGATGGCCAGGAAGGCTCCCTGGAAGCAGCAGCACTGATGCCACAATGCGGGGAGGGGTGGGTGGGGTGGGGAGAGGGCTCTCATCCAGAAGCCCCAGAAAGTTGGCAGGATCCACTTGGGGAAATGATGCAACCCCAGCTGCCCTTCAGAAAGACGGCCAACAGGACCGCTTGAGAGGCTCCTGGTGCCCTGACACCCCCAGCTTCCTGAGTCTGTGTGCCTGGCACTCCTCTCCCCGGGGCTGCTTCAGAGGCGGCTGGTCCACTCTGCATGAGTGGAGGCAAGAGGCCCCTGGTACCAACTGGGAGGAAAGACGCAAGGCTGGGCTCGGGTCCACACGCCTGGGCGCCCGGCCTGCAAGGACAGTGGCAAAGGGTGGTGACATCCCACGGCCCCACATGGAGGAACTGAATCCAACCGACCCGAAGCACGTGAGCAAAACCGACCAGGGTGTGGTCACCCAAATTCTGACTCCAGAATCTAGTCATCAGGAGGCACTGTGGGCGGGAGGGCGGGTGGAAGGAGAGCCTCAGGGGGCTGCCCAGGGTGCACACGCTCCCCAAATCCAGCCTGACACTCCTGTGTCCTCTGCAGCCAGATGAAAGGTGGCCCCAGGGTGTCCTCCTCCTGGGAAAGCTTGGTGGGAGCTCAGGGTGGCCAGTGCTCCCGTGACCATCTGCAACTAGCGCTGCGGGAGTAGCCCCGTCCCTACCCCTCAGGCTTGGCCAGACCCTGTTGTATCCCAGAAAGGCCCTTCTGAATCTCTGTGGGTCACGGATCCCACTGAGGACCCCATGAAAATGCGGGAGTAAACGCCCTTCTCTGTGACTGGAGAAGTCCCTGGCTCCCTACACAGCCAAAGCTAAAAGCACATTCAGGAACCCACTACCACCAGCTGGCAGCCTGCTTTGGTTGAGGCAGGGATCTGAACAGAGGCCCTAACGGTCCCTTATCCGGAGACCAGACTTTCTCAACCTTACGGAGGGAGGTCTCCGCAGCACCCAAGGCCTGGGCCCCACCCTGGGGAGCCACATGGGAGGGGCCGTCTGGAGGCCAATTCAGGTCCTTATGTTCCGACGTGACGGGGGCGCGGGGCCACCCTCTAGGGAGACACGGGCCACGCTCAGGCGACGCGCAAAAGTTCCCGGTCCCTGGGACCCCCGCCCGCGCCCGCGTCGAGTCCCTCGAACCTGCTAGTTCTGGACACCCTGCTGCAGACTAAAGGGCTGGGAGGAAACCTCACAAAAACACGAAGGGGGTCTCCCCTGCCTCTCTGCCCCCGCCCGCGCCCGCTCCGCCCGGGACGCTCACCCGACGCCGCCGCCGCAGACCCAAGGCCAGAGCCGCTCCGCGTTCCTTCCGCCCAGGCGGGGGCGGGCGGAGCCTCCAGGCCGGGGCTGGCGGGGAGTCCACCCTGGGGGCCGCGCCCGCTAGTCGTCGCCCACTCGACCCTCTGGGCTCAGCCCCCGGGCCTCGTCCCAGCTACTACCCCAGCTTTCCCACTCCCCCCTGGGTCGGGGGTGAAGCCTGACGTCCGCATCCCGTTTCCCACTCTGGCCCCAACCAGCCTTTCCACCGTACAGCCGCCTTCCCCCAGACCATCCCTCCAGCTCTGGCAGCTCCCACCACCCTCGAGGGACCGGCCCCTGCCTCCTCCCACAAGCAGGCCGGATTCCAGGAATTGCCCAAACAATAAAATAAAGCAAACCTGAGACACCCCTTTTTGCTACCAGACTGGAGAAGGTGGAACAGGTTGACGATGATTTGTTGTAGCTGAGGCGAACGGGGCGAGGCTGTGAGGACGGGTTTTGGAGCGCCGCTCGGCCGTCCTCAAAACTTTGGACACACCCTCCGTTTCTGTCAGTCAAGAGTTCTTCATGCCTGAGCTCGGGAAGCATGTTCAAAATCTTTTTTTTTTTGTTTGGTCCCGCCTTTCTGGACCAAACCAATGGATATCTTAAATGTATTTCATTAATGCCTCATGTCTCTCTAAAACATGTAAAACCAAACTGCCCCAACCACCTTGGGCACATGTTCCCAGGATCCCCTGAGGGCTGTGTCACCGGCCGCGGTCACTCATATTCGATTCAGAATAAATCCCTTCAAATATTTTACATTTTAACTATTCTTATCGACAGTACATTTTTTAAAATAAGAATGGCCCTGAAAGATGTCCACCTCCTAATCTCCAAACCTGTGGTGTTACCTTAAGTGGCAAAAGGGACTTTGCAAATATTAAGAATATTGAGATGTGAAGGCTACCCTGGGGTGTCTGGGCGGCCGGCATATAATCATGAGAGTTCTTATGCAGAGACAGTAGGTTTTGAAGATGGAAGAAGGTGGCCTCTAGAAGTTGGAAGAGGAAAAGAAGCAGATTCTCCTTGGGAAACTCCAGAAGGAACTACCCTTGCCAACACCTTGATTTTAACCTCCTAAAACTCACTTCGGGCTTCTGAGCTCCAGGCCTATAAAACAGCCTGTGACAAATTCGTTATAGCAGGGATGAGAAAATAGCTCACTGCAGCCTCCTCTTCCAGGGCTCAAGTGCTCCTCCTCCCTCAGCGTCCCAAGTAGCTGGGACTACAAGCGTTCACTACCGCAACTGGCTAATTTTTTCTATCTTTTGTAGAGACGGGGGTCTCACTATTTTGGCCAAACTCAGTATGTTGGTCGCAAACTCCTGGGCTCAAGAGATCCGCCCGCCTCGGCCTCCCAAAGTGCTGGGATTACAGGCTGCAGCGCACCCAGCCTAATGTAACTTTTTTTTTTTTTTTTTTTTTTTGAGAAGGAGTTTCGCTCTTGTCAGCCGGCTGGAGTGCAGTGGCACGATCTCGGCTCACCGCAACCTCCGCCTCCTGAGTTCAAGCCATTCTCCTACCTCAACCTCCCAAGTAGCTGGGATTATAGGCGCCTGCCACCACGCCCGGCTAATTTTGTATTTTTAGTAGAGACGGGTTTTCACCATGTTGGCCAGGCTGTTCTCGAACTCCTGACCTCAGGTGATCCGCCTGCCTCTGACTGCCCGGCCCAGTGTAACTGTTAACGGCAACATCGTGTGCAGTCTCCGGCTTGCATTCGGTTTAGTCAGCCAATCGCTAAGACGACACTTGAGACCGTTTTCAGATCTTTAGGCTTTCCACCATCCTAGAAGGGGGCCTGCCTGGTTCTAAGGCCCTTCTGAAACACTGCCAAACTGTCCTCGGGAAACGGTGCAGAAGTCCTCTGGTTTCCCCCAAGGCGCGTGGGCACCTTGGCTGGAACCTCGCCCAGTAACACGACGTGCCTGGGGCCCCTTCGTCATTTCCGCCAACCCCGGTGACAACCCTGACACCGGCCCCTAAGTGCCATTCCAGTTATGTTGCTCTCCTCCCCGCAGCCCCAGGCGGCAGCTTCGCGGCCCGGCGTCCGGTCCCCCGGTGGTCCCGGAGCGAAGCTCCGCAATGGAGAGCGGAGGACCCTCCCTCCCCGACCTCGCACGACCAAGACCGCCCACCTTTCCCCCAACGCCCGGCTGTGGGAGCCGTTCGAGTCTTCTCCGCCAGGGCGCTCCTTCCCGGGAGGCCGCTTCTTTGGGGGAATAAGGTCAAGGATTACGGGATTTGGGGAAGCAAGCTCGGCTGGGCCAGGATTGCTTGCGTAGCTCGCTGGAATCTAAGGCACTAGAGGGCTTGACGGCCACGTGAGGACGAACCACGCAGGCGCAGCCCCGCGCCCCGGGCAAGGACTTCCGGCAAGCCCCAAAGGGGAGCGTGCACCGCGATGACGTCCTCAAGGCGCGCCACGTCCGCCCGGCGGCGCAGCTGCCCAGCGCAACCTCGGCCCCGCCTCGATAGCCCCGGACCCCTGCCCCGCCCGACCCCGCCCCGCCACGGGAGCGCGCCACTCGCCCGCGCAGCAACGGCCTCAATAGCGCCAGGCCCGCGTCTACAAGAAGCCCGACCAAGGCCGGCGTGGGCGAGGCCTGGCTAGACGCTGACGCACCGCTGGAGCTACTGACCTCGGGACGACTGGCGGACGGTCGCGGGCCTGGAGACCCAGAGCGAGACGGCCTACTTCGTTCTCGAGCCAGCAGAACGGGTTGAACGTGTCGACAACCCCACCCGCCAGTCAGCGGCGCGGGCGTGTTCGAGCCGGCTCGTGGGCGTGGTCAGGTGCGTGGGCGGGGACTACTGGGCGGGGCTCGGCGCGGGGGCGGGGCCTGGCGGGAGTAGTCTCGGGGTCGGGGCGGGGCCCGGCGGGCGGGGCTCGGCTAAGCACAGTCTTGGCGCAGCGGCGGGGCCTGGTGGGGCGTGGCTCGGTGAGGGAGGTCTCGCTTGGGGGCGTGGTCTCCCCCAGTAGGCGGGGCTTGGTGCCGGGGGCGGGGTCTGGCGGGCGCGGGCGCGTGTGCGTGTTGTGGGCCTCGCACTGGCACGCAAGTCTCAGCAATTCCTGAGAATCCTCGGAGGAAGAGGCCGGGGCCCGGTGCGGCAGCGCCTTGGGGGCGGAATCGCAGGCGCGGGTCGGGCCTTGCTGGGGCGCGGGGCGCGGCCCCCGGAGAAAGCGGCCGCCTCGGGACAGGAGGGACCCGGGAGAAACCCCCCTGGGGCGGCTCCGCATGTCGGGGTCGCGACTCTAGGCGACCTTGGTAGAGGGGCTCGTTTGCGCCGAGCTCGCGACCCCCGAGGGAGCCACGGCCCCGTGAACCACGCTGCCCGTCCTGGCCACTGGCTGCCGCCTTTGTTTCGTGGGACCCCAGCCCGCAAGGCCTGCGGAGCCGCGGCCTCGTCCCGAGTGTTCTGAGCGCGGTCCGAGCTGCTCCTGCGTCCACTCTGCTGCCGACACCCGAGCGTCGCCTGGAGCCCTGGCACTGAGGGGCGCAGGCCGAGTTCCAGACCAGCCTGGGAAACGCAAAGCGACCCCACCTCCACAAAAGTGGGTTTTCTTTAAGTTTTTGACTAGTCCGCAATTCACAGAATTGACATTTTGGCAGATGAAGATTGCAAGTAAGGAAACTAACGGTATCTCAGATTTGTTCTTTAGCAATTTGCTAAACCTCTCCTCTGACTGCCTTTATTAGGTATTTGTTTTCGAGACAGGGTCTCACTCCACTGCTTAGGCTGTACTGCAGTGGCGCGATCCCAGCTCGCTGCAGCCTCCACCTCCCGGACTCCAGTGATCCTCCCGCCTCAGCCTCCCAAGTAGCTGGTACCACAGGCGCCAGCACGCCTGGCTAATTGTTGTATTTTATGTAGAGAAGAGG
The DNA here is from genome assembly GCF_000001405.40 of Homo sapiens. NCBI lineage: Eukaryota > Metazoa > Chordata > Mammalia > Primates > Hominidae > Homo > Homo sapiens. Next base: position 508,355 of record NC_000011.10, read on the forward strand.
TCTCCCTGTGTTGCCCAGCCTGGTCTTGAATTGGGCTCAAGTGATCCTCCTGCTTCAGCCTCCCATATCGCTGGAATTACTGGCATAAGCCACTACACCCGGCCTGATCATCTTTAAAGAAGGTGGTTCTGGCCGGGCGTGGTGGCTCACACCTGTAACCCCAACACTTTGGGAGACCGAGAAGGGTGGATCACCTGAGGTCAGGAGTTCAAGACCAGCCTGGCCAACGTGGTGAAACCCCATCTCTACTAAAAATACAAAAATTAGCCAGGCATGGTGGTGGGCACCTGTAATTCCAGCTACTTGGGAGGCTGAGGCAGGAGAATCGCTTGAACACGGGAAGCAGAGGTTGCAGCGAGCCTAGACCACACCATTGCACTCCAGTTCGGGCAACAAGATGAAACTCTGGCTGGGCGCGGTGGCTCACACCTGTAATTCCAACACTTTGGGAGGCCAAGGCAGGCAGATCACCTGAGGTCAGGAGTTCAAGACCAGCCTGGCCAAGATGATGAAACCCCATCTCTACTAAAATTACAAAAACTTAGCCAGGCATGGTGGTGCATGCCTGTAATCCCAGCTACTCAGGAGGCTGAGGCAGGAGAACCACTTGAACCCAGGAGGCAGAGGTTGCAGTGAGCCAAGATCGTGCCACTGTACTCCAGCCTGGGCAACAAGAGCGAAACTCCATCTCAAAAAAGAAAAAAGAAACTCCGTCTCAAAAAGAAGGTGGTTCACACACACACACACACACCCCCAAGAAAGCTCAGGGCTGGAAGGCAGCCAACCTGGCTGTGACCCTCATCCTGCACACGTGAGCTTGGTGACCAGTAGCTGATTCTTTAACTCTCTAAGCTTTGGAGTCTGGATGTGAGGTTTAGAATTCATGACAAGAAGCTGGAAGGATGCCGCCAGTCTGACTCCTGGACTGGTTCTCTTGACATCTTTGCAAAAGCTGCTGAAATGTTCTGGTTTCATTTCATTCTTTTCTTTGCCATGATCTCTTAGATTTGTTCGTGGCAATTCTCATAAGAGTGAAGAAAATGTTTAAAATGGCTGTTGGGCTCCCTTTTGTGACACCTTGTGGGGAAGGTGCCCAGGTATGTATAGGTGCTGAGCGCACGGCCAGCATGGTGTCTGTGGCCGGGCCTCCCTCCTGGACAGTGCGGCCACAGCCCCTGAAAGGTATGTCTTCATTTTTATTTTATTTTATTGAGATGGAGTCTCGCTCTGTCGCCCAGGCTGGAGTGCAGTGGCGCGATCTCGGCTCACTGTAAGCTCCGCCTCCCAGGTTCAAGCCATTCTCCTGCCTCAGCCTCCCGAGTAGCTGGGACTACAGGCACCTGCCACCACGCCCGGCTAATTTTTTTTTTTTTTTTTTTTTTGTAATTTTAATAGAGACAGGGTTTCAGCGTGTTAGCCAGGATGGTCTCGAGCTCCTGACCTTGTGATTCGCCCGCCTCAACCTCCCAAAGTGCCTGGCCTTCATTTTTATTTTTGAACTTACCTGCCTCACCTCGTTATGTCTTTATCTTATTTTTAAACTTACTCAGTTCACCCACTGTGGAATTGGGAGTATATGGAAGTATTCCCACCCCCAGTTTTATATACCGCCCCAGAGCTGACCATTCTCGCTCATTTCCCCGGGTCCTGGCCGACTCGAGTGTGCCTTTCCTTCCGATCCTGCTCCACACAGATCTGAGGGATGCTGCCCTTTCCTTCTCCACCTGCCCCTCCCTCACATCCAGCCCCACCAGCCTACACGTTAGCTTAAATAGGGAGCTTTTACATTCCCCATGAAAGGGAATCCAGGGACAGGCTGAGGCAAGAGACCCCCAGTGTTCATGAGATGCCATCTAGAGAAAACACCGTGGTGCTGAAGGCCTAAGTCAGACCCCGGGGAGAGAGGCACCAGGGTGACTTTGGGTGGAGAGTCCTGTGCCTGTTCTACTTCTATAAATATACTCAGGTCAGGCACGGTGGCTCACGCCTGTAATCCCAGCACGTTGGGAGGCCGAGGCAGGCGGATCATTTGAGGTCAGGAGTTCAAGACTAGCCTGGCCAACATGGTGAAACCCCATCTCTACTAAAAATACAAAAAAATGGCTGGGCACAGTGGCTCACACCTGTAATCCCAGCATGTTGGGAGGCCAAGGCAGGCAGATCATTTGCGGTCGGGAGTTCAAGACCAGCCTGACCAACATGGAGAAACCCCGTCTCTACTAATAATACAAAAATTAGCCAGGCATGGTGGCACATGCCTGTAATCCCAGCTACTCGGGAGACTGAGGCATAAGAATCGCTTGAACCCAGGAGGCAGAGGTTCTGGTGAGCCGAGATCACGCCATTGCACTCCAGCCTGGGCAACAAAAAGCAAAACTCCATCTCAAAAAAAAAATACAAAAAAATGAGCTGGGCGTGGTGGCCTGCACCTGTAATCCCAGCTACTTGGGAGGCTGAGGCAGGAGAATCACTTGAACCCAGAAGGTGGAGGTTGCGGTGAGCAGAGACCACACCACTGCACTCCAGCCTGGGTGACAGAGTGAACCATGTCTCTAAATAAATAAATAATATGTTTGTCTGAAAGTGCCTTTTTAACAAAGTATGAGATGTGTACATAAAGTGCACATAGCGCAAGTGTCGCACGCAGTGGATTTTCACACGCAGCACGTGAAATGGGAAAACACTGGCCCGGCACGGTGGCTCACACCTGTCATCCCAGCACTTTGGGAGGCCGAGGCGGGCGGATCACAAGGTCAGGAGATCGAGACCATCCTGGCTAACACGGTAAAACCGCGTCTCTACTAAAAATACAAAAAATTAGCCGGGCGTGGTGGCGGGCGCCTGTAGTCCCAGCTACTTGGGAGGCTGAGGCAGGAGAATGGCGTGAACCCGGGAGGCGGAGCTTGCAGTGAGCCAAGATCGCGCCACTGCACTCCAGCCTGGGCGACAGAGCTAGACTCCGTCTCAAAAAAAAAAAAAAAAAGAAATGGGAAAACATTGAGGATGAAGTAGCAAATATTTGAGAATTCAACTTGATTGGTGGCTGTTGCAGGTTCATACGTGAGTGGTTACGTAGTGGGTAGTTAAACTGACAATGACCAGCTGAATTTTGGTGACAGGACTGCTCCTAAGGTTTGAAATGTAGCGTATCCTCTGATTCACGGGCTAAGCTCTGCCACTTAGCAGGAGGAGCTCATGATAGAGCAGGTTGAGGGGAAAACTTTGCCCCATAAGGGTTCTTCACTGCAAGTGAGAAGGTCTTGGCTTTGAGCCTCCAATTTCAATCAGACAGAAAGCAGACCAGTCGGCAGGACAGTATATGCCTCTGGAGATCCGTGCTGATGTGGGGGCCTCAGATACAAGATGCCTCAGGGCCCAGGCGTGACCCTCTCCTTCCCTCCTGCACGGAGATGCTGTGAGAATTAGACACTCCCACAGGGCCCTGTCAGACACTGAGCTAGCCTCTGGGAACCGGAAGATATTCAAAACACCAGCCACCCCCCACACACACAGACAAGGCGCTGGAGGGACAGCTGTGCAGCGGCAGAGCATGAGAGGTCTTGATCAGTTAACTCAGTGAGGTTAGGAGGCGAATTTTTTTTTTTTTGAGATGGAGTCTTACTTTGTCACCCAGTCAGGAGTGCAGTGGCGTGATCTCGGCTCACTGCAACCTCCGCCTCCTGGCCTCAAGTGATTCTTCCGCCTCAGCCTCCCGAGTAGCTGGGACTACAGGTGCGTGCCACCACACCCAGCTAATTTTTGTATTTTTGGTAGAGACAGTGTTTCACCACGTTGGACAGGCTGGTCTCAATCTCTTGACCTCGTTATCTGCCTGCCCTGGCCTCCCAAAGTGCTGGGATTATAGGTGTGAGCCACAAAGCCTTTTTGTTTTCATTTTTGAGATGGAGTCTCGCTCTGTCGCCCAGGCTGGAGTGCAGTGGCATGATCTCAGCTCACTGCAACCTCTGCATCCCAGTTCAAGCAGTTCTCCGCCTCGGCCTCCTGAGTAGCTGGGATCACAGGTGCCCGCCACCACACTTGGCTAATTTTTTGTATTTTTAGTAGAGATGAGGTTTCACCGTGGTGGCCAGGCTGGTCTCAAACTCCTGACCTCAAATGATCTGCCTGCCTCGGCTTCCCAAAGTGCTGGGATGACACTGAGCCACCGCGCCTGGCAAGGAGGTAACTTGATCCATACGTTTGCGTTTACATGGTGCGAGGAAAGGGCACCCTTGGTAGATGGAACAGCGTGTACAAAGGCCCGGAGGTTTAAAATCACCACTCTTCTAGCCCTCATACTAACTTTGCCTATTTTGAACTTTATATAAATGGAATTATATTGCATGTTCTCTTTTGTATCTGACTTCCTTTTCTCAATACTATATGAGTGGTATCCATGCCATTTAAAGTAATGGTGGATTAACTCAATGCTACGTCGCCTTCTAGTTGATGGAGGGCAGGCAAGACCCACAGTGGGGCTGAGCCCCTCGAGGGTTCCTGGCTTTGCCCAGGAAACAATTCAAGGGCAAGCTGGAAGTGAAAGTAAACAGGCCAGGCATGGTGGGAGTTACTACCCCTTTCCATGGCAATGACCCCACGACCCAAAAGTTACTACCCCTTCCCTAGAAACTTTTGCCTGGGCTGCCCCTTAATCTACATGAAATTAAAAGTGGGTGTAAATGTGGCTGCAGAACTGTCCTGAGCTGCTGCTCTCAGCACACTCTGCCCAGCACACCCCGCCTGCAGGGGCCGTCGCAGAGCTGTAACCCTGCCGCTTCAAGCTGTTTTGTTTTGTTTTTCTTTCGAGACAGTCTCGCTCTGCTCTTCCAGTTTGAATATCACGCAGGCTGGAGCGCAGTGGCGCAATCTCGGCTCACTGCAACCTCTGCCTCCTGGGTTCAAGCAATTCTGCCTCAGCCACCCGAGTAGCTGGGATTACAGGCACACGCCACCATGCCCGGCTAATTTTTGTATTGTATTAGAGACAGGGTTTCACCATGTTGGCGAGGCTGGTCCCGAACTCCTGGCCTCAAGTGATCTGCCCGCCGTCCGCCTCAGTGTCCCGAGGTGCTGGGATTACAGGTGTGAGCCACCGCACCCAGCAAAAGTGCTTTCTCGAGATGGAATCTGCGCCTGGTGAAGATGCTCTAAACATTGCTGAGATAACAAAGGATTTAGAATATTCCATAAACTTCGTTGGTACAGCAGCGATAGGGTTCGAGAGGATTTTCCAGTTGTGAGAGAAGGTCTGCTGTGGACAAAATGCTACCAAACAGCATCGCGTGCTACGGAGAAATCTTTTGTGAAAGGAAGAAGCTCAATGTGGCCAGCTTTATTGTTGTCTTATTTTAAGAAATTGCTGGCCGGGTGTGGTGGAGAATCACTTGAACCCAGGAGGCAGAGGTTGCAGTGAGCCGAGATCACGCCATTGAACTCCAGCTGGGCATAAGAGCAAAACTCCATCTCAAAAAAAAAAAAAAAAAGGAAGAAATTGCCACAGCCACCTCAGCCTTCAGCCACCACCACCCTGATCAGTCAGCAGCCACAAACAAGACCTTCCACCAGCAAAGAGATCCCAACTTCCTCAAGCCTCAGGTGATTGCTGGCACTTTCTATCAGTATCTTAGTTTTTTGTTTGTTTGTTTTTTAATTTTTGAGACAGAGTCTCACTCTCTTGCCCAGGCTGGAATGTAGTGGCACCATCTCGGCTCACTGCAACCTCCGCCTCCCAGGTTCAAGCGATTCTCTTACCTTAGCCTCCGGAGGAGCTGGGACTACAAGCACGCACCACCACACCCGGCTGATTTTTTTCCATTTTTAGTAGAGACGGGGTTTCACCATGTTGGCCAGGCTGGTCTCGAACTCCTGGCCTCAGGTGATCCGCCCACCTTGGCCTCCCACAGTGCTAGGATTACAGGTGTGAGCCACCACCCCCAGCCATTTTTTTTTTGAGACGAGGTCTTGCTTTGTTGCCCAGACTAGAGTGCAGTGACATTATCTCGGCTCACGGCAACCTCTGCCTCCCAGGCTGAAGCAATCCTCCCACCTCTGTCTCCCTAGTAGCTGGGACCACAGGTGCACACCCCCACACCCGGCTAATTTTTTGTATTTTTGGTAGAGACAGGGTTTCACCATGTTGCCCAGGCTGGTCTCCTGAGCTCATGCAATCTGCCCACTTGACCTCCCAAAGTGCTGGGATTACAGGTGTGAGCCACTGTGCCCAGCCTATTATTATTATTATTTATTGTTTTTTTGGTCTTGAGGGAGGGTAGGGTGGTGGGAGCCCAGTTGGGGAGGGAGTGAGGAGTGGTCAATAAAGTATTTTAAATTGAGGCATATGCATTGTTTTGTAAACATAATGTTATTGCACACCTGACTGCACTGTGGTATAAACATAACTTTTATATGCAGTGGAAAACCGAAAAATCCCTCCGACTGGCTTTATTGCGACATTTGTGTTATTGCGGTGTCTAGAACTGAACCGTGGTAACCCAGGCCCGCCTGTGCTAACTTCCAGCACTACCGAGGTTGACGCAGCTAGATGGTTTTCTCCCCGGCTGGTTGCTGCTTCTCACCCACAGAGGCGGTGGAGCCCTTGGAACTGGGCAGAACACAGGGCTGCCTTGTCACCACTGCCTGGCTGAACCTGAAATTGGGCCGTTTGACAGAAAGACTTGAAAGGGCCACCAGTAAATTCTTTTTTCTTTTCATTGATTTTCCTCTTCTTACTTTCCTCCTCCTGAAGTTGGGGTCATGTCCCAAGAAGACCCACAAGGCCTGGCCTGTGGGTGCACATGTGGGGAGGGTCAGGTCTGTCGGCTGAGGAGGGCATTGGTAGGGGACTTTGAGCAGTGCTGCTCCGGAGACACGAATGATGGGATGGGAGGCTCTCCCATATCTGCCGAGAGCACAGCACCCCATGACTCCTGGGAGCTTGTCATAGATGCTGCAGATGAGTCCTTCCTCAGACGGGATATTTGCTAATGCCTCTGCCAGCCTGGGCTTGTCTTCTCAGGGCCTTTCAAAATGCACACACCCTTCATTCTCATGATGTCCAGTGGATCAGGTTTTCCTTTATGTGTCATGCTTTTAGTGTTTAAGAATCATTTCTCTAACCCAAGTCACACTGACATCCTCCTTTTCATTCTTAACGCACATTTTACAGTTGTAGGCCTTACATTTTGGCTTATAATAAGTTCTGAGGCCAGGCACAGTGCTCACACCTGTAATCCTGGCACTTTGAGAGGCCAAGGCGGGTGGATCACCAGAGGTCAGGAGTTTGACACAAGCCTGGCCAACATGGTGAAACCCCGTCTCTACTAAAAATACAAAAAGTAGCCAGGTGTGGTGGCGGGCACCTGTAATCCCAGCTACTCCAGAGGCTGAGGCAGGAGAATCACTTGAACCTGGGAGACAGAGGTTGCAGTGAGTCAAGATTGTGCCACTGCCCTCCAACCTGGGCGAGAGAGTGAGACTCCATCTCAAAAAAATTAATAGTAAATTTTGAATGGATTTATATATGTACTGTCATGTATAGATTGAAGCTTCCATTCATATGTGTAGCCCCGTCATTCTAGTACCATTTGTTGCTAAGATTCTCCTTTCTCTGCTGAATTTGCTTACACTTATTTCAAAATCAGTTGAGCATGTATGTGAGGGTCTACTCTCGATCCTCTATTCTGTTCCACTGATCTATTTGTCTATCCTGTTACCAATGCCACACTGTCTGGATTTCTGAACCTTTATAACACATCTTGGGCCAGGTGCAAAGGTTCACGCCTGTAATCCTAGCACTTTGGGAGGCCGAGGTGGGTGGATCACTTGAGGCCAGGAGTTCAAGACCAGCCTGGCCAACATGGCGAAACCCGTCTCTACCAAAAATACAAAAACTAGCCAGGCATGGTGGTACACGCCTGTAATCCCAGCTACTCGGGAGGCTGAGGTACAAGAATCACTTGAGCCCCAGAGGCGGAGGCTGCAGTGAGCTGAGATCGTACCACTGCACTCCAGCCTGAGTGACAGAGCGAGCCTCCATCTCAAAAAAAAAAAAACCCAAATCTTGAAGCCAGGCATAGAATGCCCTCTCACTTGACCATTGTTTTCCAGAGCTGTTTTGATGATTGTAGGCCCACAGCATTGCCACACACTGAAACACAGGCCCATGAGCACACATATATGTATAATACAAATATAAGTGCACACCATGACGCAGTGAAATTTATCACAGGAATGCAAGGCTGGTTCAACATGAAATATGAGCCAATGGAATTCACCATATAAGCAGATTAAAAGACAAAAAGACGGCCGGACGTGGTGGCTCACATCTGTGATCCCAGCACTTTGGGAGGCTGAAGCAGGAGGATTCTGAGCAACATAGTGAGACCTGGTCTCTAAATAAATAAAATAAGACAAAAATACATCATCATTTCAGTAGACTTAGAAAAGGCATTTGACAGAATCCAGCAGGCTTATAAAGCTTTTTAATTATTTTTTTCTCCCTCTCCCTCTCCCTCTCCCTTCGGTCTCCCTCTGTTGCCGAGGCTGGACTGTACTGCTGTGGTCTCGGCTTGCTGCAGCCTCCCTGCCCCGGGCTCCCATGGTTCTCCTGCCTCGGCCTGCCAAGTGCCTGGGATTGCAGGCATGCACCGCCACGCCTGACTGGTTTTTGTATTTTTGGAGGAGACGGGGTTTTGCCCTGTTGACCGGGCTGGTCTCCGGCTCCTGACCTCCAATGGTCTGCCCGCCTCGGCCTCCCGGGGTGCTGGGATTGCAGACGGAGTCTTGCTCACTCAATGCTCAGTGTTGCCAAGGCTGGAGCGCAGTGGCGTGATCTCAGCTCGCCACAACCTCTACCTTCCAGCTGCCTGCCTTGGCCTCCCAAAGTGCTAAGATTACAGCCTCTGCCCGGCCGCCACCCCGTCTGGGAGGTGAGGAGCATCTCTGCCCGGCCGCCCATCGTCTGGGAGGTGAGGAGCGCCTCTGCCCGGCCGCCCGGTCTGGGAAGTGGGCGCCTCTGCCCAGCTGCCCCGTCTGGGAGGTGGGGGGCGCCTCTGCCTGGCTGCCCCGTCTGGGAGTTGAGGGGTGCCTCTGCCCGACCGCCCCACCTGGGAAGTGAGGGGCACCTCTGCCCAGCCACCGCCTTATCTGGAAGGTGGGGAGCGCCTCTGCCCGACTGCCCCGTCTGGGAAGTGGGCGCCTCTGCCCGGCCGTCCCATCTGGGGGGTGAGGAGCACCTCTGCCCGGCCACCCCGTCTGGGAGGTGAGGAGTGCCTCTGCCAGGCCGCCCCGTCTGGGAAGTGTACCCAACAGCTCCAAAGAGACAGCGACCATCGAGAACGGGCCATGATGACAGTGGCAGTTTTGTCAAAAAGAAAAGGGGGAAATGTGGGGAAAAGAAAGAGAGGTCAGATTGTTACTGTGTCTGTGTAGAAAGAAGTAGACATAGGAGACTCCGTTTTGTTCTGTACTAAGAAAAATTCTTCTGTCTTGGGATGCTGTTAATCTATAACCTTACCCCCAACCCCGTGCTCTCTGAAACGTGCTGTGTCAACTCAGGGTTAAATGGATTAAGGGCGGTGCCAGATGTGCTTTGTTAAACAGATGCTTGGAGGCAGCATGCTCGTTAAGAGTCATCACCATTCCCTAATCTCAACTACCCAGGGACACAAACACTGCGGAAGGCCGCAGGGACCTCTGCCTAGGAAAACCAGAGACCTTTGTTCACGTGTTTATCTGCTGACCTTCTCTCCACTATTATCCTATGACCCTGCCACATCCCCCTCTCTGAGAAACACCCAAGAATGATCAATAAATAAAAAATAATAATAATAAAATTTTTTTTTTTTTGAGATGGAGTCTCGCTCTGTCGCCTAGGCTGGAGTGCAGTGGCCCATCTCAGCTCACTGCAAGCTCCGCCTCCCGGGTTCACGCCATTCTCCTGCCTCAGCCTTAGGAGTAGCTGGGACTACAGGTGCCCGCCACCACGCCCAGCTAATTTTTTGTATTTCTGGTAGAGACGGGGTTTCATGGTGTTAGCCAGGATGGTCTCGATCTCCTGACCTCGTGATCCACCCGCCTCGGCCTCGCAAAGTGCTTGGGATTACAGGCGTGAGCCACCGCGCCAGGTCAGCTTTTTAAATTTTTTTTGTATTGTTGGTAGAGATGGGGTTTCATTTGGCCAGGCTGGTCTCCAACTCCTGACTTCGTGATCCGGCCGCCTCCGCCTCCCAAAGTGCTGGGATTACAGACGTGAGTCACCCTGCCCGGCCGCCTGTTCACTTTATTACTTGGAGACCGTATTCCATTCCCATAACCCAGGGGAGGAGGCACGCACGAGCCGACACCAGCAGGTGGGGCAGGAAACGCAGCCAGCGCGGAACCGGACGCCCAGGAGCCGGCCCCGGGCTGCCCACGACGGGGCCGCCGGAGAGGACTCGCGGCGCCCCCTCCTGGATGTGGCCGGCGGCGCGCGAGGAAGGAGCCGCCCCGAACGCGCGAGCGAGGCCGGGACTCGGGCGCCCTCTGCCGGCCGCTCTGAGGGACCGGGGCGGGGGGGCGTGTCTCCCGGTCACGTGACCTGGAAACCCCGCCCCCAAACCGAGGGGAACTTGCGGCCCCAAGACGCGGCGCGCTTACGAGGGCGCGCGAGGCGCCGCACGGGGGAGGCTTCTCCGAAAGCCGCGAGGGCAGCTCCCGTGTGTCCGCTGTGCAAACCGGTCCTTCCGCCAAAAACCTGCTGTCTGGCTTTTCTCAGGTAAGAACTACCCAAAAGCTAGACGACATTTTCAGAACATACAAGTACAAATAAGAAGAGGGAAAATCACCCGCAGTTCACCCCTGAGCCGCGCGCATTCCTTAGATCTCCGTGTTTCTTCCTAAAGGAACGTGGCCTGATACACAGGTGAGCTTTATTAGAACGCGGGCTGATACACAGGTGAGCTTTATTAGAACGCGGGCTGATACACAGGTGAGCTTTATTAGAACGCGGGCTGATACACAGGTGAGCTTTATTAGAACGCGGGCTGATACACAGGTGAGCTTTATTAGAACGCGGGCTGATACACAGGTGAGCTTTATTAGAACGCGGCCTGATACACAGGTGAGCTTTATTAGAACGCGGCCTGATACACAGGTGAGCTTTATTAGAACGCGGCCTGATACACAGGTGAGCTTTATTAGAACGCGGCCTGATACACAGGTGAGCTTTATTAGAACGCGGCCTGATACACAGGTGAGCTTTATTAGAACGCGGCCTGATACACAGGTGAGCTTTATTAGAACGCGGCCTGATACACAGGTGAGCTTTATTAGAACGCGGCCTGATACACAGGTGAGCTTTATTAGAACGCGGCCTGATACACAGGTGAGCTTTATTAGAACGCGGCCTGATACACAGGTGAGCTTTATTAGAACGCGGCCTGATACACAGGTGAGCTTTATTAGAACGCGGCCTGATACACAGGTGAGCTTTATTAGAACGCGGCCTGATACACAGGTGAGCTTTATTAGAACGCGGCCTGATACACAGGTGAGCTTTATTAGAACGCGGCCTGATACACAGGTGAGCTTTATTAGAACGCGGCCTGATACACAGGTGAGCTTTATTAGAACGCGGCCTGATACACAGGTGAGCTTTATTAGAACGCGGCCTGATACACAGGTGAGCTTTATTAGAACGCGGCCTGATACACAGGTGAGCTTTATTAGAACGCGGCCTGATACACAGGTGAGCTTTATTAGAACGCGGCCTGATACACAGGTGAGCTTTATTAGAACGCGGCCTGATACACAGGTGAGCTTTATTAGAACGCGGCCTGATACACAGGTGAGCTTTATTAGAACGCGGCCTGATACACAGGTGAGCTTTATTAGAACGCGGCCTGATACACAGGTGAGCTTTATTAGAACGCGGCCTGATACACAGGTGAGCTTTATTAGAACGCGGCCTGATACACAGGTGAGCTTTATTACTGATTTTTTTTTTTTATGGGGAATCTCGCTCTGTCGCCCAGGCTGGAGTGCAATGGTGCGATCTCGGCTCTCTGCAACCTCCGCCTCCCGGGTTCCAGTGATTCTCCTGCCTCAGCCTCCCGAGTAGCTGGGATTACGTGCGCCACCACGTCCGGCTCATTTTTTTGTATTTTCAGTAGGGACGGGGTTTCATCATGTTGGCCAGGCTGGTCTCAAACTCCTGGCCTCAAATGATCCGCCCACCTCAGCCTCCCAAAGTCCTGGCGTTACAGGCATGAGCCACCGCGCCCGGCCTAGTATTGAATATTTCAAACATACAAACAGGTTTTTTAAAAATAATGAGCCCCATGCCTGACCTCTCCCCTTAAACACATGCTCAGAGCCCCCCGAGTCGCCCTCTCCCCTCCATCCAGGGTCTCCTGGAGGCCTCTGCCGCCTGAGTTCTGTCTCCGTCCTTTCTGTTCCCTGAGGCCGTGCTCACCCCTACGCCTTCCCAGATGGCGAGGGCCTTTCCTGCGCCTCTGAACAATTTGGAAACGCTGCACAATGCGCACCCACCCGCCAGCTGCTGGTTCCATTCAACAGAATTGGGGTGGGAATTGTCCATATTGAGACCGCGTCGGTTATTCATCTCAGCTGCTGTTGACTACTCCGCTGCCTGAACACCGGCATTTACTCACCGATGCTCTCGTCTTGTCTGACTTTATGCAAACACTGCCACCGCCAGCGTACTCCGGACCTCTGTGTGCCCAGACACGGGGCAGACGCCCTGCCAGGCCCAATCGCCCCCCAGCGGTGGCTCTCAGAATTTACGCTCCCGCCCCAGGGCACAGGCTCCCTCCCCGCTCCAGACCTTCACTAGCCACTGGTTCGACTGCCTCAGGCCTCCCTGTCCCCACCCTAGTCATGAGAATATGAAATGGTAACTCACCATGGGTCTAGCTGGCATTTCACCAAGTACTAGTCAGGCATACTTCCGCTTGGTTCTGCCTGTTCCTACCCTTTGCTTTGTGCGTTTTGAGACAGGCATCTGGAGTGCAGTGCCATGATCACAGGTCACTGCAGTCTGAACCACCTGGGCTCAAGCAACCCTCCTGCCTCAGCCTCCCGAGAAGCTGCGACTACAAGCACACACCACTGTGCCCAGCTAATTTTTGTATTTTTGGCAGGGACGGGATTTTGCCATGTTTTCCAGGCTGGCCTTGAACTCCTAGCTCAAGCAACTGGCCCACCTCAACCTCTCAAAGTGCTAGGATTATAGGTGTGAGCCCCTGCACCCAGCCAAGAGATATTTTCAAAAACAATTACAGCCCGGTGAGGTGGCTCACGCCTGTAATCCCAGCACTTTGGGAGACCGAGGCGGGCAGATCACGAGGTCAGGAGATCGAGACCATCCTGGCTAACACGATGAAACCCCGTCTCTACTAAAAAATACAAAAAATTAGCTGGACGTGGTGGCGAGCGCCTGTAGTCCCAGCTACTCGGAAGGCTGAGGCAGGAGAATGGCGTGAACCTGGGAGGCAGAGGTTGCAGTGAGCCGAGATCACGCCACTGCACTCCAGCCTGGATGACAGAGCAAGACTCCGTCTCAAAAAAAAAACGATTAAAATCAGCTGCCCAAAACAGCTCTCATAACCCAAATGAAGGCAGAAAAGGGAAGATAAGATACAGGAAACAAATAGCATGAATGGAAAAATAAAAAAATCTAAATCCAAATATATCAATAATTACATTAAATGCAAATGGTCCAAGCATATTAATCAATTCTTTTTTTGAAAGAGTGTCTTGCTCTGTCATGCAGGCTGGAGTGCAGTGGTACGATCACGGCTCACTGCAGTCTCAACCGCCTGGGTTCAAGTGATTCTCACTTTATCCTCCAGAGTAGCTGAGACTACAGGCACGCACCACAATGGCTGGCTGATTTCTGGTTTTTTTGTTTTGTTTTGTTTTGTTTTGTTTGAGACAGAGTCTCACTCTGTCGCCCAGGCTGGAGTGCAGTGGCGCGATCTCAGCTCACTGCAAGCTCTGCCTCCCGGGTTCAGGCCATTCTCCTGCCTCAGCCTCCCAAGTAGTTGGGACTACAGGCGGCCGCCACCACGCCTGGCTAATTTTTTGTATTTTTTAGTTGAGACGGGGTTTCACTGTGTTAGCCAGGATACTCTCGATCTCCTGACCTCGTGATTCGCCCACCTCGGCCTCCCAAAGTGCTGGGATTACAGGCGTGAGCCACCGCACCTGGCCATTTCTGTACTTTTTGTAGAGATGGAGTTTCACCATGTTGCCCAGGCTGGTCTCAACTCCTGAGCTCAAGCAATCCGCCCACCTTGGCCTCCCAAAGTGCTGGGATTACAGGAGTGGGCCACCTCACCTGCCCTTTTTTTGTTTTGTTCTGGTAAATAAATTCTGACATTCTCTGTATACATTTTCTTTTCTTTTGAGACAGAGTTTCACTCGTTCCAAAGCGCAAAGGTTGGAGTGCAGTGGCGCAATCTCGGCTCACTGCAACCGTCACTTCTTGGGTTCAAGCGATTCTCCTGCATCAGCCTCCCAAGTAGCTGGAATTACAGGCATGTGCTTCCACGCCCGGCTAATTTTTGTATTTTTAGTAGAGACGAGGTTTCACCATGTTGGCCAAGCTGGTCTCTGTATATATTTTCTATGTACAGAGATAATCTATTACTGTTGTAAAACAACAATATATAGTTTTTTGTTTTGTTTTGTTGAGACTGAGCCTCGCTATATCACCCAGGCTGGAGTGCAATGGCGCCATCTCTGCTCACTGCAGCCTCCACCTCCCAGGTTCAAGCGATTCTCCCTCCCCAGCCTCCTGAGTGGCTGGGATTACAGGCACGCACCACCATGCCTGGCTAATTTTTGTATTTTTAGTAGAGGCAGAGTTTCACCACGTTGGTCATGCTGGTCTCGAACTCCCGAACTCAGGTGATTCGCTCGCTTTGGTCTCAAAGGCGGGATTACAGCATGAGCCACCTCGCCCAGCAATATATAGTTTTAAAAAGCAATCTGGGGGCCGGGCGTGGTGGCTCATGCCTGTAATCCCAGCACTTTGGGAGGCTGAGGCAGGCAGATCATGAAGTCAGGAGTTTGAGACCAGCCTGACCAACATGGTGAAACCCCATGTCTACTACAAATACAAAAATTAGCCACGTGTGGTGGTGGGCACCCATAATCCCAGCTACTCAGGAGGCTGATGCAGGAGAATCGCTTGAACCCTGGAGGTGGAGGTTGCAATGACCCAAGATTGCGCCACTGCACTCCAGCCTGGGCAACAGAGACTCCATCTAAAAAAAAAAAAGCCGGGGTTGGGGGGCCGGGCGCGGTGGCTCACGCCTATAATTCCAGCACTTTGGGAGGCCCAGGCAGGTGGATCATGAGATCAGGAGTTCAAGACCAGCCTGGCCAATATGGTGAAATCCTGTCCGTAAAAATACAAAAATTAGCCGGGTGTGGTGGCGCACGCCTGTAGTCCCAGCTACTCAGGAGGCTAAGGCAGAAGAAACACTTGAACCTGGGAGGCAGAGGTTGCAGTGAGCCGAGATTGTGCCACTGCACTCCAGCCTGCGTGACAGAGCAAGATCCTGTCTCAAAAAAGAATAATAAACAAAATAAAAAGAAAACTACAAGATCTGAAGAAAAAAATTTAAAGACCTAAATAAATGGAGAGACATACCACATTCTTACATGCAGACATACTATCATACAGGTATCGGTTCTCGGTAATTGATCTATGGATTCATTGCAATTCCAATCAAAATCCCAGCAGGACTTTCTGTAGATTTAGACAAACTGATTCTAAATGCACCACACGTGGAAAAATGAAAGAAGACTCACATAACCCAACGTTACACTGACTGTGGAGTGACAGCGTGAGGCCAGCTTGGTGTTGGAGAAGGGGCAGACACACACCGAGGGAAGACGATGGAGATCCCAGAAACGGACGCACACAAATATGGCTCATGGATTATTGACCAAGGTACACAAGCAATTCAGTAGAGAAAGGAAGATCTGGCCGGGCGCGGTGGCTCACACCTGTAATCCCAGCACTTTGGGAGGCTGAGGCGGGTGGTTCACCTGAGGTCGGGAGTTCAAGATCAGCCTGACCAACATCGAGAAACCCCGTCTCTACTAAAAATACAAAATTAGTCAGGCATGGTCGCAGGTGCCTGTAATCACAGCTACTCGGGAGGCTGAGGCAGGAGAATCGCTTGAACCCGGGAGGCGGAGGTTGTAGTAAGCCGAGATTGCACCATTGCACTCCAGCCTGGGCAAAAAGAGTGAAACTCTGTCTCAAAAAAATAAATTAATTAATTAAAATAAAATAAAAAAGAGAAAGGAAAATCTTTTCAACAAGCAGTGTGGGAACAACTGGGCATTCTTATGCAGAAAAATGAATCTTGACCTAAACGTCATAACTTAGACCTATGATCCATTTTGAGACAATCTTGTATAAGTATAAAATATAAAAACTGGTGGGGCATAGTGGCTCATGCCTGTAATCCCAGCACTTTGGGAGGCCGAGGCGGGTGAATCATGAGGTCAGGAGATCAGGACCATCCTGGCCGACATGGTGAAACCCTATCTCTACTAAAATACAAAAACAAAAATTAGCTGGGCGTGGTGGTGCCTGCCTGTAGTCCCAGCTACTCAGGAGGCTGAGGCAAGGTAATCACTTGAACCCAGGAGGTGGAGGTTGCAGTGAGCCAAGATCTCACCGCTGCACTCCAGCCTGGAGACAAAGCAAGACTCCGTCTCAAAAAAAAAAAAAAATAGACAACTTGGGGCCGGGCGCGGTGGGTCACACCTGTAATCCCAGCACTTTGGGAGGCCGAGGCGGGCAGATCACCTGAGGTCGGGAGTTTGAGACCAGCCTGGCCAACATGGTGAAACCCTGTCTCTACTAAAAATACAAAAATCAGGCCAGGCACGGTGGCTCACGCCTGTAATCCCAGCACTTTGGGAGGCCAAGGCGGGCGGATCACGAGGTCAGGAGATCGAGACCATCCTGGCTAACACGGTGAAGCCCCATCTCTACTAAAAACACAAAAAATTAGCCGGCCGTGGTGGCGGCCGCCTGTAGTCCCAGCTACTCGGGAGGCTGAGGCAGGAGAATGGCGTGAACCCAGTAGGCGGAGCTTGCAGTGAGCCGAGATCGCGCCACTGCACTCCAGCCTGGGTGACAGAGGTGACAGAGTGAGACCCTGTCTCAAAGAAAAAAAAAAAAATCTCAAAAACATAACCAAATTAAAAAACCAGTTTCCAAAATGAACAAAGGGCTGGGTGAAGTGGCTCATGCCTGTAATCCGAATACTTAGAGAGGCTGAGGCAGAAGGATCACTTGAGGCCAGGAGTTTGAGACCAGCCTGGCCAACATAGTGAGACCTGGTCTGTACGAAAAATTAAAAAAGCATTTAGCCAGGCATGCTGGTGCACGCCTGTAGTCCTAGCTACTCGGGAGACTGAAGCAGAAGGATCACTTAAGCCAGGCAGGTTGAGGCTGCAGTGAGCTACCATCACACCACACTCCAGCCTGGGGGACAGAGCCAGACCCTGTCTCCAACAAATAAATAAATAGGCCAGGCGCGGTGGCTCACACCTATAATCCCGGCATGATCCTTCCCTTTGGGAGGCCAAGGCAGGCAGATCACCTGAGGTCAGGAGTTCAAGACCAGTATGGGCAACCTGGTGAAACCGTGTCTCTACTAAAAGTATAAAAAATTAGCCGGGCGTGGTGGCAGGTGCCTGTAGTCCCAGCTACTCGGGAGGCTGAGGCAGGAGAATCGCTTGAAACTGTGAGGCGGAGGCTACAGTGAGCCAAGATCGCACCACTGCACTCCAGCCTGGGCGACAGTGAGACTCCGTCTCAAAAGTAATAAAATAAAAACAAAACTAAAAATAAGATGAAGACTTGAACAAAAACTTCAGCAAAGGGGACCTGCAGCAGGCACACAGCGCTAAGGAGACGTCCAGGCTGTGGCCACCAGCCAACTGCAAACTGAAACCATAACGAGATCCCGCAACACGCCCAAGATGAAAATCACGGGCGACAGGACTCCGATGCATCCCGGCTGAGAAGGCAAGGGGCCCGGCACGCTGGACAGTCAGGTGCAGAGTCAGGCACATACCACAGGACCCAGCAACCCCGCCCCCAGTGTCTCCCCTAACAAACTGAAAGTCTACGTCCTCGGGGGGCACGGTACACAAATGCCTATGGAGGAGGCTCCAGTCGTAACAGGCAAGATCTGGCAGCAAACTAAATATTCTTTAGCAGGTGAACAACCTGTGCTACATCCCTACAAAGAAATACTGCTCAGTGGCCGGGCACGGTGGCTCATGCCTGTAATCCCAGCACTTTGGGAGGCCCAGGTGGGTGGATCACCTGAGGTCAGGAGTTGGAGACCAGCCTGGCCAACATGGCAAAACCCCGTCTCTACTAAAAATACAAAAATTAGCCAGGCATGGTGGTGGGCACCAGTAGTCCCAGCTACTGGGGAGGCTGAGACAGGAGAATTGCTTGAACCTGGGAGGCGGAGGTTGCAGTGAGCCAAGATCACGCCACTGCACTCCAGCCTGGGCGACAGAGCGAGACACCGTCTAAAAAAAGAAAAAAAAAGAAATATTGTTCAGCAAAAATGCACAGGCACACACACCAATCTTCTAATGTTAGAAATTTTGGGACTGGCCAGGTGCGGTGGCTCACGCCTGTAATCCCAGCACTTTGGGAGGCCGAGGCGGGCAGATCATGAGGTCAGGAGCTCCAGACCATCCTGGCTAACACGGTGAAACCCCGTCTCTACAAAAATACAAAAAAATTAGCCGGGTGTGGTGGCGGGCACCTGTAATCCCAGCTACTCAGGAGGCTGAGGCAGGAGAATCACTTGAACCCAGGAGGTAGAGGTTGCAGTGAGCTGAGATCGCGCCACTGCATGCCAGCCTGGCCAACATCAAGACTCCATCTCAAAAAAAAAAATTTGCAACGTGCCGTGTGGCACTGTGCTAACCACGAGCACCTTGCGCAGTGAACTCTGGGACTCACGCATCTTCCCAGACTGAAATCTGTTATCAGTTGAACAGCAACTCCCAGCTCCCCTCCCCAGCCCCTGCCCACGGCCACCCTACTTTCTGCTTCTGAGTTTGACTGCCTCACAGCAGAGAGTCATGCACTTGGCAAAACGATAGGGTAAGGGTTTTGTTTAGTTTTGGTTTTTTTGAGACGGAGTCTTGCTCTGTCCCCCAGGCTGGAGTGCAGTGGCGCTATCTTGGCTCACTGCAAGCTCTGCCTCCCAGGTTCACGCCATTCTCCTGCCTCAGCCTCCCGAGTAGCTGGGATTACAGGCGCCCGCCACCACGCCCGGCTAATTTTTTTTTTTTTTTTTTTGAGACAGAGTTTCGCTCTTGTTGCCCAGGCTGGAGTGCAATTCCGCGATCTCGGCTCACCGCAACCTCCACCCACTGGGTTCAATCGATTCTCCTGCCTCAGCCTCCCAAGTAGCTGGGATTACAGTCATCCACCACCACACCCGGCTAATTTTGTATTTTTTTAGTAGAGACAGGGTTTCTCCATGTCGGTCAGGCTAGTCCCGAACTCCTGACCTCAGGTGATCCGCCCGCCTCGGCCTCCCAAGGGCTGGGATTACAGGCGTGAGCCACCGCACCCGGCCAATTTTTGTATTTTTAATAGAAACAGGGTTTCACCGTGTTGGCCAGGCTGGTCTTGAACTCCTGACCTCAGGTGATCCACCCGCCTCAGCCTCCCAAAGTGCTGGGATTACAGGCTTGAGCCACCGTGCCCGGCCTGAAACTCTACATTTTTATCCAGGCCTCCCTGGATGGATGTTGGGAGAGTTTACGCGTGGCCTTGTGGGATCGCTGTGGCGGACTCTCAGCTATCAGAGGGCTCCATCACTCCATCGTAAGGAGGCAGCTGGTGGCGAGTCCTGAGCAGGGATGTGATCCGACGGGCAGGCGGCGCCCGGGACAGAAGCTGACGTCACACAGGTGAGTCCCCCACCTCCCCACAGGCTTCCTCCACCCCCTCGGCAGCCCAGCAGGGCCTGTCAATCAGTGGGACCTGGTCAGCTGGCTGCTAGGGGACCTCAGGCAGGGGGGCTTGTCCGCAGGGCCTCCAGCAAGGGGGGACATTCATGACACCCAGCAGGGCTCAAGAAGGTGAGACAGAGGGACACTGAACCCAGCCCTTTACAGAAGACCTGAGTCCACCGAGGAAGGGGGCCAACCCCCTCCCCGCGTCTGCATCCCCAGGACCACCCCGGGTGGAGAGGGCCGAGTGTGGTGCCTCCGCGGGTGCTCTGACGATCGTCTCGAGCCACGGGGGTGACAGTGACAAGGACCTGTGTGCACGTTAGTGGGGCAGCCAGGCCTAGCTGGAGAAGAAACACACACACGCACACGTTCACCCACATACACGTGCACACACATGCTGCCAGTTCAGGGGGTGGAGGACGCTGACTCCAGGCCCAGCTGACCTGCGCGGGGCCCTATTGTGATGTGTGCAGCCACCCCATGACGTCACCGGTGCCAAGTGCCGGCTGTGTGCGGAGCAGTTGGAGACACAGTGGGTGTCCGAGGGGGGGCTCTGCGTCCGGAGGTGAGAGGTGGGTCTCAACACAGCTGCCCTCCCCCATGGTATGGTGACAGTCACTAACAGGTGGCCTGCGCTGGCCTCCACGTGGCTGCCAAGGGCCATCCCTGAGCACTCAGCGGGTGCCTGTTCCACACGGACTATGAAAATGACTGTCTCGTTCACCTCACGGCGACCCCGTGGGGTGGATACGAACTCACGCCATTTGACAGGCGAGACGTCCGAGGTCAGAGGGGAGGAGACGGACCCGACCTTCCTTGGCTGTGCTCTCCAGCCCTGTCCTGTGCTGGACCCAACCTAACCTCTGCAGCCTCCCTGCCCTGGACACAAATCTGGCTGAGACCCCAGACCCTGATGGGGCAGAGCCTGGCACTGGAGGAGCCACCAGGATGGGCCCCTGTGGGTGTGGGCAGAGGGTGATCCTCAGTTCAGGTTTTTGCCAGAAGATGGGTTCCTGCAGGAGGGGGTCTCAGCAGCTCAGACTTCAGATGCGCTCACTGCTGCTCACTGTGGGACAGCCAGACACGGAGCCCTCTGTTCTCCAGCAGTTGTGGACAATGAGGGATCCCTGGAGGGATGCCTGGTGGGCAGCAGGAGTCCCTCTTGTGGGTCAGGGTGCGGGGATGGGCTCTCCCTGCAGGGACTTCCCAGTCTTGTCCTCTGGGATTGGCAGTTTGCAGGGGTATCCTCGGCATCAGACCAGGGGGGCCACACAGGGACCCAGATCTATGGGGCCCAGCCCCGGGAAGACCAGATGGGCTCAGTGGAGAAGCTGACCACATCTGCTTTCCTTTCAGCCAAACCGGGGAGCGTCCCGGCACCCAGGCCTCTGCGGGTAACCCCAGGCATCAAGACCCTCCCTCAAGGGG
Organism: Homo sapiens; assembly: GCF_000001405.40. Taxonomy (NCBI): domain Eukaryota; kingdom Metazoa; phylum Chordata; class Mammalia; order Primates; family Hominidae; genus Homo; species Homo sapiens. Next base: position 529,811 of record NC_000011.10, read on the forward strand.
AGGAGCTGGCTCTCCCCTGCCCATCAGCACAGCTCCAGAATCCCAAGGGGTCAGCTCCCACATGGGGGCCTGGTCCTGCCACACACTGGCCTAGCTGGGCTGTCCCCGAGGCCAAGGCCTAGCGGCATGAGGGGGCTTCCGTGGAGCCCAGGGCAGTGGGCTGCTCTCTGGAGTCCCTAGGACTCGGGGTGTGGCTGGCCTGTCCCCAGATCAGGACACACCCCAGGTTGTCCAGTGGTTCCCGTGCTGGAACTCCTGTTGAAGCCACCCAGGGACCTGGATGCTTCCCACAGTTCAGCATGGAGCAGGGGTGCTGGGCCCTGACCCCTCCACGTCTGTCCTGGACACCCCAGGACCACAGCACAGGCCCAGCCCTGCAACCCCAGCGGGGCCCTGATACCAGGCCCTGCCCAGCCCCGTAATGACCAAGAGGCAGGTCCAGAGATACCTCCTGCACAGGGTCACCTGCATCTGACGCCCCCAGCAGGCAGTGACCAGCACGGTGTGGAAGGAGCCAGGGTGGCACCCGGCAGCCCTAGAGGGCTCCTGGCCTCGGGAAGTCTATCGATGGGGAAGCTGGTCACTCGGAGGCTGCTGGGGAGAAGGGGGAGTGTGGCATTCCCTGGACAGAAGGGCAAGTGTGGCGTCCCCTGGAGAGAAGGGCGAGTGTGGCGTCCCCTGGAGAGAAGGGCGAGTGTGGCGTCCCCTGGAGAGAAGGGCGAGTGTGGCGTCCCCTGGACAGAAGGGGGAGTGTGGCGTCCCCTGGAGAGAAGGGGGAGTGTGGCGTCCCCTGGAGAGAAGGGGGAGTGTGGCGTCCCCTGGAGAGAAGGGCGAGTGTGGCGTCCCCTGGACAGAAGGGGGAGTGTGGCGTCCCCTGGAGAGAAGGGGGAGTGTGGCGTCCCCTGGAGAGAAGGGGGAGTGTGGCGTCCCCTGGAGAGAAGGGGGAGTGTGGCGTCCCCTGGAGAGAAGGGCGAGTGTGGCGTCCCCTGGAGAGAAGGGCGAGTGTGGCGTCCCCTGGACAGAAGGGGGAGTGTGGCGTCCCCTGGAGAGAAGGGCCAGTGTGGCGTCCCCTGGAGAGAAGGGGGAGTGTGGCGTCCCCTGGAGAGAAGGGGGAGTGTGGCGTCCCCTGGACAGAAGGGGGAGTGTGGCGTCCCCTGGAGAGAAGGGCCAGTGTGGCGTCCCCTGGAGAGAAGGGCGAGTGTGGCGTCCCCTGGACAGAAGGGGGAGTGTGGCGTCCCCTGGAGAGAAGGGCGAGTGTGGCGTCCCCTGGAGAGAAGGGCGAGTGTGGCGTCCCCTGGAGAGAAGGGGGAGTGTGGCGTCCCCTGGACAGAAGGGGGAGTGTGGCGTCCCCTGGAGAGAAGGGCGAGTGTGGTGTTCGCTGGAGAGAAGGGCGAGTGTGGTATTCCCTGGACAAAAGGGGGAGTGTCCCTGCAGCCCTGGCCAGCCAGCGGCATGCCCTGCTAGCTCTCCCCCAACCTCAGGGATAGGGAACCCTGACAGGGCACAAGTCCCCGTCCCAGAGGGGCCTGGCCCAGCCTCAACCCGGGCCCTGGGAGGGGAGGGGCACCAGGGGCGCTGTGGGCCCCCAGCAGAAGCCAGGATGACCACACAGGGGACTGAGCTGTCTGTGGCTGTGGCCAGACCTAGAACTTGGCCCAAGGCAGGGCAAGCCCCTTGGAGCAGAGTGGGTGGCAGAGCCTGTGTATACCCAGCAAGGCTGAGCCAGTGACACTACCAGGCTCCAAGAGCAACCAGCCATGAGGCAGGCGTGGGGCAAGGGTAGGGTGAGGGCAGGGGCGGGGGAGAGTGGGGCAGGAGCAGACGGACCAGCTGCCAACCTCGTCCACTCCAGGAGGCAGGGATGGCCAGGCTCCCACGCCCTACTGGCCGCTACCCGACCACCAATGAGGCAGAGGCCTGAGGCCAGTCGGTGCTGGAGCCCTACTTCCAAGGTCCACAGACCGCTTCAGGCCACAGAGCCGAAGAAAACTGGGCATGTGAAGGCCCAGGAGGCGGGGTCCCTATGTCTGCCATTCTTGGCAGGTGCATTTCACGCTGGGAGCAAGTCAGGAAAGGTGATGCCTCTCACCGCCAAGAAGGCTCCCAGCAGAGACCAGAGCCACCGGCACAGATCCCCAACCCCTGAAACCACCTCCCTCTGGAGGACCAGGACGCCCTCCTAGTTGGTAGAAGCACAGTAAGCTCTCTGTCCTTATGATCTGCCTGCTTGTCCAGAGCTCTCTGCCAGAAGCCGTGGACACTGGGGCAGGCGGGAGGAGAGAGCACCACAGCCCAGACCCCTGACCGGCCTCTCCCAACCTCCCCCTCCCAAAGGCTATGGAGAGCCCAGGGCTGGACAGGCCTGAGGTTCCGACATACCTCATGCCAGGCCACACGCGCACCGTGTCCCACCCTCAGCCGAAAACCAAGATCAAGACCATCCAATAATTTACTGTGATCCCATCTGTGCCCGACAAGGGCCCACAGAGGCCTGGGAGGGGAGCTAAGGGCTGGGGTTCCGGTGGCATTTGGGATGTTCAAGACAGTCTGTGCACAGCCTCCCTGGGAGGGTCTGCAGTCACCTCGGCCCACGGTCCCGGGGTGACTGGGCTCCAGCAGCCCTTCCTTCCTTCCTTGCTTCCGTCCTTCCTTCCTCCTCCTTCCGTCTGCACCTCCTTCCTGCATCCGGCACCTCCATGTCCTGAGCTTGTGCTGGGCGGGGCACAAGGGAGGCTGCTGACCGCAGGCCAGGAGACCGGCAGGGGCGGGGAGCCGGGGTCATCCGGTGGGCGTGGCGGCCGCCCTGGGAGTCCCCCTCACCTGCGTCAGGAGAGCACACACTTGCAGCTCATGCAGCCGGGGCCACTCTCATCAGGAGGGTTCAGCTTCCGCAGCTTGTGCTGCCGGATCTCACGCACCAACGTGTAGAAGGCATCCTCCACTCCCTGGGAAAGGAGGGATGGGATCAGGAGGGACCGGCCTGTGGCCGCCTGCCTGGGTGAGGGGCTCCCTGCTGTGGGATCAAGCCTTGCCTGGCCCGAAGCTCCCGACTCCACCAGCCACTTCCCCAGGCCCACCACACACACGGGAAGCTGGACTCTGGCCATCTCGAAGTGCCCAGGGCCACCCGCATCATGCTACAGCAGCCCCTCAAAGGTCAGGGTGGCCCGGGGCCCTCCTGAACTCCAGGTCTGGCCAGGGTTTGACCACCCTGCACCCAGCTCTCGACTCAGCTACGGCCCGTGTCCCCAGTAGCCCCACTAAGACTCAGAACCAACAGGTGCCCGTGGGACACTCTGGGGACAAGAGGGGCCGGGCCCCAGGGTCACCGCTCCGGCCTGGCTCAGGGCAGCTCTCCCCAAGGACCTCCGCCTTCCCCGGAGCTGTGTCGGCCCAGGACTGCAGGGCGTGAGCCCAGACCCCGGCCCTCGCCTCCCTCACTGCCCTGCCGTCCCGGGAGACTTACAGCGCGAGGGGCCGCTGGGTCACATGGGTCCCGGGGGGTCCCAGAGGGTCCCGGAGCTGGAGCTAGAGCCAGAGCGGCTGCCCTGTGTCAAGGGAGAGGGTCAGTGAGTGCTGCTCCCTGGCTGGGGCGGGGCGGGGCGGGTCCCTGGCTAGCTGTGGGGTGGAGAGCTGCCTCACCTGCCGGGTCTTGGCCGAGGTCTCGATGTAGGGGATGCCGTAGCTTCGGGCGAGGTCCTGAGCCTGCCGAGATTCCACAGTGCGTGCAGCCAGGTCACACTTGTTCCCCACCAGCACCATGGGCACGTCATCCGAGTCCTTCACCCGTTTGATCTGCTCCCTGAGAGGTGGAAAGCGAGAGCTGGCTACGGGGGCTGCAGGCGCAGCGGCATCCAGGACATGCGCAGAGAGGACAGGAGGCCCCTGCCTGGACGCAGCCGGCCTGGCCCCACCTGTGCGGCGTGGGCTCCCGGGCCAGCCTCACGGGGTTCACCTGTACTGGTGGATGTCCTCAAAAGACTTGGTGTTGTTGATGGCAAACACACACAGGAAGCCCTCCCCGGTGCGCATGTACTGGTCCCGCATGGCGCTGTACTCCTCCTGGCCGGCGGTATCCAGGATGTCCAACAGGCACGTCTCCCCATCAATGACCACCTGCTTCCGGTAGGAATCCTGCAGGAGGACAGGGCTCAGGGACCCCCTCAGGACCTTCCGTGGGGGGAGTTCACACAGCCAGCCTCTCCCTGGTACCTCTCATGCCCCTCATGCCCCCTCCTCTCCTGGGGTGCTGAGACGAGGGACTCCCCTCCTCTAGAGGAAGCAGGAGACAGGGCCACAGCACCATGCAGGGGACCAGGGGCTGCAGCCAGCCCTATCCTGGCTGTGTCCTGGGCTCGCCCGCAGCAGCTGCTGGCACCTGGACGGCGGCGCCAGGCTCACCTCTATAGTGGGGTCGTATTCGTCCACAAAATGGTTCTGGATCAGCTGGATGGTCAGCGCACTCTTGCCCACACCGCCGGCGCCCACCACCACCAGCTTATATTCCGTCATCGCTCCTCAGGGGCCTGCGGCCCGGGGTCCTCCTACAGGGTCTCCTGCCCCACCTGCCAAGGAGGGCCCTGCTCAGCCAGGCCCAGGCCCAGCCCCAGGCCCCACAGGGCAGCTGCTGGCAGGGCCATCTGAAGGGCAAACCCACAGCGGTCCCTGGGCCCCAACGCCAGGCAGCAAGGACTGCAGCGTGCCTACCTGTGCAGCTGCAACCCAGCGTGCGGGAGGGCTGTCGCCTCGCCCCCACTTGCTCTTAATGACCCAGTGATGGGAAAAGGGACCCAGCCCTCAAAGGCAGGGCTGACAGCTGAGCGCTCTCAACCACGCACCCAAATTAGAAGCTGCTGGGTCGGCAGAAAGGCTAAAGGGAGGCGCCCGAGGGCTGAGGTTACCGTCCTCCAGAACAGGTCTGGCCACGGCGGAGCGCGCCACGGCGTGCCCGGGCAGGCTAGTGCCAGCCTGCAGGCCCCGCGGCGCTGGTGCCTCCGACAAGTATTTGCTGAGCGCCTACTGCGTACTAGGCGCCGCCGAGGGGAGGGCAGACCCGGGCAGCGCCCCGCACCCCCGGCGGGGAACCGGGGGCATCTTTCAGCCACAGAAAGCTGGAGAAGACAGAGGAGCTCCTGGGAAGCAGGGACTGAGCGACAGGAAGGGGCCGAGAAGCGGCGCGGGAGACCCGGAGAGGGAAAAGGCACTGGGGCTGAGGCCCCCGGCCTGGTCCGCGACCTGTGATGCTGAATCGGGGGTGCCCGGGCGTGCCGTGGCCGCGGCCGCCTCCTCCCAGACGCCCCCGGGTGTGAGGGCGCCGGGCCCGAGGCTCCCGGGTACGCCGGCGTGGGGACCGTGCCCAGCGCGAGGCCACGGGTGGGGCCCGGATTCCCGCAGGCCCCAGGGAGGAAGGGGCCCCCGCCCGCCGCAGCCCCCGACGCCCGCTCACCTGTGCCCGCGGGCCCCGCCCGGCCCCACCCACCCGCCGCCGCCGCCGCCGCCGCCGCTTACGCCCGCCGGCCCCGCGCCCCCGGCCCGCGCCGCGCGTATTGCTGCCGCCTGGGGGCGAGGAGGGCGCGCGGCCCGGCCGATCCCTGCCCGCACTCACCGTTCACAGGCGCGACTGCCCCCGGGGCCAGGGCCGGGGCCGAGGCCGGGGCGGGGCGGGGGCGGGGGCGCGCGGTTCGCCCCGCGCATGGGCTCCGTCCGCGGCGGGTGCGGCTCGGGTTGCGGGCGCAGGGCACGGGCGGCGGAGACTCGGGCGGGCCTGCGCACGCCCCGCCCCGCGCCCGTCCGTCTGCCAGGCGCGGCCTACCATTGGCTGCGCGCCATCGGGCCCCGCCCCACCCCGGTTGGCTGAGCGGCCCGTCTGTCAGGAGCCGCGGTCGGGCGGGGCTTCCGGGAGCAACGCGGGAGGCGGAGCCAGTAGGGCCGCGGCCTCTCGGGGTTGGGCTTGGCTGGAGACCGGAGCCGAGCTCGGGGTTGCTCGAGGAAGGCCAGGGAGCCGGTGTCTGGGGGCCCGGGGCGGCATCTCCGAGCAGGGCCCCGGGCTCTCCCGGGAACAGGCCGGCGAGAGAACCCGACTCAGCGGTGCCGGTGCACCAGAGGCCCTCCCTGCGCCGGCAGCGCGGCGCCGCCCACCGCGGAGGTCCCGGGGCTACGGGCTGGGGAAAGGCTGGGATCCGCCGGGACCAAGGCGGGATGCTCGGAGCTGGGGGCCCCCGGGTGGCCGCGGGGTCCGGTTGCCCGGCTGCCCTTCCGCGCAGGTGGAGCGGCCGCGCACCCCACCTACCACCACGCACCCCAGCTCCCCTACTCCCACCGCAACCCACCCCGAGGACGCTTGCAGCCCCGGTGGGGTTCCGGGCGGCGGGCGCAGCCGTGTGCCCTGGGGCCAGGCGTGAGAACGCCCCCTCCACCACTCTCCTCTTTCTCGGGCCTGCGTGGCAGGCGACCCTGCCCGCCCAGTCCCCCCAAACTTGAGGTTCCAACGCTGCAGAAGCTCAGCGTGGTCCAGTTAAACCGTACCCACAAGTTGCCACAGGGGAGCGAAGTGCCCAGGGCTCACCCCAAGCACATAGACGCACATCCTAGCTCTTTCAAACCCAAAAAGACATGTTTTTAACATTTTTTAAAATTGCAAAGGAATCAGAAATACATCCTCATTAAAAAACAAAAAGGGCCGGGCGCGGTGGCTCACGCCTATAATCCCAGCACTTCGGGAGGCCTAAGCGGGTGGATTACTTGAGGTCAGGAGTTCAAGACCAGCCTGGCCAACATGATGAAACCCTGTCTCTACTAAAAACACAAAAAATTAGTCGGCTGCAGTGGCGCGCGCCTGTAGTCCCAGCTACTCGGGAGGCTGAGGCAGGAGAATCGCTGGAACCCGGGAGGCGGATGTTGCGGTGAGCCGAAATCGCGCCACTGCACTGGGCAACAGAGCGCTACTTCGTCTCAAAACAAAAAAGGCGTTTTACAGTCAGGCAAACCCTGCCTCTGCCCAGTCCAGCGCCCGCCTCGCCCTCCTGCGCCGGTCGCTGCTGACCCGGGGCTCCACCCACGTGCGGTCCCGGGGGTCCCGCCTGCCGTCCGTCCACCGCGCGGTCGCAGTCAGAGCTCGGCTCGGGGCGGACACGCATGAACGCGAGTGAGAAGCGGCGACTGGACGGCGGGCGGCAGCGTGTCCCGCGGGCCGGGCACTCGGGTGCGCTCCGGCGTCCGGTGTGTGTTTCCTGGTCCTCGGGGGCGCTTCCCCCGGTGCTTCCTTTTGCCGTCGGCCTCACTTCCAACCGAAGGTCAGGACGGCAGGCCTCGGCCCCAGGGGCGACCCTTCCACCTGGGAAAGGTGGGCGCGAGCCTCCAGCAGAGACCGCCTTTACCCGCCCCGCGTGGGAAGCGCCAGGATCGCGAGGAAACGCGACACGTGCATCGCGACGGCCCAGGCACGGAGCCGCAGGAAGCTGGCACCTGACGCGCCTGCGCCCACCCAACTCGAGTTGGTGGCGCGTCACCTTCCCCTGGGATCGCCCGCAGCAGGGGCGCCCACGCACGTGCCAGTCCACGTGGCCCCGCCCTAGCGACCGTTGCTAAGGGGCGTGGCTCAGCCGCACGGAACCCGAGCCCCCGGCGACTTATAAATATTTGCGTATTCAAATGAGGCCTGGCTCCCGTTGCTATGGCGCCCAGGCCGCAACCCCGCGGCGGCCGGAAGAACAGCCTGGAGTAGGAGACAGCGCCTGGAGGTGGAGGGCGCCCAGGGCCGAGCTGCCAGGGCCGGACACCTAGGCTGAGCCCTCAGGTGAGAGCCGAGCGCACCCTTGGGGTGGGAGCCGCAAGCCTCGCCCTATGACCGGTGCCAGGAGGGAACCTGCGCCGAGGCGTGGGCGCGGGGACGAAGCAGCACAGCCATCGGGGACCCAGTGATGGCCCCGCATGTCAGATCTGGTCCCCTGAGGACCCTTGCCTCCACCACCCCCTGGCCCTGCACTGAAAGGGCTCCCTGTCAGGAGACAGGAGGGGCCCCAAGCCCTGCCCCTGAGGGAGACTCAGAGGCAATGACCCAGGGTGCTCAGGGTTCCAGGGTGGGGCTCAGGAGGGGAGCGGGCTCTGCCTTCCGAGCCCCCATGGTGAAGGGGCGAGGGCAGCAGGGGACCCAGAGGTGATGGCTACCCACCAGGGAATGGCACTAGCAGGGGTGTGGAGACAGGCCCCCCAGTTACCAATTTGGGGAGCATGGGGGCTTGCAGAGGGGACACAGGGTGGGAGCAGGGCCGTGAAGTGTGTGGATGGGTTCAGGCCTGGGTGAGAACACTAGGTGCAGTGTCTGAGGTGGGAGTTCAATGGGGTCTTTGGATCCCACAGCCTCCAACCCCTTGCACCCCCAGGCCTTGGGGCTCAGACCAGTCTGATGCTTGGGGCTCTTGGGCACAGAGGAGACAAGGGTAGCTGACTCAGCCCTTAGTGTCACCCATAGGTGTCCAGGGGCTGCCCGTGACCCCGCCAGCTCACGCCCTCCATGAGGCTCGAGGCTGGCAGGCCTGGGATGGAGGTGGCCAGAGTCTTTGGGGGGATGCAGTGTTGGGGTCCTGCTGTGAGGCCTGGGGCCTTGCACTGGCTGGAGAAAGGCAGGCAGTGGGGGAGATTTGGGCTGGAAACTCCATGAGATTCTGCTTTGGGCTTCACTTCTTTGATCCTTGGTGCATGGTCACCTTCCAGACCAGGCCAGTGAGGCACCCAGAGCCTGAGCCACTGCCCCGCTCCAACACTCCCACCCACCACCTCTGTCAACAGCCGGCCAACTCGCCTGGCACAGGGGCAGCTCTAGACGGGATGGAGAGGATGCATCTTCAGTGTCCACACGTGGTCAACAGATAAAAGCCATGGCCAGAACGTTCTAAGTGGCTACATGTGCATCTGCCTGTTCACGGATTCCTTCGACAAATATTTGAGCATCCCCTCCTGCGACTGTGGACAGCAGAGGAGCACGCAGGCCACGTGCAGGCCACGTGCAGCCCACAGCTCTGGGGCGAGGCAGGCCCTCAACCGAACACGTAGTAAGACACACAGGGCTCCGAAGGGAACTCGTCTCATCAGGAAGATAAATCTGGGAAGGCTGGGTGGGGAGTGCAGTCAGGGGATCAGTCCAGGTCCAGACTGAAGACACATGAAGGTGGTCAGGGAGGAGGACACTGGACGCTCCGAGCACACTTGTCACTCCACGCCTGGAGCTCATGATTCCAGGGCCTGGGGCCGAGGCAGATGTCTGCATCTTTGTTTGTTTGTTTGTTTTTTGAGATGGAGTCTCTCTCTGTCGCCCAGGCTGGAGTGCAGTGGTGCCATCTTGGCTCACTGCAAGCTCCACCTCCTGGGTTCATGCCATTCCCCAGCCTCAGCCTCCCAAGTAGCTGGGACTACAGGCGTCCGCCACCACGCCTGGCTAACTATGTTTTTTGTATCTTTAGTAGAGATGGGGTTTCACCTCGTTAGCCAGGATGGTCTTGATCTCCTGATCTTGTGATCTGCCCGCCTCAGCCTCCCAAAGTGCTGGGATTACAGGTGTGAGCCACCGCACCCAGCCTTTTTTTTTTTTTTTTTTGAGACAGAGTCTTGCTCTGTTGCCCAGGCTGGAGGACAGTGGCGCGATCTTGTCTCACTGCAAGCTCCGCCTCGCGGGTTCATGGCATTCTCCTGCCTCAGCCTCCCAAGTAGCTGGGACTACAGGCACCTGCCACCACGCCAGCTAATTTTTTTTTTTTTTTTTTTGTATTTTTAGTAGAGACAGGGTTTCACCGTGTTAGCCAGGATGGTCTCAATCTCCTGACCTCGTGATCTGCCCGCCGCGGCCTCCCAAAGTGCTGGGATTACAGGCGTGAGCCACTGCGCCCCGCCAGACGTCTGCATCTTTAAGGGGCAACACCAGGTAAGCCTGATGCACGTAGTCGAGGGACACACTGGGCTTAGGAAGAATGGGATGCAAGAGAGGGACACACTGGGCCAATACCCTCAGAGGCCTGGGGAGGGGCTCAGGAAGAACAGGGTGCAAGAGAGGACCCCTGTGGAGAAGGAGGGAAGTGGGATTTGGATGAGCAGCAGGCATTGTGTTGGGGGACCCAGAGGTACCCCAGCATCGGTCACACACCTGACTCTCTTCCTCCTCGCCAGCTGGGTCCGTGGATAGTCAGGTCCTGGGCTGATCTGCTCACCTCTAGGTGCTGTGACCTCAGCCTGGCCCATTCCAGGCTCCCATGGGCACAGTAACCTGGCCAGGAAGCCACTCTGACTCTTGCAGGTACTGCCTGAGGGTACATGCCACCTCCTTGCCTGGATGTTTGACCCACAGCAGGAGAGGGCAGCTGCCTGCAGGTGAAGGGGCTCGGCTGGCACAGGGCTGGGGTAGGGGAAGGCCTGGGACTTGATCCTGGACCCCAGGCTCAGAGACCATCAGGTGGAGAAGGACCCATAGCCCACAGCTTGAGGCAGTGCCGGGAGCCCCACAGCCACCGGCAGCTGGCCCGGCACCCCAGGCTCACAGCCCCTGTGGGCCTCAGGTGGGGAGGCCTGAAGCCAGCACTCCCTGCATGGACCCTGAGGATGGGCAGAAACACAGGGAGGGTGTCCTACGAAGCAGAGGGGGTCGAGCCAAGGCTGGGGGAGGGGAGCGTGAGGCCCTCCAGGCTGGAACTAAGCAGACAAGGGCCCCATGAGGCCCAGCCAAGCTAGGAGCCTTCTCTAGGCTCGGGGTGGGGGTGGGTGCCAAGGGCTTGCTGTGACGGGGGCGGGGGGTTGAGGGCTGGGCCAGGGTCTCAGCCGGGCTGCAGAGGAGGAGGAGCAACAGCGTGGAGCTTTGCACTGTGCCTCTGTCAGCAGGTGACATGTGAATGGATCTGGGCTGGGACAGATCCCGTGGGCCTCGGCGGAGCACCTCCAGCGTCCGGGTGCGGGAGCTGAGCTGGCAAGGCCTGCACAACCCCTGCCCACAGAGCAAGGGCCCTGGCAGTCAGAGGGACAGACTTGGAGAGCAGCTGGTGGAAGAGTACCTGTCCCCTGCCCGGCTGGTGAGTGTGGGCGCTGGGGGCTGTGGCCACAGAGGCCTCCGTGGGGTGACATCCCAGGGCTCCTTCCTGCTGATGGTCCAGCCTGCCCTCTGTCCCCCTCCTGCTGGTCTTGCCTGCTGATGGTTGGCCTCAGCCCAGCCCCTGCAGCTGGGTCTGCTCCACCCACTCTGCCCTTGGGACCCCTACCAGGCCCCAAAACACCAGCAACACCAGGTGCTCAGTGACACAGACGTCCCCAGGCATTTGGGTCACAGACAGGACTGAGCCAGGCCAGAACCCACAAGTAGGGGCTGAGCATCCATTATCCTCCAACCAAAGAGGGGGGTCCTTCACTCAAGCGGGAGACCAGATGGCTCAAAGCTCAGGGCAGGGCCCGGCGCGGTCCGGGCTCTGGGTGCCGGGTGTGGTGTGTCTGCCCTGGGAGTCTCTCTGGAGACGGGCAGCCCCCAGGGCAGGTCCTTCTCCCGCAATGACCCCCCAGCCAAGTGCAGCACAAGCTCTGCTCCTGTCACATCCACTCCCATCCCACCACCCAGGCCAGGGCCAACATGGCCCAGGCAGGGAAACGTCGGTGCCTGCTCCAGCGGGAGCCCCAGAGTCCTGTAGCCAGAAGCAAGGATGGAACTAAAGTGGGGAGAGCCAGGACCAGCGCTGACCCCCGGTTGGTTTCTACAGCAGGCCCTGGCCCGGGTGGATGACCTTCGGCTGGTGAGGACGCTGGAGATGTGTGTGGACACTCGTGAGGGCAGCCTGGGGAACTTTGGTGAGCCTCTTCCCACCCCGCCATGGCCACGGCCACGGCCACGCCTCCCTGTAAACAACACACGTTTCCTGGTTATGACGACAAAGCTGTCCTCACCTCTCGGGCCGCGTATCGGCTTCCTTAGGGTTGGCCTCTGACCTGAGGTCTGTGTCAGGTACAGGCAGAGGGCAATGCACTCAGCACCCCGCACACCACACCAGTACCCCCAGCACGCTCAGTACCCCACACACCCACACCAGTACCCCCAGCACGCTCAGTACCCCACACACCCACGCCAGTACCCCCGGCACGCTCAGTACCCCACACACCCACGCCAGTACCCCCGGCACGCTCAGTACCCCACACACCCACGCCAGTACCCCCGGCACGCTCAGTACCCCACACACCCACGCCAGTACCCCCGGCACGCTCAGTACCCCACACACCCACGCCAGTACCCCCGGCACGCTCAGTACCCCACACACCCACGCCAGTACCCCCGGCACGCTCAGTACCCCACACACCCACGCCAGTACCCCCGGCACGCTCAGTGCCCCACACACCCACGCCAGTACCCCCGGCACGCTCAGTGCCCCACACACCCACGCCAGTACCCCCGGCACGCTCAGTGCCCCACACACCCACGCCAGCATCACAGAGGAACAAAGGCCAAAATGGTGCTGAGTGCCACTTGGTGTCTCCTGAAACTCATCTTGAAATAATCTCAGCCAGGCACAGGGGCCACGCCTGTAATCCCAGCACCGTGGGAGTCCAAGGTGGATGGATCACTTGAGCCCAGGAGTTTGAGATCAGCTTGGGCAACATAGCAAGACCCCTGTGTCTAAAAATAAAAAATTAGACAGGCATGATGGCACCTGTAGTCACAGCTACTCATAGGAGGTGGGGAGGTCAAGCTGCAGTGAGCTGAGATTGCACCGCTGCACTCCAGACTGGGCGACAGAGCAAAACCCTGTCGCAAAAAAAAAAAAAAAAAAAAAAAACACTCCCTCCCCGCCCTCCGCCAGGTTCCTTCTCTTTCGCCGTGTTCACGGTGGTGCTGGCCCCTGCTCCCTCCCGTGCGTGCACAGCGCGTCAGGCCACTGTTCTTTTTCCTGAACTAGTTGAGAGTTGGACATGCAACACCCCTTTATCTACTGACACTTCAGTGTGTATTTCCTGAGAGGGAGGACATTCCCTTAAATGCAGTGCGATGGCCAAAGTCAGGAATTACACCTGTACATGACTCTTAGCCATGCTGAAGACCATATTCAAATGTCACCAGCTGTCCCAACAGTGACTTTTTTTTTTTTGAGATGGAGTCTCATTCTGTCGCCCAGGCTGGAGTGCAGTGGCGCAATCTCAGCTCACTGCAACCTCTGCCTCCCAGGTTGAATTTTCCTACCTCAGCCTCCCGAGTAGCTGAGATTACAGGCACTCACCACCACGCCCAGCTGATTTCTGTATTTTTAGTAGAGACGGGGTTTCACCATGTTGGCCAGGCTGGTCTTGAACTCCTGACCTCAAGTGATCCACCCACCTCAGCCTCCCAAAGTGCTGGGATTACAGGATTACAGGGATGAGCCACCGCGCCTGGCCTGTTTTTTGTTTTTTTCATTGTTGTTTTTTTTAAGACAGAGTCTCTCTCTTGTTGCCCAGGCTGGAGTGCAGTGGTGCAATCTTGGCTCACTGCAACCTCAGCCTCTTGAATTCAAGCAATTCTCCTGCCTCAGCCTCCTGAGTAGCTGGGATTACAGGTGTGTGCCACCACGCCCGAGTAATTTTTGTATTTTTAGTACAGATGGGGTGTCACCATGTTGGCCAGGCTGGTCTTGAACTCCTGACCTCAGGTGATCCACCCGCCTCGGCCTCCCAAAGTGCTGAGATTATAGGTGTGAGCCACCACGCCAGGCCCCACAGTGACCTTTAGAGCAGGGAAGCGTCTTCCCACCCAGGATCACTGGCTGTCTGCATTTCTCCAACTGACTGAGGTGAACCAGGCCCATCTTGATTGGTCTTGTATTGTTTTGCAATGGCCTGTGAAGTCCCTGACCATTGTGTGTGGCTAACCCGCAGCCATCTGCACTCACTCGAGCCCTTCCCACAGGCATGGTCTTGGAGCGCCTGTACCCACACACTCTGCGCCCCTTCTTTTATTTTTTTTTTGAGACGGAGTCTCGCTCTGTCACCCAGGCTGGAGTGCAGTGGCGCAATCTCGGCTCACTGCAAGCTCCACCTCCCGGGTTCACGCCATTCTCCTGCCTCAGCCTCCCGTGTAGCTGGGACTACAGGCGCCCGCCACCATACCCGGCTAATTTTTTGTATTTTTAGTAGAGACGGGGTTTCACCGTGTTAACCAGGATGGTCTCGATCTACTGACCTAGTGATCCACCCACCTCAGCCTCCCAAAGTGCTGGGATTACAGGCGTGAGCCACCGCACCCAGCCACTCTGCAACCCTTCTCACAATGCAGGGATTCTGTCTGCCTCACAGGGGCATATGCCCCATCCTACAAAAGACTCCGAACGCAGAGCCTTTTCCTGGGGCCTTGGGCTGTGCAGAAACACAGGCTGGGGCGTGCAGTGATCTGGTCCTGTGTTGTGTGTGGGACTGTGCATGACGGTCTGAGATGCCAGGGGAGGGGTGTGGAGGCAGCTTGGGGGTGGGGCCCAGACTTTGAGCCAAGGGAGCACCACCCAGCCACGCCAGCCTGGCCCCAGTTCTCTGAGCCAACTCTTGGAGCCCAGTGGCCTCCTGCAGTCCATAGACAATGGTCTGAGCTTCCCTGCTGTGTGGACACCCCTCCATGCTGTGCTGCATTCAGGCTGGCTACAGACGAGGGGCGCGGAGCCGTGAGGCTTTGGGGGCTCAGGGCCACTGAGCCAGACCCTCTACCAGGCCCCATAGAATCAGCAGACCCCTTTGGTGGCCAGAGGAGCCCGCAGCCCTGGAGCAGTTCCTGGGTGCCACGTAACCCCTCCTGTGGTGTGGAGGGAGGCTTGTGAGGCTGGCCCACGAGCAGTGAGGGGCCGGGGGTGCTGATGCCTAGGGGTGAAGGAGGGTGCAGAGGTGGGCGGGGTGAGGGGCCGGGCCAACCTCCTCCTCCTGTGGCCATACAGGGGTGCACCTGCCCAACCTGGACCAACTGAAGCTGAACGGCAGCCACCTGGGCTCCCTGAGGTGAGCGCCTGAGGGGGGTGGGCTGGGGCCCTGCCATGAGGGGGTCCGATGGGACAGGCCCTGCAGGGATGGGGGGAGAACTTGGTGGGAGTGGGGGGACTTGGGCTGGGACCAGGGACCCAGGGGTCTAGAGAGCTCCATCCTGCTGGCTGCCTGACCCCACGTGACCCTGTGGAGGGTGGATGGGCAGGTGGGGGGAGCCTGGGACATTCAGGCAGGTGTGAGGGGGTCTCTGAGAGGGTCTTTGTTGAAAGGACGAGGTCCTGGGCCAGCCTGACTCCCGGGGGTCCTGCCTATGCCCTGTGGTCTCTGGCTCAGCCCAGATGTACCCCCACTTGCCGTGTGACCCCTACACATGGAGCTCTTGTGTCTGCAATGGGTGGGAGCCCCTGCTGCAGGTAGCACCTCACTCAGAGCTGGGGCCAGGGCCAAGGCAGTCATGCCAGGTCGTGTGGCCAGCAAACTCCACAAAGGTGCCCCTGACCTGGGCCCAGAGCTCCCACCTTGAGGTGTCCCTGGTGAACACCCCAAAGCCAACCAAGGACTGGGGGCCTTCTGGCCCCCGCACGGCTCATTGCAGCCCAGGACTTTGGCTGCACCATGAGGCCACGAGCTTGGGGTTTGGGCAAGAACGGCAACCACCAGCCAGAACCTGCACGTAGAACCCAGACCAGACGGCAGCCCCTGGGAGAGGCACAGCCAGAGCCTGTGTAAAGAACCCAGACCAGACGGCAGCCCCCGGGAGAGGCACAGCAGAGCCTGTGTACAGAACCCGGACCAGACGGCAGCTCCCGGGAGAGGCACAGCAGAGCCTGTGTACAGAACCCGGACCAGCTCCCAGGAGAAGCACAGGAAGCTCCGTGCCCCACAGCAACTCACAACATTCGGAGCTGAAGACGTTGGCGGCTCTCACGTCATCGGAAGGGAAAGAACAAGGCTGAAGGAACATCCGACTTTATTCTGGGGGTTTGGGCAAAGTGGGTTTTGTGAAAACGCTGCTGGTTTTATGTAGCCTGTTCCCAGCAGCATAAGGCAGGGGAATTCCAGGCAGAATTCTAGAACATTCTCCAGCTGTGTGAATTGGGCTCCAAGGGCCACATCTAGTTATTTCCAGATGAGGATAAGGGTATTCATTAAGCAACCTCTCTTTGAATGTTTTCTTGATTTTCCTTATTTGTACTTCTGTTTATCAAACAAATATCAAAATGGGCCGGGCACGGTGTCTCACGCCTATAATCCCAGAACTTTGGGAGGCCGAGGTGGGCAGATCACCTGAGGTCAGGAGTTCGAGACCAGCCTGACCAACATGGAGAAATCCCATCTCTACTAAAAATACAAAATTAGCCGTGCATGGTGGCACATGCCTGTAACCCCAGCTGCTCAGGAGGCTGAGGCAGGAGAGTCGCTGCAGTGAGCCGGGAGGCAGATGCTGCAGTGAGCTGAGATCACACCACTACACTCCAGCCGGGGCAACAGAGCGAAACTCTGCCTCAAAAAAATAAAGTAGGCCAGGCACAGTGGTTCACGCCTGTAATCCCAGTACTTTGGGAGGCCAAGGTAGGCAGATCACGAGGTCAGGAGATTGAGACCATACTGACTAACATGGTGAAACCCCGTCTCTACTAAAAATACAAAAAATTAGCCGGGCGTGGTGGTGGGCGCCTGTAGTCCCAGCTACTCGGGAGGCTGAGGCAGGAAAATGGCGTGAACCCAGGAGGCGGAGCTTGCAGTGAGCCAAGATCGCACCACTAAACTCCAGCCTGGGCGACTGAGTGAGACTTCGTCTCAAAAAAAAAAAAATACATGAAGATCTGGAAATGGAAGAAAGTTGGAAAACACTTTGGGGTCAAAGACACAGTGGGCAGCCCACAGAACTGGAACAGAGAGGGGCCTGGACATGAAGTCAGGCCTGCAGCAGGCACCCAGACGACACCGCGAACGAGAAACTAGGATGGGTTTGGAAAATGGACTTCTTAGAAACATGTCTCCCAGCCAGGCGGGTTGGCTCACACCTGTAATCCCAACACTTTGGGAGGCCAAGGCAGGCGGATCACGAGGTCAGGAGTTCAAGATCCGCCTGGCTAACGTGGTGAAAACCCATCTCTACTAAAAATACAAAAAAAAAAAGAAATAGCCAGGCATGGTGTGCGCTTGTAATCCCAGCTACACAGGAGGCAGAGGCAGGAGAATTGCTTGAACCCAGGAGGCGGAGGTTGCAGTAAGCCAAGATTGCTCCATTGCACTCCAGCCTAGGCAACAAGAGCAAAACTCCATCTCAAAAAAAAAAAAATTAGCTGGGCTTGGGCTTGGGCTTGGCGGTGCATGCCTGTAATGCCAGCTGCACAGGAGGCTGAGGCATGAGAATCACTTGGACCTGGGAGGTGGAGGTTGCAGTGAGCTGAGATCGCGCCACTGCACTCCAGCCTGGGTGACAGAGCAAGACTCCGTCTCAAAAAACCGTAAAAAACAAAAACAAAGAACAAAAAAAGTGCCCCTAATACAAGAGTAAATGATATTCTAATGGAGATGGCTGTACTTTTTTTTTTAGCTTAACAAATAAGCCTCTATTATTTTGTGTTTTTTTTTGTTTTGAGACAGAGTCTCACTCCGTTGCCCAGGCTGGAGTGCAGTGGCGCAATCTCGGCTCACTGCAATCTCGCCTCCCGGGTTCACGCCATTCCCCTGCCTCAGCCTCCCGAGTAGCTGGGACTACAGGCGCCTGCCACCACGCCCGGCTAATTTTTTGTATTTTTAGTAGAGACGAGGTTTCACCACGTTGGCCAGGATGGTCTCGATCTCCTGACCTCATGATCTGCCCGCCTCGGCCTCCCAAAATGCTGGGATTACAGGCGTGAGCCACCACGCCCGGCCAGAAGCCTCTATTGTTAAGACCAACAAATTAGCTCTAAGAACAACAAAAAAATATAAAAAGCACATAAATACACAAAATATAAAAGAGCAGTGGAAGGTACTATAAAATTAAATATGATGCACTACCTGTAACAAAACAAAATAGTTCCAAAGGAAAAATGACTAGGTCATAAATTGTATAAAAAATATATTCAGGCCAGGTGCGGTGGCTCACACCTGTAATCCCAGCACTTTGGGAGGCCAAGGCGAGTGGAACATGAGGTCAGCAGTTCAAGACCAGCCTGGCCAAGATGGTGAAACCCCGTATCTACTAAAAATACAAAAATTAGCCGGGTGTGGTGGCGGGCACCTGTAATCACAGCTACTCGGGAGGCTGAGGCAGGAGAATTGCTTGAACCTGGGAGGCAGAGGTTGCAGTGAGCCAAGATCGTGCCACTGCACTCCAGCCTGAGTGACAGAGACTCCATCTCAAAAAAAAAATTAAAAATTAAAAAATTTCAAAGGAACTTGTCATAAATAAAAGACTGAAAGGAAAAACAAACTGAATTATTGGCACTGAAACATATCCTAATAAAGTTACTGGCATGAAGATAAAGGTAAAAAGTTGGAGCAGCCAAGAAAAGAGATTGACTTGTCTTTTTTTCTTTGAGACAGGGTCTCACTCTGTCGCCCAGGCTGGAGTGCAGTGGTGCGACCATGGCTTACAATAGCCTCGACCTCCTGGGCTCAGGTGCTCCTCCCACCTCAGCCTCCTGAAGTGCCAGGATTACAGGCATGAAGCACTGTGCTCAGCCTCAAGTTTTGTTTGTTTGTTTGTTTGTTTGGAGACGGAGGCTCGCTCTGTCGTCCAGGCTGGAGTGCAGTGGCGCAATCTCAGCTCACTGCAACCTCCACCTCCCCGGTTCAAGCGATTCTCCTGCCTCAGCCTCCCAAAGTGCTGGGACTACAGGCACCCGCCACCACGCCTGGCTAATTTTTTTGTATTTTTAGTAGAGATGGGGTTTCACCGTGTTAACCAGGACGGTCTAGATCTCCTGACCTCGTGATCTGCCTGCCTCGGCCTCCCAAAGTGCTGGGATGACAGGCGTGAACCACCGCGCCCGGCCTCAAGTGGTTTTTTAAGGACAGAAATAACGAAGTGCTCCTTAGACGTCGCCACAGTGGACACTGGAACGAAAGGCTTTGCAGCCTCCTGGGAAGAGGCGTGAACTGAGAGTCTGACACCCAGCCTAATGGCTGCATAAGCTCACAGCCAGCAAACATCTGTGAGTCAGAGATCAAGGGGTTTCCATTAGCTGCTCTTGAAGAAATCACTAGACACAAATCCCAGCCAATTCAGAGCGGAGTGGAAAAGCCATTGAAGGCAGCAGGCTGAGGACAGACACTGACTCCACAGCGCGAAAGGACGGACCACCGGGAATGCACCTGAGGGCCCACAGAAGGAAGCTGAAAACACAGTGGGCGGAATGAAGCCCAGGTGAGTCACAGCCTACGGGTGCCGTGAACTGGACAGAAAGAAGATTTCCGAAGAAATCACCCAGCCCTGGAGGAATCTGTGGCTCCTCAGGGAAAGCCTGTGAGCTCAGGTGGCCCTTTCACAAGGAGAGGTGCAGAGATGGCGTAGCAGCGCTGAAGGGACGGCCTCCCAGCCGAGAGGGGCAGGTGCAGGGTCCCTGGGGACAGCGCATGGTGAAGTCACTGTGGCTACAGTGGGAACAGGGTGGGCCCGGCAGGAAGCAACCTGTCCCTGCACACATCAAGCCGCCCTGACCCACCGCCACCTCCAGCAGCTGGTCCCCACAAAAGCTGCCAGCTCAGCACGGGGTCAGCCTCCAGCGAAGCCCCCCACATCGGTGTCCAGGGGCTCAGGCTCCCAGGCAGCACTCCAGACCCTTACTCCAAATTCGAGTGCCCCAAACGCTACTGAGGAGACAATTAGAAAGAGAAAGGTGATGCCTGCAGCCTGCCAGGGAGGGGACTGAGCCACCCACTATGAGGGCAGCGCCTTGGGCACAGCTGAGCCACCGGTCACGAGGGCAGCTCCCCAAGCCAGGCCCTCCAGGGCTTGGAGAAGGTGGGGGACACTGTACCCACACCAGAGCCAGAAGGCCAAGGCAGAGAGCCCCTTCCTCAGTCTAGAGGCCACCATAGGTGGTCACACCTGCCCCTACCCCTGAAGACAGCCAAAGGCAGGTGGTGGCTGAGCACAGGGCTGGGCACATGTTGACCACCAAACCCTGCCTTCTGCAGGGACTTGGGCACGTCTCTGGGCCACCTGCAGGTGCTGTGGCTGGCTCGCTGTGGCCTCGCTGACCTGGATGGCATCGCCTCTTTGCCAGCACTTAAGGTGAGTCTGGGCACCCTGGGCTGGGGAGGCCTGGGCTGGGCCGGGCCCTGGCTCAGAGCCCCGCGCTGCCCAGGAACTCTACGCCTCCTACAACAACATCTCGGACCTGAGCCCACTGTGCCTGCTGGAACAATTGGAGGTGCTGGACCTGGAGGGCAACAGCGTGGAGGACCTGGGGCAGGTGCGCTACTTGCAGCTGTGCCCACGCCTGGCCATGCTCACCCTGGAGGGCAACCTGGTGTGCCTACAGCCGGCCCCTGGCCCCACCAACAAGGTGCGTGTCCCGGGCACCCGGCCAGCATGTGCATGGCCAGGAGAGGCTCCCTGTGGCTCCAGCCCCGGGGCCCCTCCTCTGGCCAGGTACTTCTGTGCCCACCCGCACCCTATGGCCTGCTCACCATGAGTTCACCTCCTCTGTCACTGGAAGTCTGACGGCTCCCAGGACACCCTCCTGGACCAGCCCCGCTAGATCCCACAGGGTCACCTGCACACACGCCATGTCCCTTAACCCACATATGCACCTGTGAGGTCCACACATAAGCCACGTGGAAACACAAAGAACCACGTGTACACGGATGTGTGCACACACACACCTGTGTACGCCCTGTCCAGAGCCACCTCCAGCCCCACAGGCCCCACAGACCACCCTATGCAGTATCTCGGGGCTCTGCGTGCCCTGCTCAGAGCTGGCACACCTGTGCGTGCAGGCCCTGGCGTAGCTCACAGACCCTACACAGGGCACATCTGCCCTGAGCTCACAGTGCTAGCCTCATTAGCTGCTGCTTGGTGCTGCCACATGCTGAGGTCAGCGTCTACCAGTGCCCAGTAGCTACTGCTCCGTGGGCCAGAGCCCTGAGCTGAGGGCAGTTCCATGGGCCAGAGGGCATCCCTGGACCCGGCCTTGGGTCTGGAGAGTGGGGTCCTACATCCTGAGCAGGTGAGAGCCCAGTCCCTCAGTCCCTGGGGTGTGAGAGTGACCCAAGCCCACCCCTGCAGGGTAGGCAGCATCCCCACCTCTGGGCCCCTGCCCTGCCCCACGGTGGGTCTGGGAAAGGGAGCCAGGGAAAGAGCTGGCCGGAAGGAAACACTGGACCCAGACCTGCCCTCCCTCCCCCTCCCCCTCCCCCTGCAGGTGCCCAGGGGCTACAACTACAGGGCAGAGGTGAGGAAGCTCATTCCCCAGCTGCAGGTCCTGGACGAAGTGCCGGCCGCACACACAGGCCCACCGGCCCCCCCGCGGCTGAGCCAGGACTGGCTTGCGGTGAAGGAGGCCATCAAGAAGGGCAACGGCCTTCCCCCGCTGGGTACGGCAGCTGCGCCCGGAGGACCCACTGCTGAGCCCCAGCTCCCCCCAGGAAGAGGCCCCCACCCCAGGCTTCTCAGAAACGGATAGCCACATCTCATGCGCTTCTCCAGCCTTGACCCCGGTCCCCAGAGCTGTGCACACCCGGCCCCAGGCCAGGACACTGTCTCTGAGCAGCCCACAGAGGGAGAGGAAGGTCTGAAGATGAGGGCCTCTCTAGAAGGCTGCAGCGTGAGAGGCCAGCCTCAGGCCATGCAGCATGGGGATTGGGGCCCCTGGTCTGTGGACAGAGTCTGGGGGGCGCTCTCAGGCTGGGCCTTGGTGACCTCTGCTTCTGAACCTCGGGCAGACTGTCCCCGTGGAGCCCCCATCCGGAGACTTGACCCCGAGCTGTCCCTGCCTGAGACGCAGTCCCGGGCCTCCAGGCCCTGGCCCTTCTCCCTGCTGGTCCGTGGGGGCCCCCTGCCTGAAGGCCTGCTTTCTGAGGACCTGGCCCCAGAAGATAACACCAGCAGCCTCACCCATGGTAACTGACTTGCCTCAAAGCTGACCCTGCAGCCCCTCGGCCCCGAACCAGGCCCAGCCATGCTGTCTCTTGCAGGTGCTGGCCAAGTCCTCTGTGGGAACCCCACCAAGGGCCTGCGGGAGCGTAGGCACCAGTGCCAGGTACAGCCCACAGGGACCAGCCCCCCACGAGAACCAGTGTCCAGGGTTGCGGCCCTGACAGTGCCCTGCCCTGCCGCCATTCCAGGGCCAGAATCCCTAAAGCAGTCCCTTTTCCTCCCCAGGCCAGGGAGCCCCCCGAGCAGCTGCCCCAACACAGGCCAGGAGATCCGGCCGCCAGCACTTCCACCCCAGAGCCTGACCCTGCAGACAGCTCTGACTTCCTGGCCTTGGCTGGGCTCAGGGCCTGGAGGGAACATGGCGTGCGGTGGGTGTCCCTCCAGCTCTTCCACTGGGTGTGTCCTGTCCCGTGGGGAAATCAGGGCTGGGGCTACCTTGGCTGAGTCATCCCCAGTCCCAAGGCTCGTGGACCATCCCTGCATGTCCTGTCCCGTGGGGGGATCAGGGCTGGGGCTACCTTGGCTGAGTCATCGCTGGTCCCAAGGCTCGTGGACCATCCCTGTGTGTCCTGTCCCGTGGGGGGATCAGGGCTGGGGCTACCTTGGCTGAGTCATCCCCAGTCCCAAGGCTCATGGACCATCCCTATGTGTCCTGTCCCGTGGGGGGATCAGGGCTGGAGCTTCTCCTCCTCTCCCCACCCTAGCCCCCTCCCCTATAGGCACCCGGAGTCCCAACAGGAAGGGGCTGTAGCCCCCTGGGGCCCACGGAGGGTCCCTGAAGAGCAAGTGCACCAGGCAGAGCCCAAGACTCCCTCCAGCCCCCCAAGCCTGGCCTCAGGTACTGAGCCTGCCCGCCTGCCCCCCAGTGCCTGGGAGTGACCAACACCCCACTTCTATAGGGGGGCCCTTACCCCAGATCAGATGTGTCAACCTGGCCCTGCTTCCTCAGCCATGCTCTGAGAGGGACTGTAACAGGGAGGCCCCCTTCTGGGGGTGGGGGGCTCACGACCAAGGGAGGCCCAACCCAAGTCCTCTCCCAAGCCACGGTCCAATCCCTGTGACCTTGTGTGCCACCCGGGCTGGACGAAAGAGAGGCGTTCCACAAAAGGGGGTATGAACAGAGTCCAGAGGAGTCGGGACAGAAAGAAGGAGCCACCCCAGGGCACCAGCAGGCAGAACATGGCCACTGGGCAGCTTTCAGGGACACAGGCATGAGTCCGGGGGCTGGGAGGAAAGGCGGCCAGCAGCCCCACTGGGAGACCAAGGCAGGAGGGTGCTGCCGCTTCACCCTGAAGATGGCACGCGCACTTGGGGACATAGAATTAAGCCATGCAGTGCCCTTTACGAAGGACACTGACTTCAGTGTGATCACAGCTGCAAAGCAGAGAGGACCCTCCCTCAGCGGGCAGGCAGGCCGGGCAGGGGGCAGTGTAAGCAGGGGCGACCCCACGGTGGGCAGCTGACCCTCCTCTGTGCAGGAGCCTGGTTAAGGGGGCTGGGATGGGCAGGGAACAGGGCAGGCCAAGCCTCTGCTCTTCCATATGGTGGTGGGTGTCTGTGGAGGGGGCAGACAGAGGGGTCAACAGCTGGTTACCTAGTGGCCGTGACCTGCAGGGGTGGAGGGAGGGCAGGCAGGGCGGCCAGGAGGAGGGGAGCTGCAGTGGCCTCAGGGCAGGGTCAGGACAAAGGCATGCCAGGGCTCCAGACACCGGTGGAGGCGGGTGCTGGGGGACCCAAGGCTTGGGAACCGGCCCGGGGCGGTCAGCCAGTGAACAGGCTCTCAGGGTCAGGACACAGATGACCGAGGGTCAGAGCCAGGCCTTGTGGTCTCCTTCTCAGGGACAGGACACAGAGGACCCAGGGCCAGAACCAGGCTTCGTGGCCTCCTTGCCTGCCCCAGAGGTGGGCCCGCCCATGCGAGTCAGGGGTCACAGGGCTGGGAACACAGAAAGTGGGGTGCAGGGGTGCTGCTGCCTGTGGACCCCCAAGGACCACTGCCTCGGGGCTGCAGGGCCACGGGTGGGCTGTGGCCTCCCCACCGGGTGACTCCCTTCCCTGACAGCCTTTCTGACGTCCCATCACTCTGCTTGCTTTCTAGAGCCCTCCGGGACCTCGAGCCAGCACCTGGTCCCTTCACCTCCCAAGCACCCAAGGCCACGAGATTCTGGCAGCAGCTCCCCGCGGTGGTCGACAGACCTGCAGTCCAGGGGGCGTCGGCTCCGAGTCCTGGGCAGCTGGGGGCCTGGCCTGGGTGATGGGGTGGCTGCAGTGCCTGTCCTGAGAGCCCTGGAGGTGGCCTCACGCCTGAGCCCTCGAGCCCAGGGATGTCCTGGCCCAAAGCCAGCACCAGATGCAGCAGCTAGACCTCCCAGGGCAGCTGAACTCTCTCACCCCAGCCCCGTCCCCACTTAATATAGCCCCCACTGCCAGGCTTCCCTGTGCTGGGGCCACGACTTGCCCACATATGTGGTCACAGAGCACAGAATACCTGGGCGGGTGTGTTGGGGGGTGGAAGGAGTGCCTGGCCCTGGGGAGGACCCTCTTGGTGGAGGGGAGTGGGGGACTGGGACCAGCCAGGGAGGCAGCAGAGGCTGGAACCCAGTTTAGGCCCCCAACTGGGTTTGGCCTGGGGAGGGAGGGTCCGGCTCCCCAGCCCTTCCTTAGGGCCAGGCTTTCCCGCGGGCACGGGGGTGGGGGGTGGTCACCCGAGCAGGCCTGTGAGAGGCCTCTCCTGCTAGAATTGGGCATGGCCGAGGGGCAGGGGCTGGAGCTGCGAGTCCACCACTCCCTTGCCGGCCCCAGGGTAAGAGCCACCTCCTAGGCCGCAGTGGCCCAAGGTCCCAGCTGCTCGCCTGAGGCCGCCGGGGGTGCGGTCCAGGCCTCCCGTCTCCGGGGGATCTGTAGGGTTCCCGCACTGCGATAGGGCGGCCCGTTCCCTCCTCTTGGCGCAGGACGCCCCGGAACCCAAACCAACATTTCCAGCTCTCAGGTGTACAGAAATGCGGTTTACTTTGTAGGCCACGTTGGTTCAATAAATGATGCAGCGGACACAGCCCGCCCAGCCCCGGCGCCCGCCCGCGCCCTCCCTCGCGGTCCCGGCCCCACTCCTCCGCCCCTAGGCGCCGCGGCAGGTGTCCGCGGTGACCGGCAGGCAGCTGAGGAAGCGGAAGCCGAATCTGCTCTCCGCCGTGTTCTGCACCGACAGGGCCACCAGGGGGCAGCTACGGTCCACGCTCTTCCGGCACACCTGGGGGGCGCGGGGGCTGAGAGGCGCGCGGGGCGGGGCGGGGACGGGAGGGGAGGGGAGGGGAGGAGAGGGGAGGGGCGGGGAGGAGAGCGGAGGGGAGGGGACGAGGAGACAGAGGGGAGGGAGGGGCGGGAGAGGAGAGGAGGAGAACGAGGAGGGAGAGGAGGGGGCGCACCCGCAAGCGCGCACTCACCCGAACTCGGTGTTCTTTCTGGAGCCGACAGTCCTCCAGGCCCAGCCCGGCCTCTGCGGGAGGCGACGGCAGGGTGGGGTCACCCGGGATGGCGGGCAGGTGCTGCGGCGCGGGGATCTCGGGGTTCTCGGGCCGCGCAGGCCCCTCCCGCGCGTGGAAGAGCTTCCCCGAGCTCACTGGGGGCAGCAGGCCCCGCGTCCTGGTGGGGCGAGGGTCGTGAGGGCGGCGGCCGGCCCGGGAAAGGCGGCCCTAGAGGGCTCCGCGCCTGGGGCGGGGCAGGGGCCGCGGGGCGTACTGGAGGACCAGGGGGCGGCCGGGGCGGGGCCTGGGGAAGTAGGGGTCCGTCCTAGCGAGGGGATACGAGGGACCGTTTCTGCTGGGTCGGGGCCTGGGGAGGGAGGCCAGATCCCGGGGACCCGCGGTCCCCACCCTGGTCTCCGGCGACTGACCCGGGGCTCCCGCACCCGGCCTTTGCGCAGGGGTCGAGGTGGGCGCGGCGGCTTGCGGGTGTCGGCGCCGGGCCCGGCCTCAGGGAGCGGGAAGCGGTCGATGGACAAGTCGGTGCCGTCGGCGAAGACCCTCGGGGCCGGAGTCTCGCGGCGTGGGATCCGGTGCTCACTGAGGACCTGCGGGGCGCGTCGGTCACCCCCACACCCCAGCCCCGGCCGCCCCACCGGGGACCCGCACCGACCTCGCCCTTGGGGCTCAGGAGCAGCGTCGCGCAGCCGCGGATGGAGAGGAGGGGAACGGGCTCCCGGCTCGAGGACGCGCGCAGCGGCTTCTTGGCGCTGCGGGTCGCCTCGCCCCAGACCTGGAGGGGCGTGGAGCGGCGGGTGAGGGGCGGCCGGGCCGGGCCGTCGGGGCCGGGCTCCCGGGCCGGGGCGCACCGTGACGTGGTGCCGCGGGGCCAGCAGCGTGCCCGGCGGGAAGCGGTACAGGCGCTCCGGGAAGCCGCGCACCAGCTGCTTCAGCACCATGCCGCTCAGGTCGGCCGTGCTCTCCTGCGACGGGTTGAAGATGCGGACGAACTTCTCCCGGCAGCTCACAGCCACGATCTTCAGGCCTGTCGGGCTGGGAAGAGAGGAGACGCTGTGAGGAGATGCGGCCGGTCCACCCGCACAGCTGCGCGCCCCGCCCGGAAACCAGCTCCAGTCCGGCGCCGGAGGCTTGGGTCACTCGCCCCTTACCTCTGCAGGAGTTCCGGGCTCCAGTGGTCCGGGTCTGTGCAGGGCTGGGGCGACAGGACCGGCTCGCCGTGCCTGGGTGAGTGGGTTTTCTGGAGATCTAGAGAGAGCAGCGCTTTTGGGGAGGGGACCCTCGAATGGAGTCCCCACCGGATGTTCCCCGTGAGGTCAGAACAGGCCTGCAACGCCTGGCGGGGCAGGGAGCAGGGCCAGGGTCAGATGGGGCAGGAAAGGTGGCTGGACCTTGGGGGCTGGAGGGCCACCTCCAGGGCTCTGAGTGAGATCACAGCTCTGAGGGGGTGGAGGGTGGGTGAAGGGTAACCAGGGGAGACCCGCCCCACTGCACCTTCTGAGTCCCTGCTGTAGCTGCCGGCCTGCACCAGCGCTTGCTCGGAGGAAGCGCGGTGGTCCCGGGGCGGGTGCCCTATCACCTGCACGAAGGAAGGCAGGCCCGGCCGGCAGCTGCTGGAGTCGGAGTCAGCGCCCCCTGAGCTGCTGGTGTTCAGACAGGGCAGGGAGCCCCACTCCACGGTCTTGTGATGCCGCTCGGAATGCTTTCCAGAGGACTCTGGGCTCCCTGTGTCCAGCTGTGGCCAGGGCCGGGGCTGCCTGTGGACCACGCTCTGCTTGATGGCCACTCCAGCTCCAGACCCCAGCCCTGCCCCCGTCCAGCCTCACAAGGCAGTGCAGCAGGGAGCCCCTCTTGCCTCCCAGTACCCAGGCTCAGTTCATGGCAGGACAGTGATGGCTGCCTCAACCCCAACGCATTCTACAGATCAGAGAACGCGCATTGGAAGGTTTAAGAGACTTATCCAGGGACACTAAATGGTCCTTTAGTGTCCTGCGTCTTCACTTGCCAAGGTGAGCCCTCCCTTCTGGCCCCTGGGGAGTCCCTGCTCTGTGCAGTTACTTTTGCTTTGAGCTGGGCTCCATGTTGGTGAAGAGGTTGGGATACCGGCGGGCAACGCTGTTCCAATCCACGTCCTCCAGCCGAAAGCCCTGGCCAGGAAGCAAGAGGCACATGGTCCTCCCCTCCCGCAGGGCTCCAGATACCAGACCACACACGTGGGAGGCCTAGCTCACCTCCCCGGTGGGGGCCTGAATGTTTTCAGAGAGGTCGCTTGGGTCCATCAGAGTCTCTGCCGTCACTACCTGCAAGAGGGGACCGGAAGCCAGTGGGCAGGGGCTGGGTGCTCCCCTACAGCACCTCTCCTCTTTGACCTCACCTGTGCTTTGAGGCCTCCTGATTCCTCCCTGCTGGAGCCCAGAGTTCCAGAGGCACCTGAGCAGGGCAGGCTTCCAGGCAGGCCAGGGCGCCCCAGCAGAGGCACCCGACGAGATGGGGAGGGCTGGGGAGGGCAGCCTGGGGCAGGAGGGCTTGGGGGACAGGCTCACCTCCACACTGCCAGTCTGGGATCGTAGCATGCGGCCCACCCACGAGGAGCGGGCCAGCTGCAGGAGGCAGGACTTCTGCAAGTTCTGCAGCTCGGCCTCCATCTCCTGGAGCGTGCGGGTGGTCTGCAGCAGCCGCTCCTCCAGGTGCTCCTTCTCCTGCTCCGAGAGGGCCTGTGGTTGGTGGTGGGGGGGTGTCTTCTGCAGAAGGCCCCCAGGCCAGCCCCAGCCTGGCTCCCCAACACCAGGACCCTGCCCACTCCCTGTGCCCCTGCCTCACCCACTGGGCTCGCTCCTTCTGTTCCTTCAACTCCTGGATCAGCTTCTGGACCTGGTTCTGCAGGAGTTTCTCCTGACTGTGGGAGCTCCTGGAGGAGGGGTGACCTCAGCAGCCCCCACCCTGCTCAGGCAGGGGTTCCTAATGTCAGGTCAGTGGCGAAGGAGGGGAGAAGGAGGGGCTCCACTGCCACCTTGGCCCCAAGGGCACACAGTACAGCCCCGCTGGGGCTGGCCAGCCTCCGGCTGGTCTGGACAAGGGTCTAGCACCCATCCACATGCGCAGGGTTAGGGTGGAGGCTATAGCGTGTTAACTTAGGATCAGGGTGGAGGGTCAGCGCGGGCAAGGATGAGGGTAAGGATCTGCCTCAGCGGTTGGGGTTGGGGTCAGACAGAAACCAGGAGTCCGGGCGAGGACAGGGCGGGGTTGGGTTGGGCTGGGGACTGTGCTGCAGACCTCTTGGGCGGAAGCCCCGCCACCTCTTCCAGGATGTGGCAGAGCCGGGCGTCCTCGCCATTCTGGATGGCCCACCGCAAGGCCTGGATCTCCAGTTCTCGCTGTCTCCACAGCAGCCGCAGTGTGCGAGGGTCCAGGGACTCAAGAGCCAACCTGCAGCGGCAGCAGACCCTGCTGCTTACTCAGGCCGGCCCCTGGCCACCTGGCCCAGGAGGCTCACCAGTCCTCCCTCTCCTCCTTACTGCGGGTCGGCAGAGCAGACCACCGGTGCGGGGTGGGGCGTGGTGTCTGGCAGGCACGTGGGAGTCTCGGGGGCTGCAGGTGCGCCTGCTGGAGGTCCCAGGTGACCACTGACCGACTCTTGCTCTGTGGGGGACAGGAGAGCCTCTTCCTCGGTTTCTTCAACCTCCTGGCCAGACTTGGGGGCCATTCTCAATGTTCTTCGGGAGCTGGGAGGGGTGGGGGGCCCGTCTGCCGTGTGCGCCTCGTGTGGCCACACAGGTTGGAGCAGCCCAGGCGTCACCACTTACTCACAGAGCGTTGCTCTCTGAAGGGACCCACATGTGGGTGTCCACACCCGTGTGTTTCTGACCAGGCTGGCGCAGCAGGTCACCACCCGACATGTCCCTGGCGTGTACCCCTGCCACCCAGGTGCTGGCCCTTTGCCTGTGATGTGGTGTCCCTCTTTCTCTCTCTTGTCCCCCCAGCTCAGGGCCCTACCCCCAGCACTCACCTGAGGCCCGACCTCCAAGCAGGCCTGGGAGGGAAGGGCTGTATACCGTTGCCATGGATACCAGCACCCAGAAGGGGTGGGGCTGTTTGTTACCAGGAGCCTCCAGGGAGACCCCAGACCAGGCCCCTAGGTGAGTTCTGGGCCAGCCCAGCCTGGAGGAGGTGTGAGAGGCTGAGCCACTGCTCAGCTTAGCGGGGGGACCACTTAGTGACCAACACCCTGAGGGAGGCCCCAGCATCCCCTACCTAGCCTGGCAGCAGCAGCGGGATAAATAGGGGGGCACTGCTGCCTGTGAGCCAGCCCAGCATAGCCATGGGTGTGTGGGGGAAGCAGACAGGTAACAGTGACAAGCTGGGGACTGTGCTGAACGCTAACTGGCAATAGTACACTCCTGCCCACAGCCTGTTTTTAAATTAATAATTAATTCTTTAGAGACAGGGTCTTGCTCCGCTGTCCAGGCTGGAATGCTTCGGTGTGATGACAGCGCACGTTAACCTCGAATTCCTGGGCTCAGGTGATCCTCCCACTTCCGCCTCCTGACTTGCTGAAACTACAGGCACCCGCCTCCACCGCCAGGCCCAGCCCACAGCTCCTTTGACCTCAGTGACAGGCACTCACCTACCTGACCCCCAAACTGAAGCCTCACTTTTCCCAGCCGTGTCCACACCCTCTGGGCTACCCCATTACCATGACAAGTATTCCCTCTGCTCCAGGAGAAAAGCCAGGTCCCAGACCTGACCCATTAAAACCCAATCATTCCAGCTTTCACCCTTCATCTCTGCAACTTTCGGCTATGTAAGGGCTCCCTGGGGGAGCACAGGAGACAGGCGGGCAGGAGGCCCACGCCCACAACTCTTTCTGAGCTGGGCAGAACAATCAATGGCCCACACAGCTGACCGCGAGGCTGCGGGGCCCTGGGCGGGACAGTAGGGTAGGGGGTGAAGGAGCGGCTTCCAGCCAGCTTCACTGTGTGCATGGCCTGGCACTGGGTCCAAAAGGGGCAGGAAGGTGTCGGAGAAGAGCCTCAGCTAGAGTCCGGGCCTTCTGAGCGGGCACCTCCCGCACCAGGACTCTGCGCCCGCCAGCTCCGCAGGGCTCCACCTCCCTCGCCGGGACTGGTGACCCTGCGACCCCGCGACCCCTGCGCGTCCAGACTACTGCAGCTGCGGTAGGCCCCAAAGGCTGGCCCGGGAAGCGAGGGGAGGGGCTGGCCCCGCTGCCCCTGGACGCAGGCGGGGGTTGCGGGATCTCAAGCCAGAGACCCTTCCTGGGCGGGAACCCGCCACACTAGAAGGCTGCTGAGGAAGTCGGCCCAGGAGCGGGGCCAGACACCTACCCCGACGCCTGCCCGCGGGCCGCAGCCACCGCATTTCCGCGTTTTTCGCGGTAGGCGGGAGGTGGGGGCGGGGACTGCGGCTCGGCGCCCCCCTCCGACCCGCCCACACCTGTAGTCTCGGGGGGGGCGGGGCGCGGCGACGAGCCAATGGGTCGGGGAGGGGCGTGACAGAGGCAGCCAATGGGCGCGGGGAGGGGGCGGAACGCCCGCGCTGAGCAGCCAATAGGGGTGCTAGGGGCGGGGCGTGCGGACCGCGGGCCAATGGGGGCGCGGGGCCCGGGTGCGCCGCGGCGCTGGGGGCGGCAGGTTGCGGCGGCGCCGGAGCGGGTCTCCAGGCTGGCGAGCGCCCAGGTGAGCCGCGCCGGGTCCCCGGTACTTGGGAGCGCGGGGCGCGCCTCGAGCCGGCCGGACGCCGACTCCAACTGGGGAGAGTTTTCCGCGATGCCCGGACGGAGAGCGGGGGCGGCGCCGCACCTGCGCCCGCCCTGCGGAACGGGGACGCCCTGGCTCCCGCCAGGCTGGGGTCGCGGCGCGGGCTTCGGTGCCCGCGGCGGGGACCGGGACTTTCGGGGCGAGCGCAGCGATTAGGCGGCAGCGGCGGGGCTCCCCGGGCTGGCGGGGGCTGCTCAGACCCGGAGTCTGCTCCATCTGCAGGGTCGAGGTCTGGGTTGCGACCCCGAGCGCCTCTGCGGCCTGAGCAGGTCGGGGTGGGGCGTTCCCATGCCGGCGGCCGCGGGGCCTGGCGTGCGGGCGCCTCCGCGCCGCCCGGGGAGGGGGCAGTGTCCTCCGAGCCAGGTGAGGCGAGTAGGAAATGCTGGATCTGGTTAATGATTCGCCTTGTTCCGGGAGTGCGAGCGTGGCAAGAGGAAGCTGGTGAAGTGGGGGAGGATGCGTGCTCCGGAGGGCCGCCACCCCAGGAATGTGTGGCTGGCGGGTGGGGCTGGCACAGGAGGGTGGGGCCCGTGCGGAGGGGCGGCAGCCCAGCCGTTTCTAGGGCAGGCCAAGAGGATGAGGAGAGGAGGACCAGCCTGCGATAGGAGTAGGCAGGTCCTGACCCGGTGCCTGCGCCCTCCCCACAGGACAGGCATGTTGTTGGGACTGGCGGCCATGGAGCTGAAGGTGTGGGTGGATGGCATCCAGCGTGTGGTCTGTGGGGTCTCAGAGCAGACCACCTGCCAGGAAGTGGTCATCGCACTAGCCCAAGCAATAGGTGAGTCCTCTCGGGGTCAGGCAGGCCGGGCAGGTAGAGCTGAAGTGGGACCTGGTGGTCCAGCTCCATGGTCTCCCCCAAGGAGAGTGGGGCTGGTTGCTGATCCTTTTTGTTCTTCCCAACTCTTCAAGCCAGGTGGACAGAGAGTCGGGGGGACATAGGCTGACCTTCTCCTCTTCTTCCCAGGCCAGACTGGCCGCTTTGTGCTTGTGCAGCGGCTTCGGGAGAAGGAGCGGCAGTTGCTGCCACAAGAGTGTCCAGTGGGCGCCCAGGCCACCTGCGGACAGTTTGCCAGCGATGTCCAGTTTGTCCTGAGGCGCACAGGGCCCAGCCTAGCTGGGAGGCCCTCCTCAGACAGCTGTCCACCCCCGGAACGCTGCCTAATTCGTGCCAGCCTCCCTGTAAAGCCACGGGCTGCGCTGGGCTGTGAGCCCCGCAAAACACTGACCCCCGAGCCAGCCCCCAGCCTCTCACGCCCTGGGCCTGCGGCCCCTGTGACACCCACACCAGGCTGCTGCACAGACCTGCGGGGCCTGGAGCTCAGGGTGCAGAGGAATGCTGAGGAGCTGGGCCATGAGGCCTTCTGGGAGCAAGAGCTGCGCCGGGAGCAGGCCCGGGAGCGAGAGGGACAGGCACGCCTGCAGGCACTAAGTGCGGCCACTGCTGAGCATGCCGCCCGGCTGCAGGCCCTGGACGCTCAGGCCCGTGCCCTGGAGGCTGAGCTGCAGCTGGCAGCGGAGGCCCCTGGGCCCCCCTCACCTATGGCATCTGCCACTGAGCGCCTGCACCAGGACCTGGCTGTTCAGGAGCGGCAGAGTGCGGAGGTGCAGGGCAGCCTGGCTCTGGTGAGCCGGGCCCTGGAGGCAGCAGAGCGAGCCTTGCAGGTGAGCCCGGGGACCTGATCCCCTGTCACTCCCCCACCCCTGATATGGGCAGATACGGGGATCACAGGGTCCCACTCGGGAGGCAGGTGAGCCCGGGGACCTGATCCCCTGTCACTCCCCCACCCCTGACGTGGGCAGATATGGGGGTCACAGGGTCTGACTCGGGAGGCAGGTGAGCCCGCGGACCTGATCCCCTGTCACTCCCCCACCCCTGACGTGGGCAGATACGGGGGTCACAGGGTCCCACTCGGGAGGCAGGTGAGCCCGGGGACCTGATCCCCTGTCACTCCCCAACCCCTGACGTGGGCAGATATGGGGGTCACAGGGCCCGACCAGGGAAAGTGCTCCCTCCGGAGCACAAGGGCTGTGGAGCCCAGTGGCTGTGCCTCCTAAGGATCTCATGTGTCCCCAGGCTCAGGCTCAGGAGCTGGAGGAGCTGAACCGAGAGCTCCGTCAGTGCAACCTGCAGCAGTTCATCCAGCAGACCGGGGCTGCGCTGCCACCGCCCCCACGGCCTGACAGGGGCCCTCCTGGCACTCAGGTCGGAGTGGTTCTGGGGGGAGGCTGGGAGGTGAGGACCTGGCCCAGCCCCACTCCAAGCTGACTTCCCAACCCACAGGGCCCTCTGCCTCCAGCCAGAGAGGAGTCCCTCCTGGGCGCTCCCTCTGAGTCCCATGCTGGTGCCCAGCCTAGGCCCCGAGGGTATGTCTGTGCCCCACCTCCCCCTGGGGCACCGGGCCCTCCTGTGGCTGCAGCCACCTCAGCCTGTGTCCTCCCGCAGTGGCCCCCATGACGCAGAACTCCTGGAGGTAGCAGCAGCTCCTGCCCCAGAGTGGTGTCCTCTGGCAGCCCAGCCCCAGGCTCTGTGACAGCCTAGTGAGGGCTGCAAGACCATCCTGCCCGGACCACAGAAGGAGAGTTGGCGGTCACAGAGGGCTCCTCTGCCAGGCAGTGGGAAGCCCTGGGTTTGGCCTCAGGAGCTGGGGGTGCAGTGGGGGACTGCCCTAGTCCTTGCCAGGTCGCCAGCACCCTGGAGAAGCATGGGGCGTAGCCAGCTCGGAACTTGCCAGGCCCCAAAGGCCACGACTGCCTGTTGGGGACAGGAGATGCATGGACAGTGTGCTCAAGCTGTGGGCATGTGCTTGCCTGCGGGAGAGGTCCTTCACTGTGTGTACACAGCAAGAGCATGTGTGTGCCACTTCCCCTACCCCAACGTGAAAACCTCAATAAACTGCCCGAAGCAGCTTGAGTGTGTGTGGAGGCTGCGCTGGGCAGGGTCTGAGGTCTTGAACTTGAGCCTCCATGGGGTGCCACTGAGCAGTACCCTGACACACCTGGGGCTCACCACAGCTGGAGTATCTGAGAATAGGATCCCTCAGGGTGCTCAGTAGGGCCCAGGGCTGGGGCTTCCTGAGCTCCACATTCCATCTGCTCTGCCTCACCTAACCCCAGGGGCTCTCCTGTGAGGGCCCCAGCCTGGTGGGCCTGCTGGTTCAGCCTGGCCTGACTGTCCCAGGCATTTGTCTGGACCCCCTCCCACCTGACTCTCTGTCATGTTGCCTGTGCCCCGCCAGCAGCGGGAACTGAGGACGTCAGGACAAGCTAGACCCGCCCGTCAGGTTTACTGAGAACTTGTGGGGGTGGATCCCACACTCAGGTCAGCCAGTCCCAGGCTGCTTCACCACCCCAGGGAGGGTATGGGTACCAGTGGGCAGGGGCTGCCTCCTCTTCTCCAGGTGGGTGTGAAATGTCTGCTCTGAGCTTGCAGCTTTGAAATCAGGGCAGGGGCCAGGCATGGTGGCTCACGCCTGTAATCCCAGCACTTTGGGAAGCTGAGGCAGGCGGATCACCTGAGGTCAGGAGTTTGAGACCAGCCTGGCCAACATGATGAAACCCCGTCTCTACTAAAAATACAAAAAATTGGCCGGGCGTGGTGGAGGGTGCTTGTAGTTCCAGCTACTCGGGAGGCTGAGGCAGGAGAATGGCGTGAACCCGGGGGGCGGAGTTTGCAGTGAGCCGAGATCGCGCCACTGTGCTCCAGCCTGGGCAACAAAGCAAGACTCTGTCAAAAAAAAAAAAAAACAAAACCGGGTGTGGTGGCATGCACCTGTAATCCCAGTTACTTGGGAGGCTGAGGCAGGAGAATTAGTTGAACCTGGGAGGCAGAGGTTGCAGTGAGCTAAGATCACTCCACTGCACTCCAGCCTTAGTGACAGAGCAAGACTCTGTCTCCAAAATAAAAAAAAATTGTGTCCACAGCCCAGCCCCTGCCTGGGCCCTTGGGCTAGCTGTCACCTCTCCTGGTTCTAAGGGTAAGCCATACACTCCCAGCTCCAGGATCCATGGTTGGGGCTGGAGAAATCTTTTGTGTTGAGCAGAATGTGGAGGACCCCTATACCTGGGTACAGCCATGCATGGGAAGGCAGAGGATGGGGATGCCCTAGGTCAGGGGTGTCCAATCTTTTGGCTTCCCTGGGCCACATTGGAATACACTGAGGCCATACATGGGCCATACATGGAATACAGTAATGATAGCTGATAAGCTTTAAAAAAAAAATCGTAAAAAAAACTCACAATGTTGGCCAGGCACGGTGGCTCACACCTGTAATCCCAGCACTTTGGGAGGCCGAGGCGGGCAGATCACAAGGTCAGGAGATCAAGACCATCCTGGCTAACGTGGTGAAACCCCGTCTCTACTAAAAATACCAAAATTAGCCAGGCGTGTTGGCGGGCGCCTGTAGTCCCAGCTACTCGGGAGGCTGAGGCAGGAGACGAGCGTGAACCCAGGAGGCGGAGCTTGCAGTGAGCCGAGATTGGGCCACTAACTCCAGCCTGGGCGACAGATCGAGACTCTGTCTCAAAATAACAACAAAAAACAACTCACAATGTTTAAGAAAATTTATAGATTTGTGTTGGGCTGCATTCAAAGCTGTTCCATGGGCCAACAGTTGGACAAGTTTGCCCTAGATCATGGGGTCTTTGTGCTCTGAGAATGGGCGAGTTTGGGATGGACTCAGCTTTCTGTTGGTTGGCCCTGGATCTGGATCTGGTGCTGCCCCCTTTCTCTGGAGCACACAAAGGGAACAAGAAGGCCTGGACTTGGGCAAGGAAGCCATCCACAGGGCTCCCCAGAAGCCAGGGCCACCAGGAGCTCACTGCTGTGCAGAGGCAACTCGGCTTGGTTATTTCTTGCCTGAGGCAGGGAACAGGGAATGCAGGGAAGCCAGGCAGCAGCAGGAGGCTCCAAACGCTGGTGTCAGCAAGCCAGAACCCCCACCTGACTTCACTCCTGTCTGCCCAGCTCACAGTCGCCTGTCACTGGGAGGTCCTTGGGGCCTGGACCTGCCTGACCTGTGGCCCCAGAAGGGGCTAAGCCCAGAGTCACATGGGATGGAGCCTGGAATGCATAGGCCAAGTGGGTTGTGCCTGGGCAGCAGGCCTGGGATATGAGGGGCCTACTCCTCCATCCACAGCCCCGACCCACATTCTGGAGGGATGGTCGTACCTCTGTGACCAGCCCTCCACACCGTCACATAGGCCAGCAGGGGGCAATGCCAGGTGCCATCCAGAGCCCACCCCCATGTCCTCCCGGAGGTCATGAGCTCTGCCCTACGTACCCCAGCCCCACAATGGGAAGGAGGCATGGAGCTGGCAGAGCATGCGCCACGCCGTCCCTGTGTGTGTTTCTGAGGAACTCCTGTTCACTCTGAGGCCACTGCCTAGGTGCCCGTCCCTGGTCTGCTGCTGCTGGCTCTGATGAAGCTAACCAGCCTTCTTCCCCACCAAGAGGGTGTCCCAGCAGCAGCTATGGCTATGTTCCGGCGGGGGGAAGGCGGGGAGCCTTCCTCCTCACTGGCTGTTTCATTTTTTTATTTTTTTGAGGCAGAGTCTCTCGTCACCCAGGCTGGAGTGCAGCGGCGTAATCTCGTCTCGCTGCAACCTCCACCTCCCAGGTTCAAGCGATTCTCTTGCCTCAGCCTTCCAAGTAGCTGGGATTACAGGTGCCCACCACCATGCCTAGCTAATTTTTGTATTTTTAGTAGAGACGAGGTTTCACCATGTTGCCCAGGCTGGTCTTGAACTCCTGATCTCAAGTGAGCGATCACCCGCGTCTGCCTCCTGAAGTGTTGGGATTACGGGTGTGAGCCACCACACCCGGCCTCTCACTGGCTGTTTCAGGTGAACCAAATCCCATGGCCCCAAAAAGTGGCCAGAGTGCTTCAGATCACTCAGCAAACCTTTGAGTTGCTGAAAAGTTTACTTTTGAGTTTTAAACTGTACTTTGAAAACTATATTGTGAACTGTGTTGACATGAGGAAAGGCTGGGCTCCCTGAAAACATCCAGTTCCACAGCAGGGCGGGCCCAAGCCCAGCCAATCCCCAGGCAATGCAGGGCAGGGATCCCACCTGGTGTAAGTACGGGCAGAGGGCAGAGCCAGGCTGTATCGAGGGGCGGCGCTGGGACCCTCCTCGCCCAGAGTTCCTACTCATCCCCAGCACAGAAGTGCTCTGTAGGGCCAGCTGAGGACACCCCGGTTCACTGAGGGTGGCCCACAGTAAGTCGCCGTCTGGCAGTAAGTTAGCTCTGCAGGTGTGGACCCCAAGACCACACACAGCCTTTCTCAGGTGCAGGTCCTGCCAAGCCTCACTTCGCAGTGGTGACAGGCAACCCCGTCAGGGCAGGGAGCTTCCAAAGGCCAGTCCGAGTCCATGCCAGGCGTCCACTAAATCTGCCTCTCCCTCTCCAGCGAGCAGGTGCAGCCCTCAACTCCTGCAGGCCTGGGGAGCGGAGACAGGGCCTGTAGGCTCGGACACGACCCGGTCCTGATTTTAACAGTAGACTTGAGAAGGCAGGCTCAGCAGACAGGCTGCTGGAGGATCCACCCGCTGTCTCCCGCAGCGGCCCCACTGAAGCGGCAGAAACACACAGAAGCACCAAATCTGTCACTCTCTTCCCGTAGGAAGTCCCCAGAGGTGGCCCTCCGGAGGATGGTCCTGTTGGCTGAAGATATGACCACACCTGTGCCTGCCCAGGGCCACCTTCAGCTTGGCAACAGGAACTCCGCACACTGGTACCCTGGACACACAAGGAAAAGAAAGTTCCCTCCAAGAGGGTATCTGGCCCAGCCTCAGCCCCACCAAGCGGAGGGCAGCAAAGCCCCCGAATGATTTCGCTTACCCCCACCCGCCGTCCCTGCTGGCCAGACAGGCACACCCCGTCCATAGGGCACCCCCTCCCCACGGTATCCAGCTGCCCTCGCGTCCCCGTGTGGCCGCTCGCCTGCCCGCCAGACCCGGACACGGGGCCAGGAGGGTCGCGCTGCCCAGGCACAGATCAGCCGCTGTCACACGCACAGTGGGTCTGGGGCAGCGCAGTGTGCGGTGGGCAGGGGCTGCCCTGCGCCTGGAGGCACTGCCGGGTGGGCGGGCGGAGGGATTGACCCCACCCCCGTCCCCTCCAACTTGGGCGTCCGAGCCCCGCCGCGCCTGCCCAGCCCGACCCCCCGCAGCCCCCGCGGGAGGGCGGCCTCTGAGGGGCGCCCCGCCCGCCAACCTGGGATCCCTCGCGCGTCACCTGCGACCCCGGCGCGGGGCCGTCGCCGGCTCTCGGCCCAACTTCAGCTGCGGCCGCTGGCACCCTCTCGCCCCCCGGCCCGACCCGACCGGCCCCGGGCCCCGCGGCTCCACGCCCAGCCCCGTATGCAAATGACCTGGTCCCTCAGCCAATGGCCGGCCTAGCCGGGCCCGCCCTACCGCAACGCAGCCAGTGGGCGCGAGGGGGGTTCGCGACGCCCCGCCCACCGCCGCGCGGCCCTTCGCGGGCGAGGCCGGCGCGTTCTTTTCTGCACGTCTGCCCGGGGAGGGGCGGCACCTGCCGGGCGGGGCCTGCGGGGCGCCAGCTGCGAGGGCGCGGCGGGGCCAGGGCGCGTCCCCCGGCCGGGCGGATGGTACGGCCCGAGGTGGTCCTCCTCCCGCCGCGCGGTGGTATGGCCCGGGCTCGCGGGGCTTCCGGGCTGGGCGTGGGGCGCAGCCTGGCGACGGGTCCTCCGCCCGCGGGTGTGCGTGGGGCGGCAGGGCCGGCCGGGAGCTGCCCCTCTTCCCGCGGCGCGGTGGTACGACCCGGCCGCCTCCGTGCCCCGCACCCGCGTCCCGCGGGCCCGCCCCCCCCAACCCGCTGGGCGCCCGGCGCACGTATCCCGGGCCGTGACCCGGGTGGGGCCTGCGCGGGCCCGGACACGGCGTCCTCGGGACGCACGCACCACCCCCCGGGCGGCTTGGGGTCCCCAAAGGACGCCCGGGTCCGTCCTGCTGGCGAAGAGGGGGCTCTGGCTCTGCCTGGTTTGCCTGGCGACCCCCACGGGGCGCCCTTGGGGGCTCTGGGTCCCTCCTGCGCGCTCTGTCTCCGCGGAAGCCTCTGGAGCCTGGAGGGGGTGCCTCAAGGGCTCAGGGGTCTTCGCAGCCCTGTGCCGGTCTTTGAGGGGACGAGGCGAGAGAATCCTGTCTGTGCGCTGAAAACGTGTAAAATCAAAGGAGCCTTGACGGTTTGACCTTCGTTAGGACTCGCAGGGCCAGCTTCAGACGTGGAAGTATCGGACTCCGGGGTGGGGCTCCAAAGTGGCAGCCAAAGGAGATTTGGCCGCCGGCCCCCCTTGGCACTGTCACCCTGGTCCTCGGCCCCGGGCCGTCTCCCCTCAGCTCCCTGGCCCTAAACTCACCGCCCTGCTCTTTGTCCTCCCCTGGCCCCATGACCTCCCTGCCTCGGCATCCGCGCAGGCCTGGGCCGCAGCCTGCCCCCTGCCCCAGCCCCGGCGGCAAAGTGCTGGGGCCCCAGGGAGCTTCCGAACCAGCCCATGTCCTCAGGGGCTTGAAGGCTGGGGACAAAAATTCAGATGCAGAGTCTGGGGTGACTCAGACATGATCAGCAAGACATGACCGAGGTCTTGCTGACCCCTTGACCCTTGGCCCCCGATAGAACCGAGTGGCTCCTTGCACCTGTGGCTGCCTGTGGATGGGGAAGGTGCCCAGAGGATCACGGAGCCACTCGGTTCTATTGGGGGTCAGGGGTCAGCAAGACCTCGATCCTGTGGGTCGTGAAGGAGCCTCTAAGAGTCAGTGGGGTCCCTGAGAAGGCCCACGTCTTCATGGCAGGGCAGAGGCTCCTAGGGCAGTCAGACTAGGGGACAAGAAGGGGCAAGAGGACAGGGCAGCTCTGTGTTCCTGTCGTGCCCTGCTGACGTGAACCCACTTCTGCCCCCAGTCCTGCCAATTTCACAGGCACCTTTTCTCAGCATCTGTAGTGAGTGGGATGGTCCCTCCGCCAAAAAGAAGATATATCCACATCCTAATACCCAGGCTTCCTAAATGTGCCCTCATCGGGAGAAAGCATCTTTGCAGATGTCATTAAGGGAAACATCTTGAAACGAGATCATCCTGGACTTTCTGGGTGGGCCCTAAATCCAATGATCAGTGTCCTTATAAAAGACAGGGAAAACAGGCCGGGTGTGGTGGCTCAAGCCTGTAATCCCAGCACTCTGGGAGGCCGAGGTGGGCAGATCACCTGAGGCCAGGAGTTTGAGGCCAGCCTGGCCAACATAGTGAAACCCCATCTCTACTAAAAATACAAAAAAATCAGCCGGGCATGGTAGTGTGAGCTTGTAATCCCAGCTACTTGGGAGGCTGAGGCAGGAGAATCGCTTGAACCTGGGAGGTTGGCAGTGAGCTGAGATCACGCCACTGCACTCCAGCATGGGCAACAGAGTACGACTCTGTCTCAAACAGACAAACAAAAAACACAAAAAAAGAGAGAAGGCCGGGCGCGGTGGCTCATGCCTGTAATCCCAGCACTTTGGGAGGCCGAGGAGGGTGGATCACCTGAGATCAGGAGTTCGAGACCAGCCTGATCAACATGGAGAAACCCCGTCTCTACTAAAAATACAAAATTAGCCGGGCGTGGTGATGCATGCCCGTAATCCCAGCTACTCGGGAGGCTGAGACAGGAGAATCACTTGAACCTGGGAGGTGGAGGTTGAGGTGAGCCGAGATCGCGCCATTGCACTCCAGCCTGGGCAACAGAGCAAGACTCCGTCACAAAAAAAAAAAAAAAAAAAAGGCTGGGCGCGGTGGCTCACGCCTGTAATCCCAGCACTTTGGGAGGCCGAGGCAGGCGGATCACGAGGTCAGGAGATCGAGACCATCCTGGCTAACACAGCGAAACCCTGTCTCTACTAAAAATACAAAAAATTAGCCGGGCGAGGTGGCGGGCGCCTGTAGTCCCAGCTGCTCGGGAGGCTGAGGCAGGAGAATGGCGTGAACCCGGTGGGCGGAGCCTGCAGTGAGCAGAGATTGCACCACTGCACTCCAGTCTGGGCGACAGAGCAAAACTCTGTCTCAAAAAAAAAGGAGAGAAAGAGAAAAGAGACACAGACACAGAGGGAGGCCATAGGAAGCCATAGCCAAGGAACGCCTGGAGATGAAGCTGGGAGAAGAAGGACCTCCCCAGATCCTCAACAAGGAGGGTGGCCCTGCCAGCCTGGATCTCTGACTGCTGGCTTCCAGACTGAGAGAATGCCTTTCTGTTGTCTAAGGGCTCTGGTTTGTGGCCGTTTGATATGACAGCCCTGGGACACACAGACACCTGCCTTCCCTAGGTAGAGAATGCAGCCCTGCCTGTTCCCTCCCCCAGCTCTGAGAGTTTTGACTCCTTTGTTCTCTCCCCACCCACCTCCTCCAGCCACCCCTGCCCCTGCCTCCCCCAGGCATCCACCTGGCTCTGGGGCTCCCTGCTGCTGGGAGTGGGATGGGTCTCAGCAGGGGGCGATGACTGGGCTCATTGCCCACCAAGCCCTGTATGTGCACACGGACCTGATGGTGGGGTGGGGGGCAGGGGTGGGAAGGGGCTGGGCTAGGCCCTCCGGGATAAGCTGGCCTGGCGGGACAGAAGCAAGGGAGCTCCCAGCCCAGCTCCATCCTCCCGTGCACACCAGGAGCATGCACACCATGCTTGCGTCTGCAAGGGGCAGGGGCAGCACACGGCAGTGTCGACCAGGAATCTGGCCGGAGCCTCAGAGTACAGGTCTGTGTGAGGCTGTGTGGGCAGGATGCACATGTGTGCACACTGACACTAGCAGGTGATGGGGGTTGGGGGGTGACCCGTCAGTGTACGGGGGAGGTGACAGTACTGATGAGGGGGTTGTATACAGGAGGTGTCTGCCTGCTGGTGTGTGAGGCATCTATCCACGTGCGAGCAGGTAAGGAGTCATTTTATGTCAGGTGTGTGGGTAGCGGTGGGGGTGGGAGTCAGGAGGTATTGGTATGTGCCCCTGCTCTCATGCTCTCAAGTACCACCTATGCACAGTTTGGGCCTAGTTTGGCTCTGGGCAGCTGCCTGGAGATACTTCTCACACCTGAGCCTGAGTGCTGTCTGACATACCTGGGTTGGTTGTGCACTGACCAAGGATTATGCTCACTGAGGACGTCCTTCATGTCTCCATGTGGATGTCTGTGTTTATTTATTTTTTATTTTTTTGAGACGGAGTCTCGCTGTCGCCCAGGTTGGAGTGCAGTGGCGTGATCTCGGCACTGCAGGCTCCGCCCCCTGGGGGTTCACGCCATTCTCCTGCCTCAGCCTCCCGAGTAGCTGGGACTACAGGCGCCCGCCACCTCGCCCGGCTAATTTTTTGTATTTTTTTTTTTTAGTAGAGACAGTTAGCCAAGATGGTCTCGATCTCCTGACCTCGTGATCCGCCCGCCTCGGCCTCCCAAAGTGCTGGGATTACAGGCGTGAGCCACCGCACCTGGCGTTTATTTATTCATTTATTTATTTTTGAGACAGAGTCTCACTCTGTTGCCCAGGCTGGAGTGCAGTGGCGCGATCTTGGCTCACTGCAGCATCTGCCTCCCAGGTTCACGCCATTCTCCTGCCTCAGCCTCCCGAGTAGCTGGGACTACAGGCACGCGTAACCATGCCCAGGTAACTTTTGTAGTTTTAGTAGAGATGGGGTTTCACCGTGTTGGCCAGGTTGGTCTCCAACTCCTGACCTCAGGTAACCCTCCTGCCTCAGCCGAAAGTGCTGGATTACAGGTGTGAGCCACCATGCCCGGCTTTATTGTTTTTGAGACATGGTCTCACTCTGTCACCCAGGCTGCAGTGCAGTGGTGCCATCGCGGTTCACTGCAGCCTCAACCTCCTGGTCTCAAGCAATCCTCCCACCTCAGCCTCCCGAGTAGCTGGGACTACAGGTGTGCACTAC
This sequence comes from Homo sapiens, assembly GCF_000001405.40. Taxonomy (NCBI): domain Eukaryota; kingdom Metazoa; phylum Chordata; class Mammalia; order Primates; family Hominidae; genus Homo; species Homo sapiens. Next base: position 573,027 of record NC_000011.10, read on the forward strand.
CATGTCAGGCTAATTTTTTAAATTTTTTTGTAGAAAGGAAATCTCACCATGTTGCCCAGGTTGGAACTCCTGGGCTCAAGTGATCCTCCCGCTGTGGCCTGCCAAAGTGCTGGGATAACAGGGCAAGTGCCACCGTGCCTGGCCTGGGTGCATGTGTTTATTATGACAATTACCAGCAGCCCCCCAGGCATCCCGTCCTCCTTCCCAGGAGCCTCGGCGTGTCTGTGGATGCCCCTGCATCTAGTGTCCAGCAGGCAGGCACGTGGCACATGTAAAGGTAGGGGAGGTGCCTGGTGCAGGGCAGAGGGCGGTCCCGCAGCCCGCTGGCTGATCACACTGGACCCCACCTGAGGCGTACCTATCTCGTCCTCACAGTGACCTAAGAGGTAGGCCTGAGCACCCACATTCCTGTTTCACAGCCAAGGACACAGAGGCACACAGAGGTTGAGAAACAGACTGAAGTGCGTGAGTTCAGGTGGCTGGCCTGGGTGACTGCAGTGACACCCAGCCCCTCTGGCCCACCGAGAATAGATTGCTCCAGAGTCCTCCTCAGTCGTCGGCACCATCCACTCCTCCTTCCTGCAGGGGCATTTTCAGAACCCATAAGTGCCTGTTATTTCTCCCATTGCAAACAGAAAACTGTGGGCGAAAGATTACCTAGGTGCCGAAGCAAGAGACTGAAGGCACAAACTGTTTCAGTATAATAAAGAAAATAGAATAAGAATAGTCCTAATACGAATTAGATACAGAGATGATCATGGAAAATTATCAATCATTATTATAAATATTAGTCATTAGCTTTTAATATTACTCTTTGTGGCATTACTAATACAACCTAGGAATAACCGGCGGGTATAGGGTCAGGTGCTGAAGGGACGTTGTGAGAAGTGACCTAGAAGGCAAGAGGTGAGCCCTCTGTCACGCCAACATAAGGGCCGCTTGAGGGCTCCTTGGTCAAGCGGTAACGCCAGTGCCTGGGAAGGCACCCGTTACTTAGCCGACCGTGAAAGGGAGTCTCCTTTCCTTGGAGGAGTCAGGGAACACTCTGCTCCACCAGCTTCTTGTGGGAGGCTGGATATTCTCCAGGCCTGGCCTGCAGTCATCCGGAGGCCTAACCCCCTCCCTGTGGTGCTTGAATGATCACACTCCTTATCCACTTTCATGCTCCTCCCGTACTCCTGGCTCCTCTTTGAAGTTCGTAGTAGATAGCGGTAGAAGAAATAGTGAAAGTCTTAAAGTCTTTGATCGTTCTTCTAAGTGCAGAGAAGAAAATGCTGACATATGCTGCCTTCTCTCTTTGCTTCGGCTGCCTAAGAGGGAAGGGCCCCCTGTCCTATGATCACGTGACTTGCTTCACTTTATCACTTAGAAGATTCACCCTCCTTACCCTGCCCCCTTGTCTTGTATGCAATAAATATCAGCGCACCTAGGCGCTCAGGGCCACTACCGGTCTCCACGTCTTGATGGTAGTGGTCCCCCGGGGCCCAGCTGCTCTTTATCTCGTGTCTTTATTACAATCTCTGGTCTCTGCACACGGGGAGGACACCTGCTAAGCCCCCGTAGGGCTGGACCCTACAGAAAACCACACCCCTCTCTTGCCCTGCTCCTTAGTTACCTCCACCTTTACCTTCCCCTTTGCAGCAAATTGACCTGAAAGAGAAGTTGGTGTTCACAGCCCCTGCGTGCTCTCTGCTCACTCTCCAAACTCCAGCCCCTGGCCCCAGCGCCGCTGGCCCTCGGTGAGTCGCAGTGGCCCACCCTGCTGCACCCAGGCTCCCTCCCCCGCCTGTGTGTGCACGCCCTCTCTGGCTTCCAGAAGCCCCTCTCCTGGTTTGTCCTCCGGCCCCCACCCCTAGCACCCCCTGTGCCCCTTCCTAGTCTCCTTTGCAGATTCCAAACCTCTTCAAGTTGGAGTCCCAGAGTTCAGGCACTGGTCCCCAGTCACACCCCACATGCGATTCCCACATAGTTCTCTTCATCCAGTGCAGCCTCTGCCCACTGCATCTCCTCTGACACGTCCCATTCCCCCAAGGGCGCTAGATAAAGGGGCACCTGCGGACACACACGCTGAGGCTCCTGGGAAGGAGGACCGACCGCCTGTGTTCAGCTTAGAGCCCCCGACCTCCATCTGTCGCTGCTCCTCGGGGGCTGCTGGTAGTTGTCATAATAAACACAGACACCCACGATGAGACGTGAACACGCTCCTCAGTGAGCATTCTTGGGCAGTGCACAACCTCCCCAGCCATGCCAGCCCGCGCTCAGGCCTCCCCCGTCTTCCCCGTCTCTCCGGCGTCGGTTCTCAAGCTCGTCCTTCCCCGCCTCATTTCTCCAAAAGTCCGCAGCAAATCCTGGCAACTCCGCCTTCAGCATCTACCGGGAGCCGGCACTTCCCACACCTGCGCAGACCCACCCGGGCCCCAGCCCAGGCAGCCCCTGCACGGGGAGCCCGCGGGTCTCTGGCGCCCGCTCGGGACGCCTCCCCAGCGCTCCCCGCAGAGCGGCCAGGGGGTCTCGCGAGTCCGCGCCAGCTCGGGATCCCCGGAGCCTCCCCTGGTGCGCTGCAGCCACGCAGGCCTGCGTCCCGAGGCCCACACGGCTTCTGCGCGGCATCCTCAGGACGACCTGGAGCCAAATCCACACGGGACGGCACAGCAGCGTCCTGCCGAGCCCGCCTCGTCCGCCAGCGCGCACGATTCACCGCGCCTGCTGCGGGACGGGCGGACGCGGGGCTGGGCTGGAATAGCCGGCTCACGGAGGGCTCCGGCAGTGTTTGTTCAGAGGAGCGCGGCGCTGGTAGCAGGCGACGCCAGGACTCTTCTCCCCAGGTGCTCCCGCCGCGCGCGGGGCTAGGGAGGAGCTGCGGGCGGGGTTGCGGCGTGGGGGCGGGGCTGCGAGGGTGGGGGCGGGGCTGCGGAGCAGCGGGCGTGAGGCGGGGCTGCGAGGGAGGGGGCGGGGCCGTGGGCGGCCGTCCCGAGGCAGGGCGGGGCTGCAGACGTGGGGGCGGAGCTGCGGGCGCGAGGCGGGGCGGGGCTGCGGGGGTGGGGGCGGGGCTACGTGCGTGGGGGCGGGGTGGGGCTGCGGGCCCGAGGAGGGACGGGGCTGCGGGCGTGGGGGCGGAGCTGACGTACAGGAAGCAGCTCCCATTCGCTCTGGGCGGTGGGCGGAGATCCGGGCGGTACCAGCTGTCCCGGCCGCGGGGGGGACGGCCTGGACCAGCCCATGGTCGCGGGTTAAACAGTACGAGCTCTTCCAGGATATTGGTCTCCCCGGGCGGCAGTCCTGCATTAAAGAGTGTTTCCAAGGTGGAAGGGAGGCCGTTTGAACGCCTCGAGACCCCCGGCTGCAAGGAGTGGCACCTTCCTCACTTCAGTCATTTCTTTCCCGCTCTGGTCTCAGTGGTTCCAGTCAGCGAGCAGGACAGAGGAGCCCGGAAGAGGCGCCGTGCACTTCCGGGTCGAAGAGCGCACGGCGGCGGCAGAGGCGGCGGCGGCCGGGCCTAGGAGCGACTCTCGGTCGTGCAGCGGCGGCGAGCGCTCGCGAGCGGCTGCGGGACGCGAGGTTTCCGGGTAAGTGCGGCGGCCGCGCCGGCCCTGGGGGCCCTGCTCCTCCGGGCCGCGGGCCGCCTGTGGGCGCCACGCGCTTTGTCTGCGGCCTGCACCGCGGGGCGAGGCCTGCGCCGCGCTGGCCGCGGGCCGGGAGGGCGGGCGGGCGCGCGCGCGCTGGGAGGCCCCGCCGAGACTGGGAGGCCCCGCCGAGACTGGGAGGCCCCGCCGAGACTGGGAGGCCCCGCCGAGACTGGGAGGCCCCGCCGAGACTGGGAGGCCCCGCCGAGACTGGGAGGCCCCGCCGAGACTGGGAGGCCCCGCCGAGACTGGGAGGCCCCGCCGAGACTGGGAGGCCCGTGGCCTGCGGGCGGACGTCCTGGGCTTGCGAGGACGCGGCGAGAGCCCACTCGCCTCGCTCTGTGGCACCCACGCCCATGCCCCCTGCGAGTCCGCCCTGCCGCGTTTGGGAGAGAGCTGTGACTTCGTTGCCTTGTGTCCGGCCCCTGTGCATGGTTGCCGTCGTGGGCTTCTGGCCTTGTCTGCATGTCCACAGGCCTGTGTGGCTGGCGGTTTTCCTATTCCTTAACTCTTGCAGTCCTCACAAGAGCCTCTCAGGTGTAGGTATTGTTCCCGTTTTACAGAGGAGGGGATTGGAGCCCAGAAAGGCTAAGTAACTGGCCAGCGCCGGCAGCCGGGGATCCGCGCCAGCCCCGACTCCTACCATGCTCCTTTTGACGGGGCTTGTGTTGCCCCTTCTTCGGAGTTTATGTGCTTTACTTGTTTCGACAACAGCAGAACAGCAGTCAGCTGGGTGAACCACGTTCTGGCCAGTGGTCAATGGACAGGCTCTGAGGCCGAGCTGAGGTTTGACTTCGGGTTTGGCATAGTTGATCTCTCTCCTGGACCATCCGGTTTTCTTTCTTATTGGAAGAATGTTAAGTCAGAGTGCTAGTGGATGGATGGCACCTCAGCATCATGGCCATGACAAGCCTGGCCTTGGCCCTCAGCAGGGCTGTGTTTATCTCAGGCCCGCGGAGACCTTTGTGCGTGCCTGACTTTTTGACTTCCATTGCAGTTGACAATTTTGAGTTCTCCTAGCTGATACAGCAGATGGTGAATACAAGAATAAAAGTCGGCCTGAGTTGAGGTGTTGGACTTGGCTGCAGGCTTGTTCAGTGCCTGGGATGGGCACTCAGGTGCCGAGACTGGCGTGGAACGGGGTTGCAGGCACCCCGGACACCAGAGGCCCTTTTCATTCCTTAGTAACAGTTGGGACTGCCAATGCATTGGTTCCCCTGAATTTGAAAAGAGAGAGAAATAGCCTTTCCAGTTTTTTGTTTTCCTCTTTAATCCCCCAAATCTGGAGGCTAAGCAGGAGAGTCACAGTGGTTCCTCCACCCCAGAGCTCTGCTAGCCCAGCCAAAGGTGGCCAGCAGCTGGGAAGGGCTGTGGTCTTTTCTGCAGAAATGGCTTCCTGGCCTGTGGCCTGGGACATGGCAGAGGTGGGTATGGGGAAGGGAAGATTTGTTGGAGTTGGGGCTGCTGGTGCAACCAGGAGGTCCTAAGCTAGGGGCTCCCATTAACCCAGCATCCTAACTACAGGTCCTGGTGGTCCCAAACAGGTCTTGTGCCTGGTGCTTGTGCCAGAGGGTACCTGCGGAGGCTTCCTGGGTTATTTTGTGTTCTCTGGCAAAATAGCCCCTGGTTACTTTTGTGTGATATCGAGGAAGGATGTTGTTCAGCCTCACGTAACCTGAACGTTCCTGCTGCTGTGGTGGAGGAGTGTAAGAGGCCCGTGGAGTCTTCCCTCACCAGCTGTGGTAAAGTTCAAAGGCCTCAGGACTTAGCCCCACAGGTGCATGGACTCGCAAAGTTCAGCCTCATTCCTGAGCTGGTATTTCTGGCCAGCTCCTATGTGCCAAACCCCACACGGCCTCACTGATCTCTTCTGGCAGCCCTGGGGCAAGCCCTGCCATTGCCTGTCGCCCCACCTAACCCTTGGAGGTGGTCCCCAATCTCAGTGCATCAAGGGAGAGGCCAGGAGCTGTTTGTTCACATACTATGGCTCACTGCAGCCTCGAACTCCTGAGCTGAAGTGATCTTTGCACCTCAGACTCCCGAGCAGCTGGGACTACAGGCGGTTTCCACCACACCTACCTGGTTTTTAACGGTTTTGCCATGTTGCCCAGGCTGGTCTCATAACTTGCAGGCTCAAGTGATCTGCCTGCCTCAGCCTCCCAAAGTGCTGGGATTACAAGCATGAGCCACCACGCCCGGCTGATTCACATTTTTTTTTTTGAGACTGAGTCTCACTCTGTCGCCCAGTGGCATGTAGTGGCGCGATCTCAGCTCACTGCAACCTCCGCCTGCCAGGTTCAAGCAATTCTCCTCCGGAGTAGCTGGGACTACAGGTGCACGCCGCCATGCCCGGCTCATTTTTTCTATTTTAGTAGAGATGGGGTTTCACTGTGTTGCCTAGGCTGGTCTTGAACTACGGAGCTCAGGCCGTCTGCCCACCTTGGTCTCCCAAAGTGCTAGGATGACAGGCGTGAGCCACTGCACCTGGCTACCAATTCACATTTTTTACTTTCTATGTGAAATTCATCATCAAATGAGGATTTGCACTCGGGACAGTTGGACCCTGGGACTCCCCCAGCCCTGCTCCTCCCCCCAGCCCTGCTCCTCCCCCCAGCCCTGCTCTGTTATCTCTTAGGTGGTCTCTTTGAAGTGTTCCTTGGTAGATTCATGTGAGAGAGTCTGCCTCCCTCTTTCAGATATGTTTCTCCAGGGCAGGGACTGCATTCGCCTTGTGCTGCACAAAGTAGGAGCAGGGTAGGTGTTGGAGCAGGCGTCCTGGAAGATGTGGGGTCTGTTGTCAGGGTGGTCACAGCTATTGCCAGGGAGTTAAGGTCCTCTTATCTGAGAGCTGTGGTCACTGCTAGGTCTCAGTGCATGCTGTGGGAGAGGGGTCACCCTCCTGGATGGGCCGTGGCCCTCGTGTGTCTCTCAGAGCCAGTGTCTCTAGGATTCAGGTGCGGGACGAGCAGGGCGTCTCTGCGGAGTTGCTGGGTCCACCAAGCACCAGGGGTGCAGACTGCCTTGAGCGGGGATCATGACCAGGTGTTTTCACCTTAGGGTGGCAGGTAGAAGAAAGGTTAATTACTAATTTGGCAAAACTACTTCTACAATCGCTGTTTCCAGGCAGTAGTAAGATTTGGCAGTTGACAGTTGGATGGAGTTGACATTCTTCACTGTTTTATAAGGCATCATCTTAGAATCTAGGGTTTTGCACTGTCTTGTCAGATGGGAAGTGAGGCCGTCCTGGTTTCTGAGCCCCGTTAGGGTTTGTTGTCCAGGGGTTTCCAGACAGCAGTGGCGCTGACAGCCACTTTCCCCCGTTGCTGTGGTACATGTGCAGCCCACAGTGGTGGTGGGAGCTGAGCTCCAATGCAAGGAGGCCCTGAACTCGAGGGCAGCTCTGGCCCCCTACTTCCTGGCCTCTTGTGCGATGCGCTTTCCTCTGATCATGGATGGAGGTTGGACTTGGTGGGAAACAGAGTGCTGCAGGGCCGGCTTCACTGCCTCGCTGGATTCCTGACTCACTCTCCTAGGACAGGCCTTTCCTCCGAGAGTCGCCTGGGAAACAAGGTCAATAGCACTGATGAGAAATGAACCACGTGCACGTATCTCCTTTCTTATCTGGGACCAAAGTTTGAGGCCCTGGTGTGGAAGGAGGAGCGTGTCCAACTAGATTTCCCAAGGCTTTGTACGGGATCCTGTGTGGTTTCACAGTGACCTTGCAGAGTGGGAAGGGCAGGGGTCCCGGCTGACGGGTCAGGGCCTTGAGCAAGTGGTCTTGGGAGCCGAGGGGTGGGCCTGGCCTCTGTGCCTTCTGCCTCCTCAGCTCTGGGTACCACTGGGGACTCAGCAGCACCCTGGTGGATGGGGTTGGGGTGCGGTCAGAGGAGCCTCCAGGCATCCCAACAGTGGCCAGCCTTGGCAGGGAGAGCACCCTACGTGTCACTGAGGCCCCTCTTGTGCCCAGCTGATAAAGCCCGGCTCTGCCTCAGCTCAGGATGAGGCCGTTTTGTTCGTATATGGTGTTGCGATTCCTCAGGAGCATTGCAGTTTTTTGAGATGGAGTTTTGCTCTTATTGCGCAGGCTGGAGTGCAGTGGCGCGATCTCGGCTCACTGCAACCTCCGCCTCTCAGGTGCAAGCGATTCTCCTGCCTCAGCTTCCCGAGTAGCTGGGATTACAGGCGCCCGCCACCACGCCTGGCTAATTTTTGTATTTTTAGTAGAGACGGGGTTTCATCATGCTGGCCAGGCTGGTCTCAAACTCCCGACCTCAGGTGATCCGCCTGCCTCGGCCTCTCAAAGTGCTGGGGTTACAGGCGTGAGCAGCTATGCCTGGCCTAATTTTATATTTTTAGTAGAGATGGGGTTTCTCCATGTTGGTCAGGCTGGTCTCAAACTCCCGACCTCAGGTGATCCGCCCGCCTCAGCCTCCCAAAGTGCTGGGATTACAGGCGTGACCAATTTTTTTTTTTTTTTTAGTTAAAAACAAATTTTTATTTTCTGGCCGGGTACAGTGGCCAGCTAGGATCTGGCTTTATGGGTAGCTCTGTAAATGTGAATCATGTGTAAGGCTTACTGGTGAGGGTTGTTCTGTGGGTGATATCTTAGGGCTCACCCTTCACGTGCTGTGGCGGTGGATGTGACACTGGGACACTGGGGTGTGGCCTGTGGGGATACTGCTGAGAGTTGTTCTGTGGGTGATATCTCAGGGCTCACTCTTCACGTGCTGTGGCGGTGGATGTGACACGGGGATGTGGCCTGTGGGGAGAGGTCATAACTCTTCAGAGGGTTCTTTGCAGCCTGGGACAGTTTGGAAGTTGCTTGGCTCTTCTTTCTTTCAGAGCTGAGCTCAATGTGCAGCAATGGATGACGACAGCCTGGATGAGCTTGTGGCCCGGAGCCCAGGGCCGGATGGACACCCACAGGTCGGCCCTGCGGACCCGGCAGGTGACTTTGGTGAGCTGCCTAGCGCCGGGTAGGGGCGTCCCCAGGAGGAGCAGGGTGCCTGGTGTTTCCCTTTGGAGGTCGTCTGTGTGTGTCACTTGTCAACTTTCAGTCTAAAAAAATTATGCTTTGATTTTAAATTGCGGAAGTAGTGTATTGTTTTGTTTTATTTTTAATGCAAACAACACAAATGTTGAACGAAAGGATGTTCCCTTTCCTTGCTTGTGCCCCCACCTTGCCGGCCCTGGGGAAGCCGTTAGCCGTTTGGCAGGTGCTCCTGACGCCTCTATGCCTGTGCAAAGCAACCTGCTCTCTGCTGCATGGTCTTGACGCCGCCCTGCGGCCTGTGTCTCACCCTGGTGTCTAGAAGAAAGCAGCGTGGGCAGCAGTGGGGACTCTGGGGACGACAGTGACAGCGAGCATGGAGATGGCACAGACGGAGAAGACGAGGGGGCGTCTGAGGAGGAAGACCTGGAAGACAGATCTGGTGAGACAGCTGGTGTTCACGCCGGCTCCTGTGTTTCCTCTTGTCGTGATGGGGACAGCCTTTTATAACACATCCTCCGTGAGAGTGCTGTCACCACAGCTGGCCATGTCCCTGCGGTCACCTACGGTGAGGCCTTATATTCAGCTGTGGTGACGGCTCACTTTATTTGTAGTACTTCATTTCTTTTTTTTTTTTTTTTTTGAGACAGGGTGTCGCTCTGTTGCCCAGGCTGGAGTACAGTGGTGCCATCTCAGCTCACTGCAACTTCTGCCTCCCGGGTTCAAGTGATTCTCCTGGCTCAGCCTCGTGAGTAGCTGGGATTACAGGCACGCACCATGACACTTGGCTAATTACTTTTTGTATCTTTAGTAGAGACGGGGTTTCACCATCTGGTCTGGAACTCTTCCTGACCTCAAGTGAGCCGCTGTGCCTGGCCTGTAGTCCTCCTTTTTTTTCTTTTTTGAGACGGAGTCTCGCTCTGTCGCCCAGGCTGAGTGCAGTGGCGCGATCTCGGCTCACTGCAAGCTCTGCCTCCTGGGTTCACACCATTCTCCTGCCTCAGCCTCCCGAGTAGCTGGGACTACAGGCGCCCGCCACCAAGCCTGGCTAATTTTTTGTATTTTTAGTAGAGATGGGGTTTCACCGCGTTAGCCAGGATGGTCTCGATCTCCTGACCTCGTGATCCGCCCACCTCAGCCTCCCAAAGTGCTGGGATTACAGGCGTGAGCCACCGCGCCCGGCCTTTTTTCAAGACGAGCCTGGCCAGCATAGTGAAACCCCCTCTCTACTACAAATACAAAAAATTAGCCGGGTGTGGTGGTAGACGCCTGTAATCCCAGCTACTCGGAAGGCTGAGGCAGGAGAATGGTGTGAACCTAGGAGGTGGAGGTTGCAGTGAGCCGAGATTGTGCCATTGTACTCCAGCCTGAGCGACAGAGCGAGACTCCATCTCAAAGGAAGAAAAAGAAATTCTGGCTGTCTGGGCGCGGTGGCTCACGCCTGTAATCCCAGCACTTTGGGAGGCCGAGGCGGGCGGATCAGGAGGTCAGGAGATCGAGACCATTGTGGCTAACATGGTGAAACCCCGTCTCTACTAAAAATAGAAAAATTAGCCAGTCGTGTTGGCACGCGCCTGTAATCCCAGCTACTTGGGAGGCTGAGGCAGGAGAATTGCTGGAACCCGGGAGTCGGAGGTTGCAGTGAGCCAAGATCGCCACTGCACTCCAGCCTGGGCAACAGAGCGAGACTCTGTCTCAAAAAAAACAAACAAAAAAACCCCACCAAAATTAGCCGGGCGTGGTGGTGCGTGCCTGTAATCCCCACTACTCAGGAGGCTGAGGTTGGAGGATCGCTTGAGCCCAAGAGGTCGAGGCTACAGCGAGCTGAGATCACGCCACCACACTCCAGCCTGGGCCACAGAGCGAGACTCTGTCTCAAAAAGATAAAAAATTCTCAGCTCACTTACAATTGGCTGATGGTTGTGCCCTTGAACTTCTTTTGAGAGAACAATGTTCCAAAGGGCAGGTCTGCGCTGGGTGTGGTGGCCCAGGCCCATGGTCTCAGCTACGCAGGAGGCTGAGGTGGGAGGACCCTTGAGCCCAGGAAGTTGAGGCTGCATTCCAGCCTGGGTGTTGGAGCGAGACGTTATCTCAAACAAAACAAAGGGGAGACAAGTCCGTGGGGTGCGCTGGTGGTACCTCCTTCCTTGTCCCCTGTTGCCATCACCCTCGGTGGTGCACAGCCTGTGAGGCCACCAAGGAGGTGGCCCTGCCCCGGCCCTGCTGTGGTTGCTTCCTCAGAGGGAGGCCGAGCTCAGGCTCAGAACTTTGCCTTTCCACTACTTTCCTTCTGACATCACCCTTGGGCTGGAAAATCCATGGTCCTCAAGTGGCTACTGTGATCTGTGTGTAGCAGTCTTTCTGCATAGCCCTGTGGTTATCAGGGTTAGAATGTTCCAGAAAGGTAACACTCCTGTTTGAGACTGTTGGTAAGGGAATGGCACTCATGGCCTGAGCCAATGTGTGTTGGCCGTGTCCTTCCAGAGTTCGATGTTTAGCTCTGCACGTGCTCTGCGGGTCTGCTTGGGTCTGCAGGTCCTGAGGGGCTTCCCTGCTCCCTCCCAGCATCAGGTTAGGGCTCTGGTTCATCTGTAGTAGGTCTCCGCACCAGTTCTGGCGTTGCCAGGGCTGAAAGTGTGGGCCGTCAGGGCCGCCAGGTGACTCTGTCCTTGAGATCCTGAGGGCACATTGGATGCCAGAGACTCTGGGTTGGGGGCTGGAGTGAAGGTGGCGGGAGCCTCAGCAGGGCCCCCACCGTGTCTGCGCTCACCTTCTAGCAGCAAACAGTGCGCCAAGCAGCAGCTGGGGGACAGGGTCATAGACACTGAGAGCTGTGGGCGTCCAGGGGAGGGGCAGGCTCCATGGACCTGGGGTGGGGAGAGGCTTCTGGAGAATCCAAGCTGCCACCTGAGGGGCAGGAGGAGGTGGCTGGGCAGAGGCGGCAGGCCAGGACGGGGGAGCTGTGAAGAGACAGGTTTATGGAGACCTGGAGCCCCTGAGGGCTGAGCGCCCCGAAGGAAGGGGATGGGAAGGCACTGGAGAGGTGTTGGTATAGCCACTGTGAACACTTCTTTTTATTTCTCCAGGACCTTTTTTTTTTTTTTTTTTTTTTTTTGAGACCGAGTTTCACTCTTGTTGCCCAGGCTGGAGTGTAGTGGCGCAATCTCGGCTCACTGCAGCCTCTGCCTCCCGGGTTCAAGCGATTCTCCTGCCTCAGCCTCTCGAGTAGCTCGGATTACAGGCGCGCACCACCATGCCTGGGTAATTTTTGTATTGTTATTCGAGATGGGGTTTCACCATGTTGGCCAGGCTGGTCTTGAACTCCTGACCTCAGGTGATCCACCCGCCTTGGCCTCCCAAAGTGCTGGGATGACAGGCATGAGCCACCGCGCCTGGCCAGGACTGTTTTTTAAACATGAAGAAGTAGCCAGTGGGTCCCTAACTGGTGGGAAACATGTTGAGGAGGGAGTTATTCCACGAGCAACACCCACGTTGCTGGGGCTTGGGAGCTTTCGTTCTCATTGCTTTTCCCACCCTGGTGTTTCCTGCTGGAAATCACTTGTTACACTGCCCTTTCCAGCTTGAGGTAGTAGCCCTTTCCAGCTTGAGGTAGTAGCCCTTTCCAGCTTGAGGTAGTAGCCCTTTCCAGCTTGAGGTAGTAGCCCTTTCCAGCTTGAGGTAGTAGCCCTTTCCAGCTTGAGGTAGTAGCCCTTTCCAGCTTGAGGTAGTAGCCCTTTCCAGCTTGAGGTAGTAGCCCTTTCCAGCTTGAGGTAGTAGCCCTTTCCAGCTTGAGGTAGTAGCCCTTTCCAGCTTGAGGTAGTAGCCCTTTCCAGCTTGAGGTAGTAGCCCTTTCCAGCTTGAGGTAGTAGCTCTTTCCAGCTTGAGGTAGTAGCCCTTTCCAGCTTGAGGTAGTAGCCCTTTCCAGCTTGAGGTAGTAGCCCTTTCCAGCTTGAGGTAGTAGCCCTTTCCAGCTTGAGGTAGTAGCCCTTTCCAGCTTGAGGTAGTAGCCCTTTCCAGCTTGAGGTAGTAGCTCTTCAACTCTTTTTTTTTTTTTTTTTTGAGGTCGAGTCTCGCTCTGTTGCCCAGGCTGGAGTGCAGCAGCACGATCTCAGTTCACTGCAAGCTCTGCGTCCCAGGTTCACGCCATTCTCCTGCCTCAGCCTCCCAAGTAGCTGGGACTATAGGCACCTGCCACCGCGTCCAGCTAATTTTTTGTATATTTATTTATTTATTTATTTTTGAGACGGAGTCTTGCTCTGTTGCCCAGGCTGGAGTGCAATCGTGCAGTCTAGGCTCACTGCAACCTCTGCTTCCCAGGTTCAAGCGATTCTCCTGTCTCAGCCTCCCAAGTAGCTGGGATTACAGGCACACGCCACCACACCCGGCTATTTTTGTATTTTTTGTAGAGACGGGGTTTCACCATGTTGGCCAGGCTGGTCTCAAACCCCTGACCTCAGGTGATCCACCTGCCTCAGCCTCCCAAAGTACTAGGATTACAGGCTTGAGCCACCACGCCTGGCAATTTTTTGTACTTTTAGTAGAGACGGGGTTTCACTGTTAGCCAGGATGGTCTCTATCTCCTGACCTCGTGATCTGCCCACCTCAGCCTCCCAAAGATGCCGGGATTACAGGCGTGAGCCACCACGCCCGGCCAGTAGCTCTTCAACTCTTAACATGAAAGATGGGAACTTAAAACTCTTCTGCTGCCTCCCTCGCAGCTCTCACTTCTCCCAGCCTCTTTAACAGTGTAAATATTTCTGTTCTGGGTGTGTCTTTCCCTTTGCCAGATAACAGAGGGTCCTGGCAGTGATGCCCCAGTGCTGGCAGGGTCCTGCCCACATGCGTGGAACCGGGAGGGTTTGGAGGGTTTCGGGCCTAGGAGGAACCTGCCACCCACACCGAGTCTGCTCCTCTTCCCATGTGAACTTGTGTTCTGTTTACTTTAGCGTTGTTTCATTGGAGTTTGGTACAAAGAAGATAGCAGTGCACGTATGGGCTCTGCCGTGTTGAACTCGGAGCATCTCCCTGCTCCCTGCTGGTCAAGGTGTAGCCTCAGAACCACTCCGAATTGGCCAGAACGGTTGTGGTTAGTGGCCCAGTTAGGAGTCTGTGCTCTGCCTCCCACAGGGAGGAGGAACAGGCAACCTCAGAAGGAAGTCCCTTCCGCGGGCAGAGGGTTTGTGGTCCTCATGCTTTGAGAAGGGGGCGTTGGAAATGGGGGCTGCTGTCAGGGGGCTGCTGCACTGAGGGGCTCGCTTGGAGGCTCTGAAATGAACCTGATGGTCTCTGGGACCTGTGCTAGGCCCCAGGGCTGCCCTGCCTCTCGAGGTCTGCCTCAGCCCCAGGCTCAGCTTAGAGGAGCTGGTCTGGCACTCAGGACGCTCAGCTTCCCGCCCCTCGGTGCAGGGCACCCGAGGCTTCAGGTTAGGTGCAGGGCAGGGCTCCCAGGGTTGTGGATGTGCTGAGCGTGGACGTGGAGGTAAGTGGCAGGAGCCTGCGGGGAGGTGGGCTGTGCATTGCCGACCTGGTGTCCTGAGCGCAGCCTGGGCCCGCTTGCCTCCAGTGCCGCGGTTCACGCTGCCCATCCTGCTTGCACCAGCTGGCATGTTTCCTCTCCAGGTTCCGAGGATTCTGAAGACGACGGGGAGACATTGCTGGAGGTAGCGGGTACTCAGGGGAAACTGGAAGCCGCTGGCTCTTTCAATTCTGATGATGATGCAGAGAGCTGCCCAATCTGTCTCAACGCATTCAGAGACCAGGCCGTGGGGACGCCGGAGAACTGTGCCCATTACTTCTGCCTGGACTGCATTGTCGAATGGTCCAAGGTGAGTTCACCTCTGGTTGGGTGCTTCCTCCCTTCAGGATGGCCTCCCTGTTTATAGGTGACCCAGCCTGTGTTCAGCCTCTTGTGAGGTTCTAGTTGTCTGCTCTGCGGCTGACCCTGGGGCCACAGGATTGAGTCTGGCTTGGTCTTTGCTTTGTGAGCACCATGGCTCTTGGGGGTGTGGGTGAGCTCATGTGAGGCGTTTGTGGTGTATTGGTCAGGGGCAGGAGAGAGGATGGCCGTGGGTCTCCCAGGACCAGCTGCAGAAACCCTGGTTGACATAGGGGCCATCTTGGCCTGCAAGCCAGAGGCAGGTGTGCTGTGGTGCGTGGTCACTTTGCTGCCTTGACATGTGGTTCTCTCAGTTGATACAGAAAACACCGGTACGATTTGGCATTCATTCACAATAACTGGCATCAAAAGAGACTGTCCTTAAAACAGGTGAATAGAGTTTACCGTAAACGTGCAGTGTATTTTATATTTCAAAATGAACTTTTAGAAGCAGTCAGCTCCCCCCTCCCTTTCTGAATATTGTGAAAAATGTCAGAAAAGGAGAGCTTGCAGTCTGAGGATGACTCATGAGTCCCCGACCTCTGTACTCAGGGCTCAGCTCCGACACCACTACCTCTTGACTCCCTCCCCTCCCTGCGATTGCACCAGCAGCCCGTGCTGTCCCCGGCTCTCTTCAGGACCGTGACCTCACCCAGGGTTCCTAGTGACTGGGTCCTCCTGTTCTGTTTCACTGAGTAGCTGAAAACTGCCTGTATGCTTAGTTTGAAGCAGGACCCAGACATTCCTCATGCTGCTGGTGGTGGCAGGCTGTGATGTCACCCAAAGTCTGGCTCTGGTACTTCCTGTTCCTGTTCTGTTGTGGTGGGTCCACAGCACACAGTAGATTCAGACTTAGACTTTTCTTTTTTTTTTTGTTTTTTTGAGACGGAGTTTTGTTCTTGTTGCCCAGGCTGGAGTGCAATGGCGCGATCTTGGCTCACCACAACCTCCACCTTCCGGGTTCAAGCGATTCTCCTGCCTCAGCCTCCCGCGTAGCTGGAACTGTAGGTGCCCACCACCACGCCAGGGCAATTTTGTATTTTTAGTAGAGACAGGGTTTCACCATGTTGGTCAGGCTGGTCTTGAACTCCCAACCTCAGGTGATCCACCCGTCTCGGCCTCCCAAACTGCTGGGATTACAGGCGTGAGCCACCACGCCCGGCCATTTTTATTTTTATTTTTTTTTGTAGATTTTTCTTTTGGCAAGTGAAGCTTTCATTTAAATTGAGGAACAAGATACAGTGTTTGCTATGTATTTTCTGTCTGGCATTTATTAGATAAATATTGGGCAGAAGAGGGCATTTGCAAACAAGTTTGTCAGTATAGAAATCTTACAAATGGAACCGGGTGCAGTGGCTCACGCCTGTAATCTCAGCACTTCGGGAGGCCAAGGTGGGTGGATCATGAGGTCAAGAGATCAAGACCATCCTGGCCAACATGGTGAAACCCTGTGTTTACTAAAAATACAAAAATTATCCGGGCGTGGTACCACGTACCTGTAGTCCCAGCTACTCGGGAGGCTGAGGCAGGAGAATCACTTGAACCTGGGAGTTGGAGGTTGCAGTGAGCTGAGATTGCACCACTGCACTCCAGCCCGGCGACAGAGCAAGACACTGTCTCAAAAAAAAAAAAAGGAGAACTCTTACAGATGAACTGTTAAAATGCTGCTTAGCGAGATTATTGGATACGAGGTTAATAAAGATTAAAATTGTGTTTAGAAATAAGTCATAAGGAGACGTGTAAGACATTTAAAGAGCTTTTCTAACACAGCCGTGACTGAAGCAAGGCCCCTTCCCTTTCGAGACATCTTGCTCCATAGAGAGGTTGAGGATGCTGATTCCGTCCTTCCCAGCAGGAGTTCAGGGTGCTTGATGTGTTGTGAAGTCAACACAGGAGGACAGGAAGGCACCAAGAATTGCCAAGATAGCTTTGAAAAGGGGAGAAATTGCCTACTGGATATTATGATTTATAAAACTACAGGGATTGAACTGGAACCGGTCCAGGAATGGAAACCAGTCCCAGGGGTTTTGCAGGGGCTTAGAAGAGGCCTGGACACACTCGGGGGGGCAGGAGGCGCCTGTGGGGCAGGTCAGCTGGGGGCTGCTCACAGCACACACACGATGCCGGACGGAGTCAAGATCTCGGACTAGAAAGCAAAGCTGAACCTTTGAAAAGAAAGCATGGGTAGCTCTGTGATAAGAAAAGAGAAGGATTTCCTAAACAGTCTGAGAGAGTGTCTGCAAACGGGCACGGAGCATGTCAGGCTCAGCCTGAGAGGGTGTCTGCAAACGGGCACAGAGCGTGCGGGGCTCAGCCTGAGAGAGAGTCTGCAAACGGGCACGGAGCGTGCGGGGCTCAGCCTGAGAATGTCTGCAAACGGGCATGGAGCGTGCAGGGTTCAGCCTGAGAGGGTGTCTGCAAACGGGCACGGAGCGTGCGGGGCTCAGCCTGAGAGTCTGCAAACGGGCACGGAGCGTGTGGGGCTCAGCCTCAGAGAGTGTCTGTAAACGGGCATGGAGCGTGCGGGGCTCAGCCTGAGAATGTCTGCAAACGGGCATGGAGCGTGCGGGGCTCAGCCTGAGAATGTGTGCAAACGGGCACGGAGCGTGCAGGGTTCAGCAGCAGGGCTCCTCTGGGAACCCCAGTCCCACCATGGGGGGTGCTGCCGCACACCCCTGGAGCTGGTCGGTAGGAGGGCACCCCAGACTCCAGAGGTGGGGGTGTCACACGTACAACCTCAAAGGCCATGTATTCCTGGGTGTTTACCCAAGAGAAACAGGAGTGCGCCCACACGAAGACACGTCCATCGATGTTCACCACGGGGGAATGGACACGTGGACCATTTGTGTGGCAGTGTCTCTTCAGTGCTAGGGAGGGCAGAATGCCATGAGCAGAGTCCATGCTGCGGCTCCAATCCTGAGAAACCCCAGGGAAGACGTACCTAACCACACCCCTGAGACAACAGGAAGAAACAGTCAGGTGGGAGAGGGAAGGGCCCGAAGACCAGGGTGGGTACTCCACAGGTTGTATATTTGTCAGAGCCGATTGAATTATTCAGTTAAAATCAGTGTTTTCTTGTGTATGGTGTACCTTAATAAAGCCAACATAAAGATCTTATGTGGGTCAGAACACTATTAATAAAGGCAAAAATAAATTTGCAACGTATACCTGACTGTTATCCATACTATGAAAGTAAATTTTTTTTTGAGATGGAGTTTGGCTCTTGTCACCCAAGCTGGAGTGCAGTGGCGCCATCTCGGCTCACCGCAACCTCAGCCTCTCGGGTTCAAACGATTCTCCTGCCTCAGCCTCCCGAGTAGCTGGGGTTACAGGTATGCGCCACCACACCTAGCTAATTTTGTATTTTTAGTAGAGGCGGGGTTTCTCTGTGTCAGTCAGGCTGGTCTCGAACTCCCGACCTCAGGTAATCTGCCTGCCTCGGCCTCCCAAAGTGCTGGGATTACAGGTATGAGCCCCTGCTCCCGGCCTATGAAAAGAAATTCTAAAAATTTACTAGTGAATGTCCAACAATCTTTTGGAAAAGTTAGCAGAAGACTTGAACAGGCTCGCCGCAGAGGGGCCTGTGCACAATGCCGCCCCCACGCCTGTCCTTCCTCCCTTTATTGTTCTTACTTGTCACTGAGATGCTACGCGTTCATGGAGCTGCTCTTTCCTCCCCGCTAGGGCTGGCAGCTCTGCAGGGAGGCAAGGCTCGCTGTGCTCCCTCCACTGCCGTGTTGCCAGCAGCTTAGTGGAGGGCCTGGCGCATGGAGGCATTTAGCAGATACTTGATTTTCAGTGTAAAAGAATTTTTGATCTCTAAGTGAAAGTGATTGACAAGATTCTGATCCTGTTTTTATTTCTCACAGAATGCCAATTCCTGTCCAGTTGATCGAACTCTATTTAAGTGCATTTGTATTCGAGCTCAATTTGGTGGTAAAATCTTAAGAAAGGTGAGTGTGGACGCTGCCGTGGAGGCCCCAGCCGTGCTTCTATCCCGGCCCTGTGGGACAGAGCATGCTTTCCAAAGTGGGCTTGCTCTCCTGAAATGAGGGTTGGTTAAATGCTTCATAGAAATCAACTCAAGTGCCCCTTGTGGCCATGAGCCCTGTCTGGGGGGTTTGGGGTCTGGGTTGGGGGTTAGAGGCAGAGATATTGCCAGCTCCTGGGATATCCCTTCGACCCCACCCCTGTACCCATCACATCTGGGAGCAGTGCTCTGGCCCGTCTGCTCGGAGCTCTTTATTTTTGAGACACCATCTTGCTCTTTCACCCAGGCTGGAGTGCAGTAGCACAATCACAGCTTACTACAGCCTCAATCTCCTGGGCTCAAGCAATCCTCATGCCTCAGCCTCCTGAGTAGCTGGGTCCACAGGCATGAGCTACCACACCCGGCTGTTTTTTTTTTTTTTTTTCCCGAGACAAGAGTCTCGCTCTTTTGCCCAGGCTGGAGTGCAGTGGCACAATCTCGGCTCACTGCAAGCTCTGCCTCCTGGGTTCACGCCATTGTCCTGCCTCAGCCTCCCGAGTAGCTGGGACTACAGGCACCCGCCACCACGCCCGGCTAATTTTTTGTATTTTTAGTAGAGACGGGGTTTCACTGTGTTAGCCAGGATGGTCTCGATCTCCTGACCTCGTGATCCACCCACCTCGGCCTCCCAAAGTGCTGGGATTACAGGCGTGAGCCAACGTGCCCAGCCTTTTTTTTTTTTTTTTTTAAGAGGCAGATCTTGCTCTTCCGTGGCAGTCCAGCACCTGCTGCCTCGCCCTACTGCGGCCCACTTTGGGGCCGCAGGGCTTACCCGCTCCTTTCCGTGCATCATACTTTGTTTTCTGTTGAATACTTTCCTCTTAGATCACCACCCTGAGATGGTAGAAAACATAAAAATCCCTGTGTACACGTGGAGGGAGACCCTCTGGGCCTGTGGAGCCCAAATATGAATCTAAGGCAATGGGTGGATTCTGGATTAACTGCGTTTCACGCTGGGAAGTGACTGCGGGGAGTTTGGGTCCTGTGTGGTGGTGACCGACGATTCTGTCCTAGATCCCAGTGGAGAACACCAAAGCGAGCGAGGAGGAGGAGGACCCGACCTTCTGTGAGGTGTGCGGCAGGAGCGACCGTGAGGACAGGCTTTTGCTCTGCGACGGCTGCGATGCGGGGTAAGGGACGGTTGGGACTGGCACACGTGCCCTGCTGCGTGCAAGGCGGGCCAGGCGCAGGAGGGATGCAGAGCCTCTTCGCTCTGTGAAGTCTGAGTCCCAGCACCTGGAGCTGTGCTCACCACCCTCAGCAGCGCGGTTCAGTCCTGCGGGCCTTCCTGTTACACTCATTTACACTTCAGTCTTTCCCCAAAAAACATTCTGAGGCTGCCCACAGAAGTGCAGGTAATACATCAAGACAAAAAAGAAAACAGCCGGACAGGAGGCTGTGGGGCTGGTCAGCCAGAGGGTGGGACGTGTCCTGGTCCCGGCCTTTGTGGGGGAGGGGTGGCTATGCCTGCGTCCATCATTCTGGCTGCCTTGGTCCCTCACCTTTCACCCTGCTCCTCCTTCACCCTCTGGTGCATGTCCAGTTATGCTGCACCTGCTGCTCTCCCTGGCACAGCTGAGAGCGCCTGCTCTGGCCCTGCGTGGCCCTGGCTTCCCGGGAGCCTGTGACACTTGTCTCCTCATCCCTGCTTTGTGTCGTTGGCTGTAAGCAGATGCCCCCTTCCCCGTTAGCCTCCTGCGAGGGGCTTTCCCTGTTGATTTGAATAATTTTTCTGCTGTGAAATTATGGAGAGAGGATTCTGGAAATCTTTCCCTTGTTGAAAGAACCAGTGAGGCTGCTCGATCTGGGGCCTTCTCTTGGGTGGGAAGTAGCTGGGTCAGGGTTTGGACTACGGAACAGCCGGAGCCAGGAGGCCTTGACGTGCCGCGGCTGGAGCCGCACCGAGGATGGGCTCCTGGTGAAGGCCTTTGCTCTGTGGCGGGTGGTCCCGGTCGTCCCAGCTTTGACTCGTCCTTGAGCACAGCCGCTTGTGCCCCCACCTGTCACCTCGTTGTTAGCCACATACCCAGGCCTCTGCTCCACTCACGCTGTTGTTGGTGCAGGAATCGCTGGCTGTCCTTTTGCAGACACTGCAGGGGCCTCCTTGGGGGTCCTGCAGGCGGCCACCACGTTTGTCTCATCGTCAGTTCGCCCTCCTCCTCATGGCCTGTGGGAGTACAGGGGCCTTGCAGTGCGCTCCGCCGGCCCTTCCAGGTCCCCAGCCCCTGCTTGGTCCTGCCCTCTGCTCCCAGCAGCCGGGAGATAGCCACGCCTCTGCTCACATTCGCAGACACCTCGCCGTCCCTCCTTTCTCACGAGTCTGAGCCTAAATCCATGTTTTGTGAGTTTCCTGAGTGCTCTGCCCTGACGGTCCTCACCTCCTCAGGGTTCCTGGGAGCGTCTGCTGCCAGTTGCCCCGGCAGGCACTGAGTTGGTTGCTGTGAGTCTGAAGGGCAGGGCTGCTGCCTTGACTATCCCAGCAGCCTGGTCATTGCAGCCCTGGGCACAGTGCTTATTGGCTGTTGATTACTGACTTACACCGTGAATATATGCAGAATGCTTAAAAAGAAAAAAAAAGGTGGAGGGGTGGCTCAGCACTCCATGCCCATGTGTAGGACTGGTCCTCTTTTGTCCTCTTTACCTGTGGCTGCGGCCACTCTGGGCATGTGAAGGAAGGGCCTGGGCTGGCCTGGAATCGCTGGACACGGCCTGAGAGACCATGGCATGATAGACCTGGTCCTGGTCGCCACAGGCACCGTCTTGGGCAAGGCCCTCATCGCAGGCCAGGGCCGTGAGCCTTCTAGTGGCTCGAGGGCAGCTGGTAGGCCAGTTTTCACGCACAAAGCCTGGTTTTCCTGTTAGCTTTTATTTTACTCATTTACTTATTTTTTTCAAGGCAGAGTCTTGGTCCGTCATCCAGGCTGGAGTGCAGTGGCGCCATCTTGGCTCACTGCAACCTCTGCAGCGAGTCACTGCAACCTCTGCAGCGAGTCACTGCAACCTCGGTTCAAGGTTCAAGTGACTGTCCTGCCTCAGCCTCCTCAGTAGCTGGGATTACAGGCACATGCCACCACACCTGGCTAATTTTTGTATTTTATGGAGAAACGGGGTTTCACCATGTTGGCCAGACTGGTGTGGAACTCCTGGGCTCAATTGATCCGCCCACCTCGGCCTCCCAAAGTGCTGAGATTAAAGGCGTGAGCCACTATGCCCAACCTAGTTGTAGTACCTTCTAACAAGGCTCTTGGGAATGTTTACAGCTTAATTAAAATTTTTTATTATAAATTACATTTACAAACTTGATATATTGATTTTCTTTCTACCTACACTACTTGAATTACTTGGCAGATAAAACAACGCAAGTACATAAAAACCCTGGTGGATCTAAAACATTAAAACTGATCAATATAACGATTCTCATACTTCTAAACATTTCCATACTGTTACAATTTGCAGTCTGCCAAATTTTCAGTTAAGTCTGACTTAAAAATCACACGTCTAAAATTACTCAGTTCCTCATGTCAAAATGGAATCACAGTAGGCCGAGGCGGGTGGATCACCTGAGCTCAGGAGTTCGAGACCAGCCTGGCCAACATGGCGAAACCCCGTCTCTACTAAAAATAAAAAAATTGGCCGGGCGTGGTGGTTCACACCTGTAACCCCCGATCCTTGGGAGGCTGAGGCACGCGAATACCTTGAACCTGGGAGGCGGAGGTTGCAGTGAGCCGAGATTGCGCCACTGCACTCCAGAGAGACTAAAAACAAAAAACAAAAAAACACTATCTGTAGATACACTGACATTACATGAAATAAGATACAGTTTCTGATTTTTTTCTTTTTTAAGTTACAATCTAATTTAAAAGTGTGTGTTCACCAGGGAGGCAGTGCAGGGGCTCACTGAGGCCTGTTAGGTGTGGCCCTCCCCTCCCTGGGCAGGTCAGATCTGAGCACCTTCAGCTGCAGGGCCACCAAGCTCCCTGTGCAGGTGGAGCCATGGGTGCCTGCACCGTAGCTGGGCAGGTCTCGGCAGCCCTCCTTGTCCCCGTGCTCGTATTTAAACTTGCAGCCAATCTCCTCTTCTCGGGGATGAGTGTGGGGGACACAGGCCTGGCCTGGCTGTGGATGGGCGCCTGCCAGGCGCAGAGGGGCCTTCTGCTCGGGCCTCAGGTGAGCCGCAGCCTCCTCCAAGGCTGCTGGAGCTCAGTGGTGGGAAAGTGGGTTGGACGTTTTCAGACTTTGGAATTCTTTGAAAGAAGGTACTGCTCATCCTTGCCTTTGTCCCCAGAGAACTTGTATAAGAACAGATGTTAGGGGACCTAGTTAGGCTCTTGGAGTGCCCCCACCCGCCGCCCCCCTCTGCTGGCCTGGCAGGGCGTGTCGTGTGCCCGGGGCAGTCGGCTTCTCTTCCTGCATGCCTGTCTCCTGTCTTTCTTGTATGGCCCTAGCAAGGGCCACACAGCAGACACCTTCTCATAGGTGCAGGACTCTTGGGAGAATGGGTTTACTCTTGTTTAACTCGTATCTTAGATCCTAGAACAGTTCAGCCCGTGGTAAGTGGTAGTTAAGTTCAGTTGAATTCAGGCTCAATTTTCAGGGAAATCATCAGCTTGACTCCCTTCCCTTGATTGTTTTTGCCTTACTCAGGGCTGTCTGGGGTCTTTGGGATGAAGTTTCAAGGATCTTTGCATAGACTCCCGAGCCTCGGCTGCTTGGAGGGGCACATATACCTCATACCAGTGGCAGCACTTCCCAAACTACCTTCCCAGAAGGCTCGATAGAAACAATTAAAACATAGTTTCCTTTCAGCAAAGAAACCTTCGCCTTCTTCAGTGGCTTGGTGTGAGGTGCAATGTTTGAAAACCCGGGAGTGAGGGTGGGGGAGACAAGCTCTCTGGGAAGGGGGCCCCACAGGCAGCACCTACCGCAGGAGCTCAGTGTGAGCCACTGTCGGCCTGTGGGTGTGTGTCGTGTGTCGCAGCCAGCTCAGTTGCTGTCAGGATACCACAGGCTGGGCAGCGTAAACCGCAGGTCTTCCTTTTCTTGGTTTTGGAAACTAGACATCTGAGATACCAGCAGGCCTGGTTCCTGGGGAGGCCCCCTTCCTGACTTACAGACGGCCGCCTCCCCGCTGTGACCTCACCTGGCCTTCCCTCATCTAAGGACACCAATCCTATAACCTTAAAGGTTCCATGTCTATCTGCTGTCACATTGGGGGTTAGGGCTTCTTATGAATTTTGGAGGGATGTGGGTCAGCCCATAACAGAATGCATCGCAGACTTGGGTGCCATCGGAGGCCTGCTTTGTGGTCCCCTCACTTGAGGAGGTTTGGGAAAGCTGTGAGCAGCACCCGGATGCTTTGGCCCTGCTCTCTCCTGTAGGTACCACATGGAATGCTTGGACCCCCCTCTCCAGGAGGTGCCGGTGGACGAGTGGTTCTGCCCGGAATGTGCTGCGCCTGGTGTTGTCCTTGCCGCTGGTAAGGACACTGCTCCCGTCCCAAGGCGCACATGGGCCTTCTCACTGTCCACTCTGCGGTCCCCGGGGTTAGGTTTGGCTGCTGTGTGGGGAGGACATCTAGGGCTGTCTCATGGGGGTTAGGGTTGGCTGCGGTGTCGGGAGGACATCTAGGGCTGTCTCGGGCTCGTCTTCTCGGGGATGTGTGTGGGGTCCATTGGCTGGGGGGTTCCGGTCCTCAGTGTTAGGAGCACCAGGCTCCATGAGCAGCCCTGGGTCCTGTGCACAGGTCAGCCCGAGCCAGGGCTGCTACTTGGCCGGCAGCCACAGGGGGAGCCGTTGGGGGAGGCGTGTGGCCTGTGAGTGTGGCACATCAGCCCTGGTGGTTCTTCCCAGATGCGGGTCCCGTGAGTGAGGAGGAGGTCTCCCTGCTCTTGGCTGATGTGGTGCCCACCACCAGCAGGCTTCGGCCTCGAGCAGGTAGGACCCGGGCGATAGCCAGGACACGGCAGAGTGAGAGAGTGAGAGCAACCGTGAACCGGAACCGGATCTCCACGGCCAGGAGGGTCCAGGTGGGTGGCCCAGCCCTGACGCCAGTCGTAGAACCCCAGCTGCCCAGAGTGATCTCGGCAGTCTGGGTGGGTGGGAGGGGCGTCGTCGGCACTGTGGGGTCCGCCCGGCCCCGGTGGCTCATGTTGTTCGGCCTGCTGAGGGGAGCAGATGAGTGCACCCCAGGGTGACCCCAGCGGCCCAAGGTGGGGCTGCCTCTGAGCACCTGGAGCCAGGTATTGAGGGGCAGGTGAAGCCTGGCCCTGGCGGGGTGGGGGCTCTAGGAAACCCCCCTTGTTCCCCAGGCCCCATGCCAGCACCGCTCCCTCTAGGCACCTGTGAGCACCTTCCTCTTGCACTGGACCTGGTGCTCGGTTTCAGGTGCTCCCTGCAGCCTCCGTCCTGACAGCAGCCTTTCCCTGGGCATTGGACAAGCAGGAGGGTCTGGGCTGTGGGCATGTGGTGTGTGCCCTTGGCAAGCCTAACGCTGAATTTGGAGTGGACTGAGAAGGCTGGGTGGGGAGGGGGCTGTCCCTGTCCAGTGCCCTGCCCAGTACCTGCGCCACCCCCGCCACAGTGACTGGTGCCCTCTCGTGTGCCCCTGGGATGCTGTCTGTCCCCCACCCGCCTTGCCCCCGTGGGAGTGCTTGGCAGCCTCTGGCAGGGGAGAGGAAGGCCGGGCCGTGGCTGCTGCAGTGGCGGGTGGGGAGGCTGTCCTGCTTCTCTGGCTGCCATTGTGGGCTGTGTTCTGGGCTCCATTTGGGGTCTGTGCTGGACCGGCTGAGGCCCCAAGGGCATCTGACGGCACCACCCCTTTGCCTGTAGCACACACCAGGGCGCCTCGGGTCTTCCCTGCTGGATGAAGCCATCGAGGCTGTGGCGACTGGCCTGAGCACTGCCGTGTATCAGCGCCCCCTGACGCCGCGCACTCCCGCCCGACGGAAGAGGAAGACAAGTAAGCCTGAAGGGATGGACTCTCCCGCCAGCCACAGGCTGGGACCCACGCCCGAGGTCCACTCACTGCTTCCCTCAAGGCTGTGGGCATTTCCATTTCTTCTTTCTGCAAGTTAATCTTCTCTGCTGAAAACACTACACAGAAGCCGCGCCGGGCCCGGGAGGTGTGGGTCTGATGTGCCGATCTGCGACCACGCTGCCTCTGGCATTGTGTCAGGGTGATGCCGGCCTTCCCGCATTGTTCCCCTCTGCTTTCTGGAAGGATTGCATCCTGAAGTTTATGGAAGCAGTCTTGTTATTTTTGCTGTAAACATTTGTCAGAATACGCCCTGAAGCCATCTGGGCCTGGGCTTTTCTGTGGGGGCCGAGTTGAGATCAGTGATTTCGCATCTTGTCTTGCTTCTGCCCTGTTCAGGTTTTCAGTCCTTTTCTCTGTGAGTTTTGGTAATTTTGTCCCAGTGCTGGTTAACTTTGATGACTTGGTTCTCAGAGGTCCACTGTGAAGTGACTAATTCTCCCTTAAAATTAACGGGCCGCTCCTGGGGAGAGCCGTGGACTGCACCTTGTCAGACACCCCCGGCGCTGGTGCGCGTGCACATTTGGCTCTCAGAAGAGCATTCCCTTTCCCTCGTGGGGATTTAAGTCACTGTAGACGCATGGACTCCTGCTTTACTCAGTGCGTTCTAATCTGTGATCTTTTAGAAATTAACTGTATTGAAGCATGCATACTTTTTCTTTTTTTTTTTCTTTTCTTTTTTTTTTTTTTTTTTTGAGACAGAGTCTCGCTCTCCCAGGCTGGAGTGCAGTGGCATGATCTTGGCTCACTGCATCCTCCACCTTCCGGGTTCAAGTGTTTCTCCTGCCTCAGCCTCCCAAGTAGCTGGAATTACAGGCACCCGCCACCACACCCACCTAGTTTTTGTATTTTTAGTAGAGATGGGGCTTCACCATGTTGGCCAGGCTGGTCTTGAACTCCCGACCTCAGGTGATCCGACCACCTCAGCCTCCCAAAGTGCTGGGATTACAGGCCTCTGAGCCACTGCGCCTGGCCTGAAGCGTACGTGCTTTTTATTAAGTGAATGCACTCGCTTTAGTGTGTAGTCCTAGGTTTGACAGACGTAACTTCCATTCCAGCCAGCACAGAAATAGTTATGAGACCACACTTCAGCCCCACCAGCAGCCCTGTGGCCATGTGCATCACTGTGTGTCGGTCGTGCTGGTCCTGGGGCTCCAGGGGACTCAGTGTCTGTGGGTCTGGTGCAGGGTCCTGGGTCTCCAGAGGACTCGGCGTCTGTGGGTCTGGTGCAGGGTCCTGGGGCTCCGGGGGTCTCGGCGTCTGTGGGTCTGGTGCAGGGGCCCAACTTGCTCCTTTTGTTCAGCACAGTACTCTGGGAATCTCTGTAATTACCTGTGTCTGTGGCTGATTTTTTATTATTGAGAAATATTCCATTGTATGAATATACCACAGTTTGTCCTGTTGATGGGCGTTTGGCTGGGTGTTTTTTGCAGTTAAAATTGTTTTAATCTTTATGTCACTACAGATGTGCAGTGAGCTCATTTGTGTTAAAGTCTCAAGCAGTCCACCTGCCTCGGCCTCCCAAAGTGCTGGGGTTACAGGTGTGAGCCATGGTGCCTGGCCCTGATGAGAACTATGTAAGATATCTAATGGTGCACTCAGGGATGTCAGGCTCTGTTCTTCGGTGCAGCTCATTTTCTGTGTCTCTCCCCGATAGGAACACATTATTTTTATTCCTTTTTTTTTTTTTTGAGACAGGATCTCATCTTGCCCAGGCTGGAGTGCAATGGCGCAATCTCAGCTCACTGCAACCTCTGCCTCCCAGGCTCAAGCAATTGTGGTGCCTCAGCCTCCTGAGTAGCTTGTAATCCCAGCACTTTGGGAGGCTGGGGCAGGTGGATAGCTTGAGGCCAGGAGTTTGAGATGGCGCCACTGCAGTCCAGCCTGGGTGACAGAGTGAGACTCTGTCTCCAAAAATATATATATATATATATATATATATGGTTTATTTCTCCGTTTAAAAATCTTTGACGCCGGGCACAGTGGCTCGCACCTGTAATCCCAGCACTTTGGGAGGCTGAGGCGGGTGTGTCACCTGAGATCAGGAGTTCAAGACCAGCCTGGCCAACTTAACAAAACTCTGTCTCTATTAAAAATACAAAAATTAGGCCAGGCATGGTGGCTTACACCTGTAATCCCAGCACTTTGGGAGGCCGAGGTGGGCGGATCACGAGGTCAGGAGATCGAGACCATCCTGGCTAACACGGTGAAACCCCGTCTCTACTAAAAATACAAAAAATTAGCCGGGCATGGTGGCGGGCGCCTGTAGTCCCAGCTACACGGGAGGCTGAGGCAGGAGAATGGCGTGAACCTGGGAGGCAGAGATTGCAGTGAGCTGAGATCACGCCACTGCATTCCAGCCTGGGTGACAGAGCGAGACTCCGTCTCAAAAAAACAAAACAAAATAATACAAAAATACAAAAATTAGCTGGGTGTGGTGGCACATGCCTGTAATCCCAGCTACTTGGGAGGCTGAGGCAGGAGAATCGCTTGAACCCAGGAGGCGGAGGTTGCAGTGAGGTAAGATCGCACCAGTGCACTTCAGCCTTCGTGACAGAGCAAGACTCCGTCTCAGAAAAAAATTTGGGCAGGCGTGGTGGCTCACACCTGTAATCCTAGCTCTTTAGGAGGCTGAGGCAGGAGGATCGCTTGAGCCCAGAGGCCAGCCTGGGCAACATGATAAGCCCTATCTATAAAAAAAATTAGCTGGGCACGGTGGTGCCTACCTGTAGTTCCAGCTGCTTGGGAGGCTGAGGCAGGAGAATCACGTGAGCCCAGGAGTTGGAGGCTGCTGTGAGCTGAGATTGTGCCACTGCACTCCAGCTTGGGTGACAGGGCAAGATCCTGTCTCAAAAAAAAAAAAAAAAAATTGCAAGCCGGTGCGTGTGGTCCCGCTGTACCGGCTCCTTGGGCTCCGTCCACTGGGCTGGACTCACAGGAATGGGGCAGGGAGGGCCCAGCACAGAGAAGCACAGACTTCAACCTCTTTTCCTTAGGAAGACGGAAGAAAGTGCCGGGAAGAAAGAAAACCCCGTCCGGACCATCCGCAAAAAGTAAGAGCTCAGCGACAAGATCTAAGAAACGCCAACATCGAGTGAAGAAGAGAAGAGGGAAGAAGGTAAAGGTGAGCATTGGGTGGCAGGGCCTGAGTCTCCTGCTGGCCACAGCACCCTCGCGTGGTTACGGAGCAGGGCCTAAGCCTCCCGCTGGCCTTGGCACCCTCGCGCGGTTATGGAGCAGGGATCATCATCGTCTTTGCTTTTCTGTATTTACTCAGTGATTTGCTGATGGAAATGAACATTTCTGTAGCACAGACTGAAGATGGGGTTGAGGCCAGCTGTTTCCTGAGGCACACTGAGGGGTTGAGGGGTGGTCATGTGCCCCCAAGGAACCTTCCTGAAGCCATCAGCTGGTCGGGGAGCCAGGTGTGAGCCAGGCCAGTGCAAGCCCTCTGGCAGAGGCCCCCAGGAGCAGCTGTGGGTTTCAGGCAGGCCTGGCCAGCCTGGCTCTGAGGAGTGACACAAGCCGTGTCTGACAGGCCCTGTCCACCTCTTCTGACCCATGTTCGCTGGGCCCTGGGAGCGGCCTCCTTGGTATACGTCGTGGCGTTTGTTGTCCTAGGCCCTTTCCATCCAAAATCATGGACCAGACATTTAATATTCATTTTTAGTTGATCCCTAATTATTGTCTGTGTTGATGGGGTGGAGGGTGGTGTGTCATTCGTGTGCATGTTTGTGATGCTCAAACCGGGACTAAATGTATCACCTTGTCCACTCGGACTGCACATTTAAAACACCTTAATATGTAAAAACTTGAATTACGGCCGAGCGCGGTGGCTCACACCTGTGATCCCACCACTTTGGGGGGCTGAGGCGGACGGATCACCTGAGGTCAGGAGTTCAAGGCCAGCCTGGCCAACATGGTGAAACCCCATCTCTACTAAAAAGACTAAAAATTAGCTGGGTGTGGTGGCAGGCACCTGCAGTCCCAGCCTCAGGAGGCTGAGGCAGGAGAATCACTTGAACCCTGGGAGGCAGAGGTTGCAGTGAGCCGAGATTGCACCACTGCACTCCAGCCTGGGAGACGAGAGCAAAACTCTGCCTCAAAAACAAAACAAAACAAAACAAAACTGAGTTGCAGCCATTGTTCAAGTGTTTGCTGAATCTTTTTTGGTTTTGTTTTTGTTTTTTTTGTTTTTTTTTTTGAGATGGAGTCTCACTCTGTCCCCACGCTGGAGTGTAGTGGTGCGATCTCGGCTCACTGCACCCTCCACCTCCCGGGTTCAAGTGATTCTCCTCCCTCAGCCTCCTGAGTCGCTGGGATTATAGGCGTGTGCCACCACGCCCAGCTAATTTTTGTATTTTTATTAGAGATAGGGTTTCACCATGTTGATCAGGCTGGTCTTGAACTCCTGACCTCGTGATCTGCCCACCTCGGCCCCCAAAGTGCTGGGATTACAGGAGTGAGCCACCGTGCCCAGCCTTTGTTTTGTTTTTTGAGATGGTATCACTCTGTGGCCCAGGCTGAAGTGCAATGGCTCAATCCCAGCTCACTGCAGCCTTGACCTCCCCAGGCCCAGGTGATCCTCCCACCTCAGCTTCCTGAGTAGCTGGGACTACAGGCATAGCCCACCGTGCCCGGCTAGTTTTTGTATTTTTCGTAGACACAAGCGTTCGCCATGTTGCCCAGGCTGGTCTTAGACTCCCGGGCTTAAGCAGTTTGTCATCTAAGCCTCACAAAGTGTTGTTTGTTTGTTTGTTTTAGGTTGGGGCGGGAACAAAGTCTGGTTCTGTTACCCGGGCTGGAGTGCAGTGACATGATCCTGGCTCACTGCACCCGCCTTGACCTCCCAGGCTAAGGTGATCCTCCCACGTCAGCCTCTCAAGTAGCTGGGACCACAGGCTCACGCCACCTCACCTAGCTAATTTTCTTTTTTTGGTGGAGACGGGGTCTCACTGCGTTCCCCAAGCTGGTCTTGAACTCCTAGGCTCAAATGATCCTCCTGCCTCAACCTCCCAAAGTGCTGGGATTACAGGTGTGAGCGCCAAGTCTGCTGCATCTTTATGTGAATTTATACTCAAGATTATTGTTTATTTCCTAGTAAATATAAACTCATATAATACATATTTATCTAAAACCATATTTAAGTTTGTTTTTTTTTTTTTTTTTTTTTTGAGATGGAGTTTCGCTCTTGTTGCTGAGGCTGGAGTGCAGTAGTATGATCTCAGCTCACTGCAACCTCGGCCTCCCAAATAGCTGGGATCATAGGTGTGTGCTACCACGCCCGGCTAAGTTTTGTATTTTTAGTAGAGATGGGGTTTTGCCATGTTGGTCAGGCTGGTCTTGAACTCCCGACCTCAAGTGATCCACCCACCTTGGCCTCCCAAACTGCTGGGATTCCAGGTGTGAGCCACCATGCCTGGCCCTCTTATTTTAGTTTTAAATGCATTATTCGAACATCCGATCTGTTTATTCATTCAGACAAAATTCCTGGAGTAGAAGCTAAAGCCATGACCAGGTGTTGGATAAGGACCTGCTATTTCCCAGTTCTCAGGTCCCCTGGGCTCTCCCTTTGCTTTGCGGGGTGCCCTGAGCCTGGGTTGGAACCTCGTCTCCCATCCCTGTGCCCAGAACACTCCTGGGCGTCGTCCTGAGCTTTTTGTCCTGCATGCTGTTTCTGTGGTTCCTTTCTTCTGCAGACAGTGTTCTGGGACCACAGCCTGGGGGCCCGATGGCACGTGAGGGTGTTCACCCTTGGGAGGGGCGACGCCTGCCTTCAGGCGATGAAGTCCCAGCCACAGCGGGAGGCTGCCCTGTCCGCTCTGCCTAGAATCAGAAGGAAACAGCTAGTAACTCTTAGGGTTTTTAGGAATTTAGGAATAATGACAGCGCTTAAAATCTAAATTTGTGTCATCTTCTCAAGGCTTTTTTGGTGTTCTTGTTTGTTTGTTTTTGAGACAGAGTCTCGCTCTGTCCCCCAGGCTGGAGTTACAGTGGTGCAATCTTGGTTCACTGCAACCTCTGCCTCCCGGGTTCAAGCAGTTCTCTTGCCTCAGCCTCCTGAGTAGCTGGGATTACAGGCGTCCGCCACCAGGCCCAGCTAATTTTTGTATTTTTAGTAGAGATGGGGTTTCACCATGTTGGCCAGGCTGGTCTCAAGCTGGCCTCAAATGATCTGTCTGCCTTGGGCTCCCAGAATGCTGGGATTACAGATGTGAGCCATCAAGGGGTTTTACTGTCAGTCATCAGTTGAATTTTTTGTTTCCCTCTTTGTGAGTTTTCACTTAATGCTACTACGACGTGATGGTGACACTGCAATGCCCGAGAGCCTCTGGTAGCCTGCAGGAGCTTCACGGCCGATGTGTGCGGCATTGTTCCTGCTTGTCGGTCATCATGCCTGAGAAGCCCATTGACTTTGGCTTAGTATTTTCCGGCTCTAGTGTTCACTGTTGCTGATGAAGGCTTCACGTGGCATTTACAGAGCCCTCGTAGATGCCATCCCCGTCTCTCTGTTCATCTTTTTCTTTGTTACTGGATTCAGAGTGAAGCCACCACTCGCTCTCGAATCGCGCGGACGCTGGGCCTGCGCAGGCCTGTTCACAGCAGCTGCATCCCGTCAGTGTTGAAGCCAGTGGAGCCCTCTTTGGGGCTGCTGAGAGCGGATATTGGAGCTGCCTCTCTGTCTCTGTTTGGAGATCCTTATGAGCTGGATCCCTTCGACAGGTGAGTGAACTGGTGATGGTCCTGCCTGGGCACCCGCTCCTCTCCCTGGGGGCTGTGGGCACGGGGCCCCGAGGTGCATGCGGAGGCGTTAGGTTTTGTGTTTGAGAGTGAGGGTGGCCATTCCTCCCACCGCCATACGGTGCAGGTGGGTGGCGTGGAACTCAGAGGTCTGGTTCGGGGCCCGAATCACACGTGCCGCCACATGGCCAGTGCTCGGCCATCCTCCTCCGTGCCGTCTCCCTGGGCTGGGGTTTCTGGGAGCTGGGAGTCACTTGTTCCCTTTGGCCTGTGTCCTCCCCTCTAGCAGTGAAGAGCTTTCTGCAAACCCTCTTTCCCCTCTGAGTGCCAAGAGACGGGCTCTGTCCCGGTCAGCCCTGCAGTCCCACCAGCCCGTGGCCAGGCCCGTCTCCGTGGGGCTTTCCAGGTGTGTGAGGGCAGAGGCTTCTGGGGAGGTGGGGGCAGCAGTTGGGCATCGGATGGGAGTTCTAGGGTGGGGCCGTGATAGCCTGGCTCTCTGTGGCCCTGGGTGGCGTCAGCACCTCCCCTCAGCTGTCATGCTCATCAGTCGGCCCTTGGCGTGAGGCAGTGCTGCAGCCCATCCTGTGTCAGAGGCCACGGCCTGCCTGTGAGCGTGGACTGGGAGTTGCTGCAGCTCCACGAGGTGGCCCCTCTGCCCCCCACCCCGGCCTGAGAGCCACCAGCACAGGGACACCGCCTCGGGCAGGAGCAGTGGCCCTGGTGAATAAGGCTGTCATCAGAGGTCACCTTTTGGCCAGTTCTTTTGTTTCGCCACAAGAACAAAAAATTAACCAAAACCAACAAAACAGGTAAAGGTGCTTGTCTGCCCCCTCCCACCTGTTGGTGGAGTTGGGGGTGGCAAAGGCACCAGAGGTGACTTCTCCCAAAAACGCCTGGTTTCCCTGGGGCCAGAGCTGCGAGGTGGGGCTCCCTCCCTCCCTCCCTCTGGGAGGCCCCGGTGAGCACCTCTTAGAACAGCAGCCGGAGCCAGGGCTGTGGGGGAGGCGCAGGCCCGGCCCAGCCCCACTCTCCCTGGCTCCCGCCTGCTGCGGGGCTCTGCCTGGGTGCGGGCCCTCAGGCCGTGGGAGGCAGTGACGGCAGGGCCTTGGGTCTGTGCCCACAGGAGGCGCCTCCCTGCCGCGGTGCCAGAGCCAGACTTGGAGGAGGAGCCAGTGCCTGACCTGCTGGGCAGCATCCTGTCGGGCCAGAGCCTCCTGATGCTGGGCAGCAGTGATGTCATCATCCACCGCGACGGCTCCCTCAGCGCCAAGAGGGCGGGTGAGTGCCTTCCCTGCCACGGCCCCTTCCTCTGTGGGCTGCTGGTCCTCAGGCTGTTCGCAAGCACTCAGCCCATGTCTCAGTCACGGAAGATGTAGCTGAAGTTGGGGGGACCATTCCTCAGCCATTTTTCTGCATTGATTTCCCTTCTTGAGCAGTTTCTCAGTTAGCTCCGAGTTCTTACCCAGCCCCACAGCTTCATGTTCATAAGAACATGTCCTGATGGGGTACTGCCCCCGCCCCTGGTTAATATCGTGTCCTGATGGCCTCAGGCACTGTACTTTGTCATCCACAGAGTGGCTGTTGAAGCAGCTCTCCGGGTGTGGAAAGGCGAGGTGTCCACCTCAACAGGCAGACAGGAGTTTAAAGCGCACGACCTCACAGAAAACCAGTTGTGATAAAAATTAAACCACTGACATTTAAGAAGAGTGGGTGGGAAATGATTGCCATTGACTTTTTTGTTTTTTAGCTCCAGTTTCTTTTCAGCGAAACTCAGGCAGTCTGTCCAGAGGGGAAGAAGGATTCAAGGGCTGCCTGCAGCCCCGAGCACTGCCCTCCGGGAGCCCGGCCCAAGGCCCGTCAGGAAACAGGCCACAGAGCACAGGGCTCAGCTGTCAAGGCAGGTCCCGCACCCCCGCCCGCACCGCGGGGGCGCCTGTGAGGCTGGACTTGCCAGCAGCCCCTGGGGCGGTTCAGGCTCGGAACTTGTCAAATGGGAGTGTGCCTGGCTTCAGACAGAGCCACAGCCCCTGGTTCAACGGCACCAACAAGCACACCTTGCCCCTTGCCTCTGCCGCGTCTAAGATCTCAAGCAGAGATTCTAAGCCCCCATGTCGCAGTGTGGTGCCGGGGCCTCCCCTGAAGCCAGCGCCCAGAAGAACAGACATCTCTGAGCTACCCAGGATACCAAAGATCAGGAGAGATGACGGTGGTGGCAGACGGGATGCGGCCCCGGCCCACGGGCAGAGCATTGAGATCCCCAGTGCCTGCATCAGCCGACTGACTGGCAGGGAGGGCACCGGGCAGCCAGGGCGAGGCACACGGGCAGAGAGCGAGGCCAGCAGCAGGGTGCCCCGGGAGCCCGGGGTGCACACGGGCAGCTCCCGGCCCCCAGCCCCCAGCTCCCATGGCAGTTTGGCCCCACTGGGACCATCAAGAGGGAAAGGGGTCGGGTCGACCTTTGAGAGCTTCCGGATCAATATTCCTGGAAACATGGCACATTCCAGCCAGCTCTCCAGCCCTGGCTTCTGTAACACGTTCCGGCCTGTGGACGATAAGGAGCAGAGGAAGGAGAACCCCTCACCCCTCTTCTCCATCAAGAAGACGAAGCAGCTGCGGAGCGAGGTCTACGACCCATCCGACCCCACCGGCTCCGACTCCAGCGCCCCTGGCAGCAGCCCCGAGAGGTCTGGCCCCGGCCTCCTGCCCTCTGAGATCACACGAACCATCTCCATCAACAGCCCGAAGGCCCAGACGGTGCAGGCTGTGCGCTGCGTCACCTCCTACACGGTGGAGAGCATCTTTGGTACAGAGCCCGAACCCCCTCTCGGACCGTCCTCCGCCATGTCCAAGCTCCGGGGTGCAGTGGCTGCCGAGGGGGCCTCTGACACGGAGCGAGAGGAGCCCACAGAGAGCCAGGGCCTGGCTGCCCGGCTGCGGAGGCCATCCCCCCCAGAGCCCTGGGATGAGGAGGATGGGGCGTCTTGCAGCACCTTCTTTGGCTCTGAGGAGCGGACGGTGACCTGTGTGACTGTCGTGGAGCCGGAAGCCCCACCCAGCCCGGACGTGCTGCAGGCTGCCACCCACAGAGTCGTGGAGCTCAGGCCCCCTTCCCGGTCCCGCTCCACATCCAGCTCCCGCAGCAGGAAGAAGGCCAAGAGGAAGAGGGTGTCCAGGGAGCACGGACGGACGCGCTCTGGGACGCGCTCTGAATCCAGGGACAGGAGCTCGAGGTCAGCGTCACCATCAGTGGGTGAGGAGCGCCCCAGGAGGCAGCGGTCCAAGGCCAAGAGCCGGCGGTCCTCCAGTGACCGCTCCAGCAGCCGAGAGCGAGCTAAGAGGAAGAAAGCCAAGGACAAGAGCAGGGAGCACAGGCGGGGCCCCTGGGGCCACAGCCGGAGGACGTCCCGGTCGCGGTCGGGGAGCCCTGGCAGCTCTTCCTATGAGCACTATGAGAGTAGGAAGAAGAAGAAAAGGAGATCAGCGTCCAGACCTCGGGGAAGGGAGTGCTCCCCCACCAGCAGCCTGGAGAGGCTCTGCAGGCACAAGCATCAGCGGGAACGCAGCCACGAGCGGCCAGACAGGAAGGAGAGTGTGGCGTGGCCCCGAGACCGGAGGAAGCGGAGGTCCCGGTCCCCAAGCTCGGAGCACAGGGCACGGGAGCACAGGCGGCCTCGGTCCCGTGAGAAGTGGCCGCAGACCCGGTCCCATTCCCCAGAGAGGAAGGGGGCTGTGAGGGAGGCTTCCCCAGCGCCCCTTGCACAGGGGGAGCCAGGGCGGGAAGACCTCCCCACCAGGTTGCCAGCCTTGGGGGAAGCACATGTCTCGCCGGAGGTGGCTACGGCCGACAAGGCCCCCCTGCAGGCTCCCCCTGTCCTGGAGGTGGCAGCTGAGTGTGAGCCGGACGACCTGGACCTGGATTATGGCGACTCCGTGGAGGCCGGACACGTCTTTGATGATTTCTCAAGCGACGCCGTTTTCATCCAGCTCGATGACATGAGCTCGCCACCTTCTCCCGAAAGCACAGACTCTTCCCCGGAGCGAGACTTCCCACTGAAGCCTGCGTTGCCCCCAGCCAGCCTGGCCGTGGCCGCCATCCAGAGGGAGGTGTCATTGATGCACGATGAAGACCCTTCGCAGCCCCCACCCCTGCCAGAGGGCACCCAGGAGCCACATTTGCTCAGGCCGGACGCGGCTGAGAAGGCTGAGGCACCCAGTTCCCCGGATGTGGCGCCTGCGGGGAAGGAAGACAGCCCCTCTGCGAGTGGGAGGGTACAGGAGGCAGCCCGGCCTGAGGAGGTGGTTTCGCAGACCCCCCTGCTGCGGTCCAGAGCCCTGGTGAAGCGGGTCACCTGGAACCTGCAGGAGTCGGAGAGCAGCGCCCCCGCCGAGGACAGAGCCCCCCGTGAGTAGTGCCCCGGCCCCCACCGAGGACAGAGCCCCCAGTGAGTAAGGCCCTGGCCCCCGCCGAGGACAGAGCCCCCCGTGAGTAAGGCCCCGGCCTCCACCGAGGACAGAGCCCCCCGTGAGTAGGGCCCTGGCCTCCGCTGAGAACAGAGCCCCCTGTGAATCTGACTCCTGTCAAGGACAGGGCCCCTGAGTGAGTAGGGCCCCGGCCACCACAGGGAGCTTCTGGAGCCAGGGAACACTGGGATAGTGGGTGTGGGGGTCTCCTGCAGGTGGGCAGAACAGGTCATGGTCGGGGATCAGTGGCTAGGAGCTGGCACACCTCGCAACCTCCCCTTGGTGCTGGGGGTGGATCTGAGGGCTGCTCTGTGGTCCTTGCTCCTGGTGCTTTTCTGGATTTTTCCAGCCATGAAACAGCATTCTGGGCAGGGGTGGGCACAGAGCACCCACCTCCCTGTCTGTCGGGCCCCCAGGGGCACCACTTCACAGGCCACAGAAGCCCCGAGAAGGAGCCTGGGACATGGAGGATGTGGCCCCCACAGGGGTCAGGCAGGTGTTCTCCGAGCTGCCCTTTCCCAGTCACGTGCTTCCGGAACCCGGGTTCCCAGACACAGACCCCTCTCAGGTGGGTGTCTGGGCTGGAGGGCTGTGGGCCGTGGGCAGTGGCCTGGCACCCGTGCCACACACACCACACTAGGCTGGGGCTGAGGCCTCACAGCTCCTGGGCACAGAGCTGCTAGCTGTAGGGCCCAGTGCTCAGCAGGGGTGTCCCTCCCAGGTTTACAGCCCCGGCCTGCCGCCTGCCCCGGCCCAGCCCTCAAGCATCCCACCCTGCGCACTGGTCAGCCAGCCCACGGTCCAGTTCATCCTTCAGGGGAGCCTGCCGCTAGTGGGCTGTGGGGCAGCACAGACCCTGGCCCCAGTGCCCGCTGCCCTGACCCCAGCCTCAGAGCCAGCCAGTCAAGCCACTGCAGCCAGCAACTCGGAGGAGAAGACCCCGGCCCCCAGGCTAGCTGCGGAGAAAACCAAGAAGGAGGAGGTGAGTCCTGCCTCCTCCCACTTTCCCCATGTTCCCATCTTACTTTGAAACTAAAGTTGTTGGGGCTGAGTTTATGGGCGGAAGCTGGTCGCTGTGCCTCTGGAACTGCAAGGGTGTCCAGAACCACAGTGCCTCTGGCCAGAGGGACTCCCGGCTCCCTTCCTGGCCGCATCACACACATGTCCCCTCTAGTACATGAAGAAGCTGCACATGCAGGAGCGTGCTGTGGAGGAGGTGAAGCTGGCCATCAAGCCCTTCTACCAGAAGAGGGAGGTGACCAAGGAGGAGTACAAGGACATCCTGCGCAAGGCCGTGCAGAAGGTGGGCTGTGTGCGAGCCTGTGTGTGGGGCTCGGGGTCACGGGCGGTACGTCGCTGCTGTCTCGTCAGCATGGACTTTGGGGTGGCCATGAGTGCAGGCCCGAGGTCAGCCAGCCAGGTTAGGGGTCAGGGGGCTGTATTGCCACATCCTGTAGGCCTGGGGTCAAGCCTGTTCGCCTGTGGCTGCCCCTGGCAGATGCTTAGGAAGGAGGGTGCCTCAGTGCACCCTGGGTAATTTAAAACTACCCAGCCCACGCCCAGCTTACAGGTGGGAGAACGACCCCCAGAGGTGAGCAGTTGCCTGGTGACGTCTCAGCCCATGCTCCCCCCGCCCACCGACACCGTGGGACCCTCAGTGGCCTTGTGAGCGGCATAGCGAACAGGACGGGGGTCTCACATAGGTGGGGCGGCCTCTGCCGCCGTCTGTCTGCGTGCTGCACCTAGGGCCTGCTCCTGAGCAGGGCAGGCGAGGGAGCCCAGCTTTGGCCCTGGGCTCTGGCCCGGAACATCTGGATGTGAAAGGGCATTTGGTGATTGCACCTCTTTCTCCAGATCTGCCACAGCAAGAGTGGAGAGATCAACCCCGTGAAGGTGGCCAACCTGGTGAAGGCGTACGTGGACAAGTACAGGCACATGCGCAGGCACAAGAAACCAGAGGCCGGGGAGGAGCCGCCCACGCAGGGGGCCGAGGGCTGAGGCCAGGCAATCACGGGCTATGCCCGGGGAGCTGTCGGGAGTGGCGGGAATCGGGGCCATGCCCGGGGAGCTGTCGGGAGTGGCGGGAATCGGGGCCATGCCCGGGGAGCTGTCGGGAGTGGCGGGAAATGGGGGGCATCACCATGCCTGCCGTCGGGTTCCTGCGCTGACACCTGGTCTGTGCACCTGTGTTGCTCACAGTTGAAAACTGGACACTTTTGTATGTATATTATAGAGACACTGTTTCCATTCTAATTTATCAAAAATGGATTATCTTTAGAAACCTCTTGATTGACTTACTACTTGGAAGATAAAGCACTTGGTGATCAAGAGGGGCTCCTGGTGGGGTGGCGCGTCCTTGATAAATCTCTAGGTGGCCTCCCGCCAACAGCTGCTGTGTACCTTTGGCTCTGAATTAGGAATATCTTTACTTTCTCTTTTCCAATTATGTTGTGCTCTTGTAAATAATTGCTCGAGTTTGCACTCAACACCGTTGCCTCCTGGAGGCAGGGTGCAGCAGTGGCAGCCTGAGGGCTGGCGACAGGTGTCCTGCATGGGGAAATGCTGTCCC
Source organism: Homo sapiens (assembly GCF_000001405.40). Lineage (NCBI taxonomy): Eukaryota > Metazoa > Chordata > Mammalia > Primates > Hominidae > Homo > Homo sapiens. The sequence continues at coordinate 612,349 of NC_000011.10, forward strand.
TGCCCTTGGCACAGCTGGTGGGAGTGGCTTTGGCGGCCACTGGCCTGTCAAGGGTCTTGTTCTTTGAGTCAAAGCTTGGCTGTGATGTGTGTGGTGAAGACAGAAGTGAGTTGGTGTGCAGGGAGGCCGTGGAGGTCCCCTCCCTCCCTGGGCCTCACCCGTGTTCAGCCTGGACCCAATTCCCCACCAGCCAAGATGCCAGTACGTGTTCTGGAGTTCTTTTTATTAGACTGGGCGGCCGCGGCCAGCTCTAGGTGGGCTGCTCCAGCTTTCTGGAGTTCTCATTAGACTGGGTTCTAGGCGGGCTGCTCCAGCTCCATAAGGAAGCACTCGATGTCGTCATAGAGGCTGTTGGCGCTGGACAGGCAGAGGCTGAGGCTGCTGCTATCCAGGGAAGACACACCCTCACGCTGCGTGCCCTCTAGGTGCACTCGGCACAGCCAGGGTTCCAGCTGCCAGGAGGGATCGGGCGTCTGTCAGTGACCCGGCGTGTGTCCTCCCCTCCCCCTCCCCAGGCTCTGAGGGCGTCGGGCGTCTGTCAGTGACCCGGTGTATGGCCTCCCCTCCCCCTCTCCGAGGCTCTGAGGGCATCAGGCGTCTGTCAGTGGGCCTGAGCACATGGCCTCCCCTCCTTGAGGCTCTGGTCTCACCTTCACCAGGACCAGGCTCTTCTCCTTGGGCCTCCCAGCTGACAGGTCCTGCCCGAAGCCCAGGTAGATGGTATAGCGTGGGGAGCCACGGCGCTGCCGTGCCCGGAATTCCACCAGCTCTGAAGAAGGGGACTCTGCTGAGTACCTGGCAGGCAGGTGCTCCCAAGGACCCCTGGAGACAGCCCCCCAGGCAAGGGCCTCACTGACCTTGGAAGAAGACTCTGAAGTCGAAGATGGGGGTGTCACAGTTCCGAGGCAGCAGGCAGGCTGGGGTGGAGGGGCTGGCGGAGCCTGGGGGTCCGCCCACCTCCCAGTACACCTTGCACTTGCCCATGCGCCGGGCCCACAGCTGTGGCCCCCGAAGCTCCAGGTGCAACCCAGGGGCCACGTGCCGCAGCAGTTCCTCCGTGTAGCGCAGCTGCTTCTGGTCCGGGAGCTCGGCAGGGCTGGGGAATGCTACCTGCTGGGGGTCTGTGGCCCGGACAGCTGGGTCTGGGGGGCCGTATAGGAACGTGCAGCTCGGGTGTCCCACCACCTTCTGCAGCACCGTGCGGCCCTTGTACATGATGGTCACGTCCAGCGCCCCTGGGCTGGGCTCTGTGTGGAGACCAAGCTGTGAGTGACGGGGGTGGGCGGGGACAGGCTGTGAGTGACGGGGGTGGGCGGGGACAGGATGTGAGTGACGGGGGTGGGCGGGGACAGGATGTGAGTGATGGGTGGGCGGGGACAAGCCGTGAGTGACGGGGGTGGGCGGGGACAGGCTGCCCCTTCCTGGGATGCACTCACCTTGCACCGCGGTGCAGGCGCTTGGGGAGGGTGACAGGTACGGCTCTGCCTGGTGCGGGGACTCTGGGGCCGCGGCCTCGCCTGCATCCGGAAGGGAATCCTGTGCTGGCACCTCATCCCTAGCCTCTCCCTGTGCCCCAGGCCTCCCAACCCCTACCCCTCTCACCTGTCGTTAGTGCCGCGGGCTGGGGCCCGGGGCTGGGGGTCGTCTCTACTGCCCACCCGTACAGCTCCCCAGCAGGGAGCCCTGGGCCTGAGGAGGGGAGGACAGTGGGAACGGTGGTCCCCTCCTAATTCTCCAGCTCCCCAATCCCCAGCCCCCTTCTAAAGTGTCCGTCCAGGTGCACTGGCCCCTCCCGCGCTCCCCCCCTCCCCGGGCACGCCCACACCTCCAGCACAGGCCCCAGTCAGGGGAAGCCCTTCTTGTCCCTCTCCAGGAGCCTTGGTTGGGACTGGATCTGCCCCCCATGACGCTGTCAGCAGATGGTCTGCCAGGCAGCTCTGTTGCACTGCCTGGAGCAGGAGGTCCCCCTTGTCACCAGCTGGGGCAGGGAGGGGGCCTGGGGCTTGGAGTCCAGCATGTGTGTGTGCCAGGAATGGCCCTGGGGGCCCACCCTGCAGGGAAAAGTCAGGGTGAACGTAAGCAGCTCCGCGGCCTGGCAGGAGGAGAGGCAGGCAGAGAGAAGGGTACCTGTGGTGGTGGGACAGCTGCGGGGGCCTCTGCCTCAGTCTGGTCCGTGCCTGGGCCTTCTGAGAGAGAATGGGGCAGGCGTTAGGCCCCGACACCAGAGTGAGAGATACAAGGAGAGCCTGGTGTAGCCCCCACCAGCTTCCTGGCTGTGAACCCTTAGGCTGTGGCCTGAGGAGGTGGGGATGTGGCTCTCCACCTGTCCTGGGCCTGCTGGCAGCCTCTCCCAGAACAGCTTCTAAAACCACAAATCTGACCCAGAGAATGTTCCCCTTTGCCCAAGCAGGACGAATGCCAACGCCCTTGGCAGCCGGCGTCGCTCACCTCGCCAGCACAGCTCCCGGCTGAGCGCGTACACCTTGTGCGGGTCGGCCGGGTCCCCCGAGTTATCCCGCAGCATCACGAAGCGACGCGTGCTGCGCAGTGCGCAGCGGAAGTTGGTTTTCCAGCCGGCGCGCTCCGCAGTCTCAGCCTCGGGGGGCGGGCCACCTCCCCTGCTGCTAGGCGGCCACCTGCCGCGGGCCACAGCCCAGGCCTGAAGAGGGGGACAGAACACGTGTGCCGGGCCCGCGGGGTCCTAGGCGGGCTCTCCCACCCGGGGCGGGGCGGGGCTGGGGTCCCCACCTTGAAGATGCGCGCGTCGGCCTCGCTCAGGTCCTTGCGCGCGAAGTGCTTCCAGGGCACGCGGAAACAGGTGCGGGCCTCGTCCAGCCACTGCAGCCCCTCATAGCAGCCGCTGCTGATCTCTCCAAGGAGCCACTCTCCGAACAGCACGCGTGGGGCTGCCCTGCGGGTGCCCGGCCGCGGAGAGTCAGGGCCGGCTGCAGGGCGCTCGGGGACTGGCATCTGGAGAGGGTGGGCCGGGCTCTTACCTCTCAGGAGCCAAGGCCATTGCTCCTTCTGCAGGGGCAGTTAGGTGGCGGTCAGGTGTTATAACAGGGGAGGTAAGGGCTCCTGTCGCAGCAGACGCCAGGCCGCGGCCACAGGTCGTGTGGCCAGGTGTCACAGGTGTCCACAGGTGTGGACTGAGGGCTTGTAGCCACCGACGCTGCCTCGGTATGGATCTCTTGGCAGAGGGGGCTACAGGTGTGACTGCAGGTGTGGCCGGCGCGCACACATGAAGTCACAGGTGTTGAACCAGTGTCCAGGCCTGGCGGGAAGGCGCAGGCCGGACCCTGCGGAGACGGGAAAGGCGACGTCAGGGGCGGGTCAGGCTCCCGGGAAAGCGAAACCTAAACAGTGGCGCTTCGCACCCTCCTCGATCCCACCCCGTCCGGTTCTCAGCTCCGCGGAACCCCGCCTCCGCCTCCGCCTCCCTCCCCGCCCGACCCTCATCTCTCAGGCTCCCCCAGCTCTTGGCTCTACCCCTCCGGGGTCACGGAGCCCCCACGGAGGCTCTCGCTCCCGGCCTGCACCGCGTGGGTCTGGGGTCCCCAGTACCTGGGTGCCAGAGCCGCCGGGACGGGAAGTTTCGTCTCGCGGGGAAGCGGAGGGCCGGCGCTTTTATGGTGGCCAGGCGGGAGTTTCCGGGAAGGGCGCGCGCCGCCTGTTCTTATTATTGGATGCGACCAGCGGAACCCCGCCCCGGCCAGCGCGGAGTAGGGAGGAGTGGAGGGCGTTGGGAGTGGCTGCAGTGAGCCGAGATGGAGCCACTCCACTACAGCCCAGGGGACAGAGCAAGACTCAGTCTCAAAAAAAAAAGGAAGTGGGTAATGGGAGGTGGACGTGCCTCGAAAAAGGGGCAGCTGCACCGTTTGCGTTTCTTTTTTTGAGATGGAGTTTCGCTTTTGTTACCCAGGCTGGAGTGCGGTGGCACAATCTTGGCCCACCACAACCTCCGCCTCCCGGGTTCAAGTGATTCTCCTACCTAAGCCTCCCGAGTAGCTGGGATTACAGGCATGAACCACCACGCCCGGCTAATTTTGTATTTTTAGTAGAGACGGGGTTTCTCTATGTTGGTCAGGCTGGTGTCGAACTCCCGACCTCAGGTGATCTGCCCACCTCGGCCTCCCAAAGTGCTGGGATTTAGGCGAGAGCCGCCGTGCGCAGCCCCCTTTGGGTTTTTTACATTGTTCAGTCAAGAATATCAGATACTCTCACAATTAAAACATTTGGAAAGGAATTAATGGTGTATTTCCATTAGGGAAAGTGCTGACAAGCCGCAAGGGATCCCTTGATGGTTCTGGGCATGGGCGCCCAGCCTGGGCTCTGGCTTTGGGAGCAGCGAGGGGAATGTGTCTCTCACCCCTAGGCCTCCTGGTCTGGCTCCTGCTCAGGCCACACGGCGCACCCACCCCCAGCGCGCCTCAGTCCAGGTCACTGGGCAGGGTGTTTACTGCTGCGCTCCAACCCAAGCATGTAGATTTCAGAAGGGGACTAGGACCCCCGGCAGGTGTTTGAGACCACCGGCTCCCAAGTGCGTCGCCTTGGGGGTTTGCATCGGCTCCTCAGCCTCCCCAGGCAATCTCTGTGTAGGGTCGGGAGCGGGAGGTCTGAGATGAGCCGGGTGCCTGAGATCTCCGGTGCAGGTCGGGGGAGGGGAGCCCCCCTCGGGCTGTGGTTAGAGCGGGAGAGGAACTTCCCAGACTAGCTGGCACAGAGCCTCGGGAAGGCGGCGGGCACTGCAGGTGGTTTACGGGAAGTGCTGCAGCCTTGGGGTGGGGACAGCGTGGCCAGACCCACCGCCTCATCTGCACACCTGGGCTCAAGCGCTAATGACGACAGGGGACTGAGTGAATGGGACCCCCATGGACCCGCGCGCCTGCCCCACGCCATGGCCTGGGTTTCGGGAGCCTTGCTTTATTCTGCCTCGGGTCGGAGGCTGGGGGAGCGAGACCTCCAGTGCCCGTGCGGCTGGGGGAGAGGGTGGAGGGGCCACTTAGATGTAGGAGTCATCACCACCGGGCGCATCGTAGGGACCCCCACCCCTCCCCGCGCCCTCGCCCTCATCGCCGCTGCCGGAGTCACTGGCGCCATCCACGTCCAGGGTGGGCGCGTTGAGAACGACCACGTCTGCCTCCGTCCCGATGTCCTCGCCAAACCAGACAGCCTTGTACCCGCCCTCCGGCCGCCGCTCCTTGGTCAGGATGGACCTCACCGCCGTGGGGCTTCCGCCAGCTCGGGCCGCTGCGGGGGGCTCAGGGGCACCGCCTGGGGAGGCAGGGCCGGGGGGTGCGGGCTCTGCGGGCATCGGTGCCTCCGCGGGCTTGGGGTCGTGCGTGGGGCTGGGGACGGGCGCCCAGTTGGCCTTGTGGTCAGGGAGGAACGCCTGGTTGTCAAAGCCTTGGGGCTGGGGCTCCTGCAGGCGGGAGTCGAGGCGTCAGCGGGGTCCCTGGGTCTCTGCAGCCTTGGCCCTGCACACCCTCATTCCACGCTGGACACCCCTCCGTCTCCACATCTGTCCCTCTGCCCTCCCCTCTCCTGTCCCCCGTCCCCCACTTCCTGCCTGGTCGCCTGCCCTGTTCTCCATCCTGGGCCTCACCGGAGCTTTGCCACAGCAGCACTTGAGCCGGGGGCCATAGTGCTTGTGGACAAGGACGGCGAGGCCAAGGAGAGCCAGCAGCAGCAGCGCACCCAGCACCCCGCCCAGGGCCGCCATATCCACCACCGAGAAGCGCTTGTCCTCCGAGGGGCCGCCACCTGGCATCGCAGTGGAAAACGTCATCATCCCCGCACTGTTGAGTGCCCCAGGCATTTCCCATGCCAACCTGTGCCAGGCTTGGGACACTTGGGTTCCACCCAGGCCTGGGCTGTCTCCCAAATCTCAGGCTCTGCTGACCCTGGCTCAAGGGGCCTGTGTGTCCCATCGAGACCCTGCCCACCCCCTCCCCCCCGGGAGGCCAAGCTGCTCACAGGAGCTCACAAGAGGTGCAGGGACTTGCAGGGTGAGCGGCAGCCGTGGGAATCGTGGGATTCGCTGGACCCCACATCTGGCCTCTGTCCTACACACATCACAGGTTACCTCACTGGGGGCCTTGGGCCTGTCTGTGTCTGTCAGTCCCAAACAGACTCCTCTTTGGGATTTCATGGTCAGGCCAGGTCAGCCTGGGGTGGACCCTTCCTACAGCGTTTCCCATACCAGCCAATGACCGGAGTCAGGGAGGGAAGGCAACAGAGTGGGTGCTACCTGAAGATGGGGTGCTCTTGCTGAGGGGCATCGGCTGAGAGGTTCCTGGCTCTGGGGTCTGTGCTGTGCCCCCACCGGGTGTGGTTGGTTGGTGGGAGGTGCTGGTTCCCATACCGGGGGGCATCGGCTGAGAGGTTCCTGCCTCTGGGGTCTGTGCTGTGCCCCCACCGGGTGTGGCTGGTTGGTGGGAGGTGCTGGTTCCCATACTGGGGGGCATCGGCTGAGAGGTTCCTGGCTCTGGGGTCTGTGCTGTGCCCCCACTGGGTGTGGCTGGTTGGTGGGAGGTGCTGGTTCCCACACCGGGGGGCATCGGCTGAGAGGTTCCTGGCTTTGGGGTCTGTGCTGTGTCCCCACCGGGAGTGGCTGGTTGGTGGGAGGTGCTGTTTTCTGCACCCGGGGGCCCCCCGGGTGTGGACGAGGTTGGTGGCCTCAGAGTTGTGCCAGAGGGTGGATGAGGGCCTGTGCCTCCCCCAGAGCTGGTCGTGGAGGGTCCCTGGGAGGGCTCAGGGGGTCTGGGGACCTCGGAAGTGGTGCTGGTCCAGGGCCCAGTTGTTCCTCCAGCCTCTGGGGATGGGGGGACATCTGGGGGCCGGGAACAGTGCTTGGGCTTGCCTCTGCCCGCCCCTTGCACACCTACCGCGGGAAAGGAGCCACCGAAGGGGCTTATTTGGAGAACCCTGGGGGCTCACCTGTGGAGGGGGGCTTACCTGTGGAGGGGGGCTCCTGTTCGGAAACTTGTATCTCAATGACTGTGGTTGCGGTGCCAGAGGTCACCGTGTTGTGGGCCTCAACCTGGGGCAGGAAGGGGCTTGTCCCTCCTAGACACATCTTTAAGCCCCACACCCTTGGAGATGCCCGCCTGCCCTGCCCCGCACCTCTGCGTAGAAGGCTCCCGCCTGTGCCAGTGTGGTGGTGGTCAGCACAACCTCTCCCTCCATCCGGAAGTGTGAGTGGTTGGTAATTCGATATGTGATGGCCGAGTTGAGGTCCTGGACAGGGTCTCATTGAGTCCCCGGCCAGGCTGCCTCCCACGTACAGCCCTGACCCACCCACAGAGGGGAGGCCTTGGATGCACTCTCTACCGAGAACTCCGGGTCCTGAGCCTGGATCCTCAGAGGCTGAGAAGGGGCAGCTGCATCCTTGACCACAACGCCCGCTCCAGCGCCACGCGCCACGGTGCCACGATACAGTCTCTGGGGGAAGCGGGGCGGGCTCCCGGCCGCAGCCACAGCCTCCACGGTGACCTGGGTCACTGAGTAGCGGGCAAGGTCGGCCTGTTGGCCCTGGAGGCGGGGGAGGCAGCAGTGACTAGTGGGGTTGAAGGTGGAGCTGGCGCTGAAGGCTGGGGCTCAGGAAAGGCAGGTGCAGACTTGGCGGGGGCCCTGCCCCGGCCCCCCAGCCCTGACCCCCCGCCCTACCTTCCACCCTTCCCCCTCTGCCCTGCCCCCCATGCAGGTGCCCACCTCACCTTCACCAGCAGAAGGAAGGTCATGGGGCTGGGGACACTCCTGGCCACGGTGAGGTTGCCCGAGTCTGGGTGGATGATGAATGTACCATTCACGTTTCCTGGGAGGATGATGGAAGTGCTCAGCCCCGGCCCCCTGAGGCCCAGGGACCCAGCCAGCTCTGCCCAAGGTGGGGATGGAGACAGGGACAGAGGGGGTACAGGGCATTGTTGAGGGCTGGGCCCCACTCACCCCTAAAGATGCTGTAGATGATGGGCTGGTTGATGCCGCGGTCTCCGTCCTCAGCGTAGATGGGTCCGGGACGCAGGACGAGGGGAGATGGCTTCAGGGATGGCGGAAGGGAGGGCACGTCGTGGGGCTGGGGTGGATGGCCCCAGCCTGGCCCCTCTGACTCCCCATCAAGGGCAGGGTTGGCTGAGGAGGGGCCCAGTCCCGCTGGTGGCCGGGCGTCCCTGCCTGCCTAGGACAGTCCCTTGTCCCAGCATCACAATCAGTAACACCCCTGTGGGTCCCTTACTAATGAATGAGTCCAGTGGCCCAAAGATACTGAGTCCCATTTGCACAAGGCTTGTCTTGACGGGTAAGCAAACATTTAGGAAGTGGGGGCTCCCGGGGTCTGCATTTCTGCCTCCCATGTACTGTTTGGTGGCCCCAGGTGCCTTGGTGCCAGGAAGGTTTGCAGACAGCCTGTGTGGGCCCAGTGGTGACTGTGAGCAGGGCAGAGATGTCAGCATCCCTTAAGAGCTCCAGGGCCCCAGCCCACCTCCCCAGGCCCCTGAGACCGCCTGGCTCTGGGGCCCACGCTCCTCCCTGTGTGTTCAGGGTTTGCTCCCTCACCGCTCAAGATGGGAAGGGTTGGTTTACAAGGAGAGTCTGCATTTGTTTCAAAATCACGACCGAAATCGGCCCCACCCCCTGACCCCGACCCCGCCCTTCCTCTCCTGATCCTGGCCGTCCCTGTGTCCAGCCTGCCTAGAAGGCCCTGCCCCGTGCACTGCCCCTCCCTCCCCATTACCAGTATGTGCCCCGTGGGGACAGCCCCGTGGTACTGAGCTTGAATGCAGACGTAGCCATCTGAGAAGGTGCAGGGCAGGAACCACGGGGGCCGCAGGTCGGCGGGCACCACGTTCAGCACTAGTGTGGCGGTGGCAGTGTGGCTGGGTTCCACATTCTCCCCCGGAGTGTCCTGCAACAGACGGCTGTGCTGGATCAGGCCTGGGAGCAGCTGGGGCCGGGGGGCCTCAAGTGTGTGGGACTCGGGGCTGGGGTGACCTGCTCACCCGCACCAGCAGCCAGAAGGTCATGTTCGGCCGCTCGTAGAAGTCCAGGGGCCGGTCCAGCCTCAGGGCGGGACGGTTTACACTCACCAGGGAGAAGTAGTCACTGGCACCCTGGGGAGGGTCAGGGAGGACAGAGCCTAAGAGCCTTGGAGGGCGAGGGCGGCTGTGGGTGTCAGAGGCGAGGGGCTCGTGCTGGGGCAGGGTGGGCGGCACTGACTGCTGTCATTTCCTGGAGGGTGTAGAACAGAATGTCGTCCTTGTCGCGGTCCTCAGCCTGCAGTTGCGTCTCGGGGATGACGGTGGAGTTCACTTTCGTGTCCTGGGGAGGGAGAGGGGCTTGGTCCGGCCACACTCTTGGCCCCTGTGGACCCCCACTGTGGTTGAGCCCCCGGCCACCACTCACCTCCTGCCCTCACCCTGGGCTCCCACACCCCCGTGCCCAGTCCCCGCGGCTTCGCTGGCCTCACCTCCTCCACCCTTATCTCCTTGGTCTTAAAGGGGAATTCGGGGGCATTGTCATTGACGTCCAGCACTGACACGAACACCCTTAGCTGGGTCACCTGCAGGATGTGGCCGTCAGCCTCTCCCACAGCCCCTCCCCGTTGTGAGGTGCACCCCTCGACGGCTATCCGTCCCCACCGTGAGTGAGGTGCACCCCTCAACGGCCACCTGTCCCCGCCCTAAGTGAGGTGCACCCCTCGACGGCCACCCGTCCCTGCTGTGAGTGAGGTGCACCCCTCAACGGCCACCCGTCCCCGCCGTGAGTGAGGTGCACCCCTCAACGGCCACCCGTCCCCGCCGTGAGTGGGGTGCACCCCTCGACGGCCATCCGTCCACTCGCTCATTCAGTTGTTGGGGGGCTACAGGGGCTGCACAGCTCTAGGCGTTGGGATTCAGAGATCACAAGAGACAAATCTCTGCCTGGTGGTGCCTGTCCTGGCAGGACTTATAACAACAGACAAAAAGGACTTTATAAAGCCAGGAGGTGGCAGGTGCTCCACAGAAAAATAATGCAGGTACTTGGGGATGCAGCCAGCAGAATCTCAGGTGAGGAAAGACAATCCATTTTCTTTTCTCTGTTTTTTTTTTTTTTTGGTTTTTGTTTTTGTTTTTTGGTTTTTGGGTTTTTTTGGATACAGTCTCGCTCTGTCGTCACCCAGGCTGGAGTACAGTGGTGTGATCTCGGCTCACTGCAACCTCTGCCTCCCAGGTTCAAGCGATTCTCCTGCCTCGGCCTCTGCCCACCTCGGCCTCCCAAAGTGCTGGGATTACAGGTGCCTGCCACCATGCCCAGCTAATTTTTGTATTTTTAGTAGAGACGGGGTTTCACCATTTTGGCCACATTGGTCTCGAACTCTTGACCTCAGGTGATCTACCCGCCTCGGCCTCCCAAAGTGCTGGGATTCCAGGTGTGAGCCACGGCGCCCAGCCAGGACTCTTCTTTTTAGAACATAACCACAATGTCGTTGTCACACCTGGGAAAAGCGGTCACTTTCTACCTCAAATGTCCAGGATGCCACATTCCCCGTGGTCTCTGAAGGGTTTTTTAACAATTGTTTGTTTGAATCAGGGCCCACATTATGGACCTGGTTGGTAATTCTCCTGAGTTTCTGTTCATCTGTACCTTTCCCTTTCTCCCATCTTTTTTCCTGGAGATTTATTTGTGAAGAAACTGGATTGTCAGCCGGGCACGGTGGCTCACACCTGTAATCCCAGCACTTTGGGAGGCCGAGGCGGGCAGATCACCTGAGGTCAGGAGTTTGAGACCAGCCTGACCAACATGGAGAAACCCCGTCGCTACTAAAAATACAAAAATTAGCCGGCCGTGGTGGCGCATGCTTGTAATCCCAGCTACTCAAGAGGCTGAGGCAGGAGAATCGCTTGGACCCGGGAGGCGGAAGTTGCAGTGAGCCGAGATCGCTCCACTGCACGCCAGCCTGGGTGACAGAGTGAGACTCTGTCTCAAAAAAGAGTCTCTCTCTTTCAGAGACATATCCCAAGATATGTGCAGGTGACGTGCCGTGGTGCATGGAGGGCACAGAGCCTGCTGTGTGCTGGTAGGTGAGGGGGCCTGTGCTGGCCTCAGGATTCTGCAATTTTCCTTAATAAAGCCGAAAAAAATGCCGCCGGTCAAGAAGCAGGATGTTGGGGGAGCGGGGCTGGGATGCAACAGGGCATAGGGTGGTTGGGATTTCTCTGAAGACTGCAGTCCTGAGCCGGTGAGGGAGGGGCGTGCCTGGCGGGAGCCCTGAGGCTGCAGTGGAGCCTCTGCACAGTATGTCTGGGTTTGACTCGGTGAGAAAGGAGCCGTGGAGGGCTGGGGTGGGCTGGGCAGCCTTGGTTTACAACATCCACAGGGGCTGTTCTGCCACGTGGAGTGGACTGGGGCCAGCAAAGGGCAACAGGGAAGCCGGTGGGCCAGCTGGAAGTTTCCCAAAATGAGTGCTGGTGTCCCGGCCCTGATGGGACTGGAGGTGGACAGACTCTGGATTTCTGGGTCGAGCTGGGGCACAGCCAACAGATTTACCAGTGGGGGGCTGTGGGGGACACGTGGGGAGGGAGGGCGAGTGGGAACCAAGGTGGTCCCCGTGACTGGCAGGATAAAGGTGCCTCCCTTGTGGATGGTTGAGGGAGTGGGTGGGAGTCTTGGGCACACTGGATGGGGTGTCTGCTGGACAAGGGGTCAGTGACGGGGACTCCACAGCTCAGGGCAGAGTCTGGACTGGAGGAAATGTGGGCATCACCCTCGGGGGGGTGGAATTTGAAACCACACCCTAGCTGACGTCATCAAAGACTGGTCCTGGACCGGCAGGGCAGAGCCCAGCAGAGGTGGCCGGGTGGGGCGGGGAGAGCGGGGCGGGGACTCACCAATGTGCCTCCGCTCTGACACAGCAGCTGAGCCTCAAGCAGTGACTTCTCCTGTGGATGTAGACAGGTCTGCAGTCACCGTCCTGCCCCACAGGTGGGGAGACTGAGGCCAAGTGGGCAGGCGCTGGCCCAGGGTCCCCATCATCAGTGGTCAGTGCTGAGGGTGTGGGCCCAGGCAGCTTCATCCCGAAATGGCCCAGCCTTCTAGGGCAGGCACCACCAAGCATGGGTGTCAGTGGATGCCCGCAGGCATAGAACTCCTAGGCCCCCAAGGGAGGTGTGGCCTGAGGATGCAGGTGCCCTTCTCCCGGGACCCCCATATCCCGCCCGCCTGCCGCCCACACCTCGTAATCAGGAGTCACGTTGAGAAACAGCTGGTTTCCCTGGATCCGAAATGCAAAGGGGGTGGACAAGGCTCCGAGGGTCACCTCCTGGCCCTCCGGGACGTGGATGTCCACCAGCGGCTCGGTGACATTTGTGTTCTCCTCTACTTCAAAGATGTCCTTGTTCACAGAGCAGTCTGTAAGGTTGCAGAGGAGGGATCAGTGCCTCCCAGCCCCTGGCTCCCCGCCGCCCGTGCCCCACCTACCCCTGCCCGCACATACACTGGGCCTGGGCCATGGTCCCCGGGGGTCGGACGAGCAGCCCGGTGAACAGCAGGGGAGGCCACAGCAGGGCCCAAGACCCCATCTTGGCGGCTGTCACCTGGCAGGAGGGTCTGAGCGGGTCTGGCGTCTAGGACTGGCGCAGTTCCTACCTCAGCGACCTTCGCCCCAGCCAGACGCCGCCCAGTTTATGATCCTTTACGACCGGCTTCTGCCAAGGGGGCTCCCGCTGGCCGGCTGGTCCAGCCCACTGCCAGAAGGAGGGGCAGTCGTTTGGCCCAAGTTGGACTGAGTGCAGGGGTCAACCAGGGGGCTCAGGTCACAGGCACCGAGGCACAGGGCAGAAGGGACTGGAGAGCGGCTCATGGGTGCCGTGGGGGTAGGGGCAGGGCAGGGGCAGGGCTAGGGTGTGGGAGAGAAGCTGGGGGCTGGGGGCGGGGGCTCGGCCCTTGGTGTCGGGGTGTCTGGAACCTGCCTCCCTAGCCCAGGCTGCCCTGGCTTGGCTCCTCCCCTAAGATCTCCCTCAGGCAAAGTTCCTAAGGCCACCCCTTGAGGCTCAGAACCCGGGTGTTCCCCAGGGAGCACCTCCCTCCCTGCCTGACAGCAGGTTCTGAAGGAAAAGGCTCTCCTCACTGTGTCCTGGGGACACCCCTGCCTGCCCCAGAGACAAGTCGGCTTCTCAGGGCGGGGCTGGACAGGGCCTTAGTGACTGAGGCTAAGGCGGGGCTGTGAGGGGCAGCTGGGAGTTCCTGGGGGGCCCTGGTGCCCGACAGAGGGGGTGAGGTGAGACTCGACACTTGCCCTGCTCTTTTCATTGGCCCCCCAGAAGCCCCCAGCTCTAGGGAGAGGCCACTGGGTAGGGTCGGGGCGAGGAAGTGGCTGTCGTGAGGGGTAGGTGGAGTTCTCCTCCTCCAGGCCTGTGCGCCGAAGCTTCTGGCCTCTCATGGCTGGGGCTGGGCTCAGTGTCCTAACCCTGCACGGTGCCCTCATGGTCGCCTTCAAGCCCTGCACGCTCCGTGCTCCACAGGCTCTGAGGGGTCAAGCCACTGGTCCGAGGCCACACGAGACAGAGGGTCCGGAGTCCTCACGCCAGAGTGGATTCCTGGCACCCCAGGTGACACCTCCACCCTCCCCTCTTCCTGCCCGCCTGAGCCCCCCTGGCCCCTTCACACCCTCCCCACTACCCCTTACAGAAACACTGACCACATGGGCCCCCGGGCAGGAGCTGAGAGGGTGTCCGGGATCCCCCGAGCCCCAGAATGTTTCCTAATGGATGACAAGGGGTGGGGCGGGGCCCTGCAGTACTTAGTCGAGGTACAGGAGGTGGCCCTGATGCCAGAGATAAGGATGAGGGGCCGCCGTGCCTGCAGGTGTAAAGGGCAGCTGGGTGTGGTCAGTCCCTCCTGGGTGGATGGGCCTCCATCCATCCCTCAGCCCCGCTACACAGGGGTTGCCTCGATTACACTGAGTGGACACAGACAACTCCCAGCGTCTGGGTCTGATTCCTCCTTTATTGGTGCCAAGTACCACCCCTCCCCCTCTCCCCCATCCTGCCCCCCACCCCAAATGCAGCTGCGCTCCTGGGCCGGGCAGGTGGTGAGGGGGTTCCTTCCTCATCTGGGCCGCAAGGTTCCTTCTGCAGCAGCGCCAGCTGGTTCTGAAACCATAGGCCCAGGGGGCAGCCAGGGAGACCAGGTCCCGTCCAGGGGCATCCTGCAGAGACAGCACGTGAGGGTCTGAGGGCTGGGGCTGGAGACCCCGGCCCCGCTGCTGGAATTGGGCCTCCAGTGGCCACCAGCGCTGACCCGGGGAGGCCAGGACAGAAGGAGGGGTCTGGGGTGGGGTCTGGAGTGGGGTCTGCGGTGGGGCGGGTGCTCACCAGGCCTGCAGGATGGGCATGTTGGACCCTGACGGGCAGAGCAGACCCGCGCTGAGCCTGGTCCAGGCCATGCTGTTCTCTGCGTCCTGCTCGCTGCCCCCCGCCCCAAAACAGAGTTAGTCCTGGAGCTGGGGGGTCGCGCGTTGCTGCTGGGGCACCACGCCAGGACCCCCCACCCCACCCGGCCTCACCTGCGCTTCCCCACCAGGCCCTGTAGCAGCCGCTGGAGCCGCGCGCCCTCCCGCAGGCGGCTGAGCTCGCTGGTGAACGTCCCGTCTGAGTGTCGCCGGGCCCTGCGGGCGGTCGGGGGTCGGGGTCAGGGCGCACTGGGGGCGGGTGGGGCCCGGGGGGCGGGCGGGCCTGGCGGGCGGCTCACCTGGGGGGCGCGGGGCGCGCGGCGGAGCCCCCGAGGAGCAGCAGCAGCAGCAGGAGGGGCCGGGGGGCCATGGCGGGGTCGGGGCGCAGGAGCTGAGCGCTGCGGCCACGGCCCCGGGCCCCCGCAAGGCCCCTTTATGGCGGCGCCCGGAAAGGGGACGGCCCGGCCGCGCCCAGCGATCCCGGGAAGGTCAGGGCCGCCCCCCCAGCTGTCGCCCCGGCCCGGCCTCCCGCCCCCTCCGCCGCGCTGGCGCCCCTCGGCCGGCTGGGGGAGGGGGACGTCCCGGCCTGGGGGGCGAACGGAGCGCGGGCCTGGGACCCGCAGAGGGAACCGCACCGCGAAGCCTCGGAGCCTGCGGGGGCGGAGGGGCCGGAGGGCTTGGGGGAGGGTTTGGGGGGGGACTGGGGGGCCCCGGGGAAGGGGCTGCGGCCGGAGTTCCGGAGGCCCCTGGAGCACCTTGCTGGGGCGAGTTCGTCTCCAGCTTCAGCGTGGCGTGACTGTTGGGGGGCCGGTGTTGCCATTTTATCTGCTTTGAAGTGCGCGATTCAGGATCATTCGGTGCATCCATCCCCACCATCCGTTCTCAGACTTTCCCGTCCTCCCAAAATCCGTTCACAGACGCTCCCGTCCTCCCAAAATCCGTTCACAGACGCTCCCGTCCTCCCAAAATCCGTTCACAGACGCTCCCGTCCTCCCAAAATCGTTCACAGACGCTCCCGTCCTCCCAAAATCGTTCACAGACGCTCCCGTCCTCCCAAAATCGTTCACAGACGCTCCCGTCCTCCCAAAATCCGTTCTCAGACTCTTCCGTCCTCCAAAAATCCATTCTCAGACTCTTCCGTCCTCCCAAAATCCGTTCTCAGACTCTCCCGTCCTCTCAAAATCTGTTCACAGACGCTCCCGTCCTCCCAAAATCCGTTCACAGACGCTCCCGTCCTCCCAAAATCCGTTCACAGACGCTCCCGTCCTCCCAAAATCCGTTCTCAGACTCTCCTGTCCTCCCAGAATGAAGCTCTGTCCCCATCAAACGCCCCCTCCCCTCCTCAGCCCCGGCGCCCCGTCCACTTTCTGTCTGTGGATTCAGCGCTTCCAGGGACTGCGCGCAGGGGGAGCCTCACGGGATTTGTCCTTTGGAGACCGGCTGGATTCTCAGCGCAGCATCCTCCGCCTTCGCCGCCGCGGCCTGGCCTGTGTGGGAATCTCCTTCCCTTTTGTGGGGAACTGTGTCCCGCTGTGTGCAGGGACCGCATCGACCGCGTCCGCTCATCTGTGGGCATCTTGATGGACACCTGGGCTGCCTCCCCTTTGGGGCGACGGCGAGTAACGCTGCTGTGAACGTGGGTGTGCAAACGGCGCTTCCCGATCCCGTTTTCAAGCGTTCTTGGTGTATAGTTATGAGGGAATTGCTGGGTGACAGAGTAATTATGTGTTAAATATTCTGAGGAAACGCCAAACTGTCTTCCCAGCAGCGCAGCAGGGACACGGTTCTTGTCCTCGCCAACACTTGCTACTTTGTGGCTTTTTGTTTGTCGCGTACTAACGATGCCGGTGGGTGCGACGTGGTGTCTCGCTGCGGTTTTGATTGGCATCTCCCTAATGGCCAGCGATGTGGAGCATGTTCTCAAGTGTCTGTGAGCCATTTATACATCATGGAGTGGACGGAGAAATGGCCGTCAAGCCCTTTGATGTTCTGCTGTGGTTGCGAGTCATGCACTGTATCCGTCTGTTAAATCAGCCACAATATTTTCCCCAGCGTTTGCATCATTTCACAGCCCCGCCAGCAATGTGGGGCTGGCTGGCTGGCTGGCTTGCTGGCTTGCTTGCTTTTCTTTCTTTCTTTCTTTCTTTCTTTCTTTCTTTCTTTCTTTCTTTCTTTCTTTCTTTTTCTTTCTTTCTTTCTTTCTTTCTTTTTTTCTTTTTCTTCCTTTCTTCCTTTCTTCTTCCTTTCTTCCTTTCTTTCCTTCCTTTCTTTCTTTTTCAGAGGGAGTCTCGTTCTGTCACCCAGGCTGGAGTGCCGTGGGGCCATCTCAGCTCACTGCAACCTCCGCCTCCCGGTTTCAAGCAGTTCTTGTGCCTCGGCCCTCCAAGTAGCTGGGATTACAGGTGCCTGCCACTATGACTGGCTAATTTTTATATTTTTAGTAGAGACAGGGTTTCACCATGTTGCCCAGGCTGGTCTGAAACTCCTGACCTCAAGTGATCCACCTGCCTCGGCCTTCCAAAGCACTGGGATTACAGGCGTGAGCCACAGCGCCCGGCCTCACTTTCTCTGCACACTGTCAACATCCCTGCAGTCGCTATTTTTAACCTTCAGCCATTCTCTCTGCGGCAACACCTCCTTGTGGTCTTAGTTGCATTTCCCCAGTGGCGGGTGATTCCGAACCTCTTTCCAGGTGCTTGTTTCCATTTGCATGTTGTCGTGGGTTAAATGTATCTTCACATCTCTTGCCCGTTTTTAAATTGTTCTCTACTGCTGAGTTTTGTTTTTTTTTTTATTGTGGGAAAACATGCATAACATGAAACTTACCATTTTAGCCATTTTAAAGTATGAAGTGATACTTAGTACGGTCACGGAATTATACAACCAGCACCGCTGTTTAGTTCCAGAACTTTTTACTCCCCAGATGGAAAATCTCAAATCCATAAAGCATTTACCTCCCCTTCCCCCATCCCTTCAGCTCCTGAGTAACAATGAATTTACTTTCTGTCTCTGTGGATCTGCCTGTTCTGGGTATTTCATACCAATAAAATCCTAAAAGCTGGGCATGGTGGTACATGCCTGTGGTCTCGGCTACTTGAGACGGTGAGGCAGGAGGATGGTTTGAGGCCAGGAGTTCGAGACCAGCCTGGGAAACATAGCAAGACCCTGGTCACTATTTTTATTTATTTATTTATTTTTATTTATTTGTTTTGAGATGGAGTTTCACTCTTGTTGCCCAGACTGGAGTGCAATGGCGCGATCTTGGCCCACTGCAACTTCCGCCTTCTGGGTTCAAGCAATTCTCCTGCCTCAGCCTCTGGAGTTGCTGGGATTACAGCACCACCATGCCCAGCTAATTGTGTACTTTTCATGGAGGCAGGGTTTTGCCATATTGGTCAGGCTGGTCTTGAACTCCTGACCTCAGGTGATCCGCCCGCCTCAGCCTCCCAAAGTGCTGGGATTACACGCAGGAGCCACCGCGCCTGGCCCCAGAATTTCATTCATTTTAATGGAAAAATCACACTGCATTTGGTTCATCCATTCACCTGCTGAGGACGTTTGGTTTATTTCTACCTTGTATATATTGTGTTTGTTTGTCTGCTTGAGACAGAATCTCGTTCTGTTGCCCAGGCTGGAGTGCAGTATATGATCTCCGCTCACTGCAACCTCCGCCTACCAGGTTTAAGTGATTCCCCTGCCTCAGCCTCCTAAGTAGTGGGACTACAGGCATGCACCACCACACCCCCTAATTTTTGTATTTTTAAAAAATATTTATTTATTTATTTACTTTAGAGACGGACTCTCACTCTGTCACCCAGGCTGGAGTGCACTGACCTGATCTCAGCTCACTGCAACCTCCGCCTCCCGGGTTCAAGCTATTCTCCTGCCTCAGCCTCCCAAGTAGCTGGGATTACAGGCACCTGCCACGCCCGGCTAATTTTTGTATTTTTAGTAGAGACGGGGTTTAACCCTGTTGGCCAGGCTGGTCTCCAACTCCAGGTCTCAGGTGATCCACCCGCCTCGGCCTCCCAAAGTGCTAGGGTTACAGGCATGAGCCACTGTGCCCGGCCAGTACTTTGTGTATTTTCAGTGGAGATGGGGTTTCACCATGTTGGCCAGGCTGGTCTTGAACTTCTGGCCTCAAGCAATCTGCCCACCTCGGTCTCCCAAAGTGCTGAGATTACAGGCGTGAGCCACCATGCCCGGCCCCTTTTGTATATTGTGAATAGTGCCGCTGTGAACATTTACATACAAGCTTTTATTTGAACACCTGTCTTCACTTCTTTTGGGTATGTAACATACCCACTGAGTCATATGGCAACTCTACGTGAAACTTGTTGAGGAACTGCTGGACTTCTTCTCACAGTGACCATTTTATATTCCCAAAAGCAGTGAATGTCTCCTCATCCTTAACACTTGGTATTTTTATTTATTTATTTATTTATTTATTTACTACCATGGCCATCCTAATGGATATGGAATGGTATCTTACTGTGGTTTTGATTTGCATTTCCCCAGTGACTAATGAGGTTGAGCATCTTTTCAAGTGCTTTGTGGCCATTTGTGTGTGACATATGTATATTTTTTGTTTGTTTGTTTGTTTTGGGGACGGAGTCTCGCTCTGTCACCCAGACTGGAGTGCAATGGTGCGATCTCGGCTCATTGCAACCTCCACCTCCCAGGTTCAGGCGATTCTCCTGCCTCAGCCTCCTGAGTAGCTGGGACTACAGGTGCCCGCCACCATGCCTGGCTAATTTTTTTGTATTTTTAGTAAAGACGGGGTTTCACCATGTTAGCCAGGATGGTCTCCATCTCCTGACCTCATGATCCGCCCACCTCGGCCTCCCAAAGTGCTGGGATTACAGATGTGAGGCACCGTGCCCAGCCATATTTTTTTTAAGACAGAGTCTCGCACTGTTGCCCAGGCTGGAGTGCAGTGGCGTGTTCTTGGCTCACTGTAACCTCTGCCTCCCGGGATCAAGCGATTGTCCCACCTCCGCCTCCCAAGTAGCTGGGATTATGGGCGCCCGCCAGCATACCCAGCTAATTTTTGTATTTGTAGTAGAGACGGGGTTTCACCATGTTGGCCAGACTGTTCTCGAACTCCTGACCTCAAGGGATCCGCCTGCCTCGGCCTCCCAAAGTGCTGGGATTACAGGCGTGAGCCACTGAACCCGGCCATTTGGGTATCTTCTTTGAAGAAATGTCTATTCAAGTCCTTTACTCATTTTCATTATTTATTTTATTTTGAGACAGGGTCTCACTTTGTTGCCCAGCTTGGAATATGTTGGCTCAATCACAGCTCACTGCGGCCTCAACCTCCTGGACTCAAAGGATCCTCCCACCTCAGATTCCCAAAAAGCTGTGACTATAGGCTCACGCCACCACACCCAGCTAATGTTTGTATTTTTAGTAGAGATGGGGTGTCTTTCTTTTTTTTTTTTTTTTGAGACAGAGTCTTGGTCTGTTGCCCAGGCTGGAGTGCAGTGGCACGATCTTGGCTCACTGCAAGCCCCGCCTCCCAGGGTCACGCCATTCTCCTGCCTCAGCCTCCTGAGTAGCTGGGACTACAGGTGCCCGCCACCACGCCCGGCTAATTTTTTGTAATTTTAGTAGAGACGGGGTTTCACCATGTTAGCCAGGATGGTCTCGATCTCCTGACCTTGAGATCCGCCCGCCTCAGCCTCCCAAAGTGCTGGGATTACAGGCTTGAGCCACCAAGCCTGGCCTGTTGTGGAGGATCTTCTATACATAAGACCATGTCATCTGCAAGTAGAAATAGTTTTCTTTTCCAATTTTGGATACCTTTAATTTCTTTTTCTTGAGTAATGCTCTTGCTAGAATGTCCAGAACAATGTTGAACAGAAGCAGCAGCAGTGGGCATCCTTGTCTCTTTCAAAGGCTTTTTGTTTCTCACCATTGAGTATGATGTTAGCTGTGTTTGTATTTTGTTTGTTTGTTTGAGACAGTCCCCCTCTGTCATTCAGGGTGGAGTGCAGTGGTGCGATCTCGTCTCACTGCAGCCTCCACCTCCTGGATTCACGTAATTCTCGTGTCTCAGCCTCCTGAGTAGCTGGGACTGTAGGCGTGCGCCACCATGCCCAGCTAATTTTAATTTTTGTATTTTTAGTGGAGATGGGATTTCAACATGTTGGGCATCTGGTCTTGAACTCCTGATCTCAAGTGATCCACCCGCCTCGGCCTTCCGAAGTGCTGGGATTACAGGCATGAGTCACGGCGCCCGGCCTGATGAAGTTTGTTTCTATTCCTAGTTTATTGAGTCTTATTATCATGAAAGGGTTTTGAATTTTATGAAATGGTTTTTTCTGCATCAGTTGGGATGATCGCGTGGGTTTTTCTTCATTCTGTTAATGTGGTGTATGACATTGAATTTCGTCTGTTCGTTCACCCTTGCATTCCTGGGATAAATCCCACTGGGTTATGGTACATAATCCTTTTAAAAATGCTGTTTTTCGGCCAGGCACTGGCTCACGCCTGTAACCCCAGCACTTTGGGAGGCCAAAGTGGGCGGATCATGAGGTCAGGAGTTTGAGACCAGTCTGGCCAACAGAGTGAAACCCTGTCTCTACTAAAAATACCAAAATTAGCTGGGCATGGTGGCACGTGCCTGTAGTCCCAGCTGTTCAGGAGGCTGAGGCAGGAGAATAGCGTGAACCCGGGAGGCAGAGGTTGTGGTGAGCCGAGATCACACCACTGCACTCCAGCCTGGGTGACAGAGTGAGACTCCATCTCAAAAAAAAAAAAAAAATGCTGCTTTTCTGGCAGGCAGCACTTTAAAAGGGACTGTGTTTGCTCATATTTTTTCGAGAACTTTTGCATCTATATTCATAAAGGATACTCATTTGGAATTTTCTTTTTGTGATATCATTACTGTTGAGTTTTGAGAATTATTAATCTTTTTTGTATACAAGCCATTTGCTGGATATATGATTGCTAATTTTTAAAAAAAATTTGTTTCTTTTTTAATTTTAATTTATTATTTATTTATTTATTTATTTATTTATTTATTTATTTTGAGACGGAGTCTCGCTCTGTCGCCCACGCTGGAGTGCAGTGGTGCGATCTTGGCTCACTGCAAGCTCTGCCTCCCGGGTTCACGCCATTCCCTTGCCTCAGCCTCCCGAGTAGCTGGGACTACAGGTGCCCGCCACCACGCCTGGCTAATTTTTTGTATTTTTAGTAGAGACAGGGTTTCACTGTGTTAGCCAGGATGGTCTCGATTTCCTGACTTCGTGATCTGCCTGCCTCGGCCTCCCAAAGTGCTGGGATTACAGGCATGAGCCACCTCGCCCAGCCTATTTATTTATTTTTTGACACAGAGTCTTGCTCTGTTTCCCAGGCCAGAGTGCAATGACGTGATCTCCGCTCACCGCAACCTCTGCCTCCTGGGTTCAAGTGATTCTCCTTCCTCAGCCTGCCAAGCAGCTGGGATTACAGGTGCACACCACCACGCCCGGCTTTTTTTTTTTGAGACGGAGTCTTGCTCTGTCACCCAGGCTGGAGCGCAGTGGCACAATCTTGGCTCACTGCAATCTCCGCCTCCCGGGTTCATGCCATTCTCCTGCCTCAGCCTCCTCAGTAGCTGGGATTACAGGTGCCCGCCACCACGCCCGGCTGATTTTTTTGTATTTTTTAGTAGAGACAGGGTTTCACCGTGTTAGCCAGGATGGTCTCGATCTCCTGACCCTGTGATCTGCCTGCCTCGGCCTCCCAAAGTGCTGGGATTACAGGCGTGAGTCACCACGCCTGGCCAATTATTTGTATTTTTAGTAGAGATGGGGTTTCACTATGTTGGCCAGGCTGGTCTTGAACTCCTGACCTGGTGATCCACCTGCCTCGGCCTCCCAACGTGCTGGGATTACAGGTGTGAGCCACTGCGCCTGGCGTAGACAACCCAATTTTTAACAAAAGCAAAGATTTTTAACAGGCACATTCCAGAAGAGGGCATGCTGACAGTTAACAGGCACATGGGAAAAGTGGTCAAACATGAGTAGCCATCAGGAAAATCAACGACGTCCTACTACACTAAAATGGAAGAAACATTGCCAGACGTGGCCATTTGCAAATGTCGTTTCCTGGTCTGTGTCTTTTGATTCTCCTGACAGCATATTTGAGTTAATTTTTTAATGTGTAAGGTATGAGTGGAGGTCCTCATTAAAAATTGTTTAGGCTGGCTGTATGGCTCATGCCTGTAATCACAGCACTTTGAGAGGCTGAAGTGGGAGGATCATTTGAGCCCAGGAGTTTGAGACCGGCTGGGCTAACATGGCGAGACCCCGTCTCTACAAAAAATAAGAAAATTAGCTGGGTGTGGCACCACGCATCTGTAGTCTCAGTTGTACAGGAGGCTGAGGCCAGAGGATCACTTGAGCCCAGGAGATTGAGGCTGCAGTGAGCCATGATTGCAGTAAGATGTGATCACATCCAGTTACATTTGATTTTCAGATAAACAACAGAAGTTTAGTGGAGGCTGGGGGCAGTGGCTCACAGCTGTAATCCCAGCACTTTAGGAAGCTGAGGCAGGTGGATCACCTGAGGTCAGGAGTTCGAGACCAGCCTGGCCAATATGATGAAACCGTGTCTCTACTAAAAATACAAAAAAATTAGCCGGGCGTGGTGGCGGGCGCCTATAATCCCAGCTACTCAGAAGGCTGAGGCAGGAGAATCGCTTGAACCCGGGAGACGGAGGTTGCAGTGAGCCAAGATTGTGCTGCTGCACTCCAGCCTGGGTGATAAGAGTGAAACTCCATCTCAAAAAAAAAAAAAAAAAAAAAACAAATTGGGGTTGTCTGTCTTTTCTCATTGTTTCCATTGTTTCTGGATCTGTGTGTCAGAGATGTGTGCTGCACACATCCTTTCTCCGCCTAGCTTGGTTTTCACTCTTGGTGGTCGCAGACATCTTGGGGGCTACTTGAAGGAACTCTAAGCCGACCAGAGGCTGGGCTGGACTCGCCGTTTGGCGCCCAGCCGGAGACCCCAGGGCCACCCTCCCCGGTTCCATCCTGGGAGAGAAGAAACTTCCACTGTCCCAGTCTCTCCTGTGGTGACTTCTTTTGCTCAAGGGTTCACAAGGGCAGCAGACTGATCTGCACAAGAGGGACTGAGCCTGGCTGCGGCCGCACCTGATGCCTGTGCACACCTGTCCCTGGTGGTCTCTCCTGTGGTGACTTCTTTTGCTCAAGGGTTCACAAGGGCAGCAGACTGATCTGCACAAGAGGGACTGAGCCTGGCTGCGGCCGCACCTGATGCCTGTGCACACCTGTCCCTGGTGCAGGCCCTTCCCCCGCAGCCCCGTGACCTTGTCCTGTGAGGCTCACGGTGCCTGCTCCTTCTCAGAGTCCTCATTTCTCCCTTTAACGCACGCCCTGTCAGCGCCTCCGTCTAGCCCGTGTCCTCCAGACCTTCGAGGTCAGGGGCCTCAATTCCTGGCACAGCCCCTCCACTCCAGGCCTCCCAGAAACAGACTAGAGCATCAGGATGTGCGCCGCCTGGGGTCCCACAGAGTGGTGCCCCCTTTTAGTGTCTTCTAGGCCCCTTAGTGACAGACTACAGAAAATACCTCTCAGGTCACAGGTCACCCCTCTTTGGTGAAGAGTCCATAGAATTCTCTGCTGCGCTTTGCAAGCACTTTCTCTTCTGCACGTTTGGAACCTACCCCGGCCTGTCGTGTCTTTCTCCTGGCCTCCTCGCGAGCCGAACCTACTGTCCGGTCCCGGGACCCCCTGCCCAGGGTCAGAGGGGCGCCTACCTAGCTCACGGTCTTGGGCCGGAGGGAATGGAGGAGGGAGCGGGGTCGACCGCTCAGCTGTCCGCCCAGTTTCGGAGGCGGCCACGCGAGGATCAACTGTGCAACGGGTGGGGCCGCGGCTGACCGTGGTGGTCGCGGGGGCTGAGGGCCAGAGGCTGCGGGGGGGGGGCGGCGGGATGAGCTAGGCGTCGGCGGTTGAGTCGGGCGCGGAGTCGGGGGCAGGGGGAGCGGGCGTGGAGGGTGCGCACGAGGTCGAGGCGAGTCCGCGGGGGAGGCGGGCAGAGCCTGAGCTCAGGTCTTTCTGCGTCTGGCGGAACGGGCCTGGGAGGGAGGTTTTGCCAGATACCAGGTGGACTAGGGTGAGCGCCCGAGGGCCGGGACGCACGCACGGGCCGGGTAGGATGGCGCTGGCGTCGATGCCCGCGCGCTTCAGGGCCTGGTCTGGCCGCCCCTCCATCCTTGTCGGTTTCTCGGGTCGCGGACCCCGCGCGGCGCCGGGCGATGCTGGCCTGCCCGTGGCCACCACCTCGCTTCATTCCCGTCTCTTTGGGCCGCCGCATTCGTCCACGTGCCCGTCTCTCCCTGCGCAAAATTCCAAGATGAGCAAATACTGGGCTCACGGTGGAGCGCCGCGGGGGCCCCCCTGAGCCGGGGCGGGTCGGGGGCGGGACCAGGGTCCGGCCGGGGCGTGCCCGAGGGGAGGGACTCCCCGGCTTGCGACCCGGCGTTGTCCGCGGTGCTCAGCGCCCGCCCGGGCGCGCCATGGGGAACCGCAGCACCGCGGACGCGGACGGGCTGCTGGCTGGGCGCGGGCCGGCCGCGGGGGCATCTGCGGGGGCATCTGCGGGGCTGGCTGGGCAGGGCGCGGCGGCGCTGGTGGGGGGCGTGCTGCTCATCGGCGCGGTGCTCGCGGGGAACTCGCTCGTGTGCGTGAGCGTGGCCACCGAGCGCGCCCTGCAGACGCCCACCAACTCCTTCATCGTGAGCCTGGCGGCCGCCGACCTCCTCCTCGCTCTCCTGGTGCTGCCGCTCTTCGTCTACTCCGAGGTGAGCCGCGTCCGGCCGCACGAGCATCCTCACCTGCTCCTCGGTTCCCCGTCCCTGTCCCTACGGAGGACCCGGCGCGACCCGGCCCCTTTCTGGTGCGGAGCTTCCAGCTGGGGCGGCGGCAGGGGCGCTGCGCCTTGTCCCTCGGCGATACACCCACCGCCGCCACCTCGCGACCTTCCACCCGCTGCGCTGTCTGTCCCCCGACCCTCGTTCCTCTTCTCCTTCCCCGTCTGTCTTGGCGTCTGTTATCCAGGAGATGCCCGTCCTTCTATCCAGGGACCCCGGAAACAGGCGACTTTGTCAAGCCCAGTCCCCTCCGTAGCTGGATTTCACCTCCAGGGCAGCCAGCTGGACAGACAGGCAGATGCAGGCTCAGCCCCCTGGCTGCCGTGGGACACACACACACACACACTGCCACAGCCACTGCCCACCACACACACCTAGTGCAGATGCTGGCACACCCCCAGAAGGAGGCTCACAGCTCGCAGGGGAGACCTGGGCTGGACAAAACCCAGGGGAGGGGAGGGTGTGTGGGGACCAGGCCCCTGCTGAGAACCCTGGGGGGAAGCCTGAGGGGGAATTGGGGGATGGAGCCCACACTCCACACCAGGTCTGGCCCTCGAGTGGGTCGGCCTTGGTGCCAGCCCCTCTGCGGCCAGAGAAAAGCAGCTTAGGGCTGAGCTGGAGACGCGGTGTCCCCGACTGTGGGGGAGGGGGACTCGAGGTTTCCCCTTGATGGACACAGTGAATCCAGGCGGCTGGGGCAGAGACCAGCAGCACGGGACACGCGTGACCTGTGCTCCTTTCGAGCCGCAGACGTCACAGTGACGACGTTTAAGCTCCTAATCTCCCCAAATCGGCGGGAAGGATTAGAGGGGCTGCCTGCTCCTTTGCCCTTGGAGAGAGTCACTCCACGTGGAGTCCTACGCTGGGCACTGGGCACGGTCTTCATATTTTTAATTATAATTTATCTTCAAGACAATTATGATGTGGATACTATCATCACCCTTGTCTTACAGATGAAGAAACAGAAATGAATTAACGTGCCCGAGTCTCCCACAGAGAACTTAGCCAACAGAGCAGCCAGCTTCGCTTCTAGGCCCAGCGGGGACCCTGCCTACCCCAGGCTGGGGAGGGGCTCCCTTTGAGCCCGATGATATCAGGCCCGCCCCCAGGGAATTCCCCAGGCCGTTCTCATGTTTGTAACAAAAGGGAGACCAAGGCCAGAAGCCGTGATTCACGCCTGTAATCCCAGGACTTTGGGAGGCAAAGGCAGGAGGATAGTTTGAGACCAGCCTGGGAAACATACCAGGCCTGGTCTCTACAAAAAATTTTAAAATATCAGCCGGGGGTGGTGGCTGCGGCTGTTGTCCCAGCTATTCGGGGGAGCTGAGGCGGCAGAATCGCTTAAACCTGGGAGGCGGAGGTTGCAGTGAGTTGAGATCTCACCACTGCACTCCAGCCTGGGCAACAAGAGCGAAACTCCGTCTCAAAAAACAAAAAGAAAAACAAATCAGCCGGGGGTGGTGGCGCGCGGCTGTAATCCCAGCTACTCTGGAGACTGAGGTGGGAGGATCGCTTGAGCTCAGGAATTCCAGGCTACAGTGAGCCATGATGGAGCCACAGCACTCCAGCCGCGGTGACACAGCGAGACCCTAACTCAAAACAAAGGGAGATCTGCGTGGGGAAGGGGTGTTTCCCTGCCCGGTCCTCTGGCCTCTGGCTCACAGCCGGGCCCCCTTCTCCGTATTCAGCCCTGGAACTACCCATAAGAGTGGGGGCGGGTCACAAGGGCCCGCGGTGGCTGGGAAACCTCAGGGCCTGTGGTGTCGCCGCGCAGGTCCAGGGTGGCGCGTGGCTGCTGAGCCCCCGCCTGTGCGACGCCCTCATGGCCATGGACGTCATGCTGTGCACCGCCTCCATCTTCAACCTGTGCGCCATCAGCGTGGACAGGTGCGCCGCCCTCCCCGCCCGCGCCCCGGCGCCCCCGCGCCCCGCCCGCCGCCCTCACCGCGGCCTGTGCGCTGTCCGGCGCCCCCTCGGCGCTCCCCGCAGGTTCGTGGCCGTGGCCGTGCCGCTGCGCTACAACCGGCAGGGTGGGAGCCGCCGGCAGCTGCTGCTCATCGGCGCCACGTGGCTGCTGTCCGCGGCGGTGGCGGCGCCCGTACTGTGCGGCCTCAACGACGTGCGCGGCCGCGACCCCGCCGTGTGCCGCCTGGAGGACCGCGACTACGTGGTCTACTCGTCCGTGTGCTCCTTCTTCCTACCCTGCCCGCTCATGCTGCTGCTCTACTGGGCCACGTTCCGCGGCCTGCAGCGCTGGGAGGTGGCACGTCGCGCCAAGCTGCACGGCCGCGCGCCCCGCCGACCCAGCGGCCCTGGCCCGCCTTCCCCCACGCCACCCGCGCCCCGCCTCCCCCAGGACCCCTGCGGCCCCGACTGTGCGCCCCCCGCGCCCGGCCTTCCCCGGGGTCCCTGCGGCCCCGACTGTGCGCCCGCCGCGCCCAGCCTCCCCCAGGACCCCTGCGGCCCCGACTGTGCGCCCCCCGCGCCCGGCCTCCCCCCGGACCCCTGCGGCTCCAACTGTGCTCCCCCCGACGCCGTCAGAGCCGCCGCGCTCCCACCCCAGACTCCACCGCAGACCCGCAGGAGGCGGCGTGCCAAGATCACCGGCCGGGAGCGCAAGGCCATGAGGGTCCTGCCGGTGGTGGTCGGTGGGTTCCTGTCCTGAGGGGCGGGGAGGAGAGGAGGGGGGGGGTACGAGGCCGGCTGGGCGGGGGGCGCTAACGCGGCTCTCGGCGCCCCCAGGGGCCTTCCTGCTGTGCTGGACGCCCTTCTTCGTGGTGCACATCACGCAGGCGCTGTGTCCTGCCTGCTCCGTGCCCCCGCGGCTGGTCAGCGCCGTCACCTGGCTGGGCTACGTCAACAGCGCCCTCAACCCCGTCATCTACACTGTCTTCAACGCCGAGTTCCGCAACGTCTTCCGCAAGGCCCTGCGTGCCTGCTGCTGAGCCGGGCACCCCCGGACGCCCCCCGGCCTGATGGCCAGGCCTCAGGGACCAAGGAGATGGGGAGGGCGCTTTTGTACGTTAATTAAACAAATTCCTTCCCAAACTCAGCTGTGAAGGCTCCTGGGGGCTGATGGGGAGTGGGGAAGAGGGGTTTCTGCCTCAGTGGCCCCAGGCCCCCCAGCCAGTTAACCTCTTTCTCCCCGCCAAGGAAGCCCACAGAGCAGACCCCACCAAGCCGGCCGCCTGCTCAGGGTGAGGGGGGAAGGGGCCCCCGAGAGCCACTCAGTTCCGCAGCGCTGGGGCCCAGCTTCCCCTCTCTGCAGGGGAGAGGAAGCAGCACCCAGCAGGGCAAGGTGTCTCCTGGGGAAGCCCAGTTCCGATGGGAAGAAACAAATGGGGAGAGGCGGGGTGGGGGGCTGTCAGCCGCCAGGCCCTGCCCGGGCCAACTCCCACCTCTGAGAACCAGGCACAGGGGGCTCCAGGCTCATGCTGCCCCAGCAGACCCCGGCAGGGGAGCCCAACCTGTCATTTTAGAAGCTGCCTTGAGGCCAGAGCCTAGCTTCCTGCCAGTCCCTGGCCAGAGGATGCCCCAAGCCCCACAGCAAGGGGCCTGTGGTGATGGGTGGGGCCCCACCAAGTGGCTTCCCTGGAGGGAGCTCCGTGCTCAGTCACCCCTGGTGCCCAGCCAACCTCTGCCCAGCGTCCACCAATGTGGCTGGGCCAAGGGGTGGGAGCAGGGAGGCGGCAGCGGGGCCAGGGGCTGGGCAGAGCGACCCAAGCTGCCTGTCTGCACCCTGGCTCCATCAACCAGTGCAGCCCCTGACCCTGGGGGAAGAGGGGCGGCTCCCAGGGCCCTCCATGCAGGAACAGCCTACCCTGGACTGGATCCAGCTCTCTCCCAGGCCCAGGTTGTGGGAGAAATGGGGGACCCTCCGCCTCCCAATCGTGCTGGCTGGAACTTTCCTGTGCTGGGGATTCGGCGTTTGCAGCCAGGGTGGCCAGTCAGGGTGCCAGGCTCCCATCTGAACACTGACAGACTGTGGGCTGTGCAGTCTACAGCATTGGGCACAACCTCAGCTTGCTAAAATACTCAGTGCAGGCTGGGTGTGGTGGTCACGCCTGTAATCCCAGCTACTCGGGAGGCTGAGGCAGGAGGATCCCTTAAAGCTAGGGAGTCAAAGCTGCAGTGAGCCGAGATCGTGCCACTGCACTCCGGCCTGGGTGACGGAGACCCTGTCTCAAAAAAGAAAAGAAAACGAGTATTGGGTGGAGAGAGGACCAAGCCCAATTACTACTTTAGTGCGGCTGCCCCGTCCCGTCTGGTGACCACGCACTTCTGTGATGGCCTCAGCGGCTGCCTCCTCCAGGACACCTTCTCCGACTACCTGCTTCCCAGGACCAGCCTGTCCCAGTCACCCCCGGAACAGACTGAGTCACAGTGGATTCCTCTCAGACACCCGTGAGAGTGAAGGAGG
This sequence comes from Homo sapiens, assembly GCF_000001405.40. Lineage (NCBI taxonomy): Eukaryota > Metazoa > Chordata > Mammalia > Primates > Hominidae > Homo > Homo sapiens. Next base: position 642,079 of record NC_000011.10, read on the forward strand.
GGCTCCCGCCAGCTTTGTCCCAGGACCCACAGCCCCACACGTGCCTGACAGCGCTGGAGGCCATGGGAGGTGCACATGCATCTGGGGGTCCTGGGGGTGCTGACAGCCCTGGGGCAGGGCGACCTCTGACCATCAGCCTCCCAGGCTTGGAAAGGAGGAGCTGTGGAAACCTGGGATCCCAACAGACGCGTGGTGCTTGGCTTCTGTTTTACGGAAAGTTGGGGAAGAGTAAGTGGCCCCCACAATTCCAGGGAATACCCCCACTCCATTCCTGCAGGGCCTGGCGCAGGAAGCCAGGTGGCATCACTGCTGGCGGGGGTCACTGTGCCAGAGGGCTCCCACGGTGCCTCCCCCACCAGGCAGGGGTTCAGCTACTTCCTGCAGCTGTGCTCTCTGCAGAGATGCTGGTGTTCTCAGCTTTGGGGGATTATTCTTAAGAGGTGCAGGTCCTCAATTGCCTGCCACCTTTATGTTGGTTAAAACCCAAAGGAGCAGGCCCAGCCCTGCTGTCTCATGGAGGTCAACCCACGGCCCGCCTGCCTGGACAGGGCAAGGCCAAGCAGGGCCTCTGAGATGCCTCCACCTTGCGGCAATGGCAGACCCTGCTGGGTTGGATGAAAAGCCATTGTAGAGTCTCAGAGGAAGGGCCAGGCGGGCTGAGGGTCAGAGGAAGGGCCAGGCGGGCTGAGGGTCACAGGAAGGGCCAGGCGGGGTGAGGGTCACAGGAAGGGCCAGGCGGGCTGAGGGTCACAGGAAGGGCCAGGCGGGGTGAGGGACAGGCGGGGTGAGGGGCAGGTGGGGTGAGGTGCAGCATCTGGAGCGCGTCCTGCAGCAGCCCAGACACCTTTTCCAGCCTCCACTGCTCACTGGCAGCACCAACGGTGCAGCACCGGGCACGCCTGAGCAGGATGATGAAACATCAGTGAGGGCTTGGCCTGGCTGGGCAGAGACTTTACTAAGTAAATAGGCCAGGGCGGTGGCTCACACCTGTAATCCCAGCACTTTGGGAGGTCGAGGTGGGTGGATCACCTGAGGACAGGAGTTCGAGACCAGCCTGGCCAACACGGAGAAACCCCGTCTCTACTAAAAATCCCTAAACTAGCTGGGTGTGCTGGTGGCCACCTATAATCCCAGCTACTCGGGAGGCTGAGGCAGAAGAATCGCTTGAACCTGGGAGGCGAAGTTGCAGTGAGCCAAGATTGTGCCACCGCACTCCAGCCTGGGTGACAGAGTGAGACTCTGTCTCAAAGAAAAAAAAAAAAGAAAACCGGAATAAACCAGGTGGTCCTGAGAAACCCAGAGACTGAAAATATCGGGGGGCCTCTGCGGGGCCCAGTGAACATCCCCTTCCAAGGGGGCTTTGGCCACCTCTCGGGCTCAGCTCCAGCTGGTGCAGAAAGCGCTTCAGAGGCAAACATCAGAATCACTGGTGCAGGTTCCTCCTGGCGCTGCCACCCTACCCCAGGTGCCTGCTGAGCTGTTGCTGAGTGTGTACTTTCTCGCCCCAAGGCAGCCACAGCCATGGAGCCTTCTGTGTGCAGAGAACACAGGCCATGAGGGCAGAAGCTTCCAGAACAAGAGTGATGCTGCTCCAGCAGCGCTCTTGGTCAGGAGGGCAGGGGGGTCCCATGTTCAGGCCCAGCCCAGTGCCCAAACACGCTGGACACGCCCCCTTGTGCCCCCCACAGGCTTCAGCCCTTTCTCCTCCACCTGGCGCCAGGGCCATGAGAAACAAGGGGGAGACCAGGAGGCCATGAGGCTCTGCGTGTGGATCCCTGGACCGAGGCCACCAAGCTGTCCACGTGGACTGAACAGGCCGTGCTGGACCGTCGGGCTCGCTCAAGCAGCCAGGGCACAGGAGGCACCATGTGCCCCGAAACCTGGCGGGAAGGGCCGTAGGCCTGCTGCACCTCCCAGCAGCCACGAGGGTCTCGTGGAACAGAAGGAACGAAGACCTCCTGGACTACACGAGCCACCAGACGCCAGGGCTTCAGCCCGGCCGCGCTGCCCCGTGCACCGGAGGCTCCGGCCTGGCCGCGCTGTCCCGTGCACCAGAGGTGCGGTGGGCTTGGTTTTCCCACCTGCGCAGTAGGAGGAAGGGGAGGAAACCCCCCCCCGAGGGCTGGCACTGCAACCGGCCGTGTGGGGCAGGGAGACCTTATTTACACTTTATTGACAGACACAACACGTATGTATGTGCGTCGCAGCACAGGCCCTGTGGGCAAGACCGGACGCTCATGATCCCAGGGATAAAAAATCTGTCCGCGAGCGGGCAGGGGGCCCGGGCAGGGGGAGTGCGCTTCCCAGGGCACCATTCGCTTAAAGTGTGTTAATGACTTGTCCAGCAAGTTTCTTTACCTTCCCACACCCCTCTTCTCAACGTCCCCCCAGAGTCCTCAGGGGGGCCTTCGACCTGCAAAAGCCTCACAGGAGTGCGAGGGGCCCCAGCTCCCAGGGCGGCCGATGGAGCCTCACACGGTCACCTTCTCCATCACGCTTTCAGCCACGTGGACTTCGTCTGCCTGGACGGTGACAGCTGCTGACTGGCCGCATATGTGCTGGTGATCCTTCCAGTCCTGGAAGGGAGGACACACCCATGTCAGCAGGGTCAGTGGGTGGAGCAGGGTCTGGGCAGGGTCCCCAAGGCAGACCCCAGAGGGTGCAGCCCTCTGTAACCTCACCTGGAGGTGCTGAGAATGCCCTCCCCAGCCCCCGTGCGCCCAAACTCTGGTGGGCTCTGCTCCAATACAGCCTTCCCCACACTCTCTTGGTTTGAGGAATTGGATCAAAAGGCAAACAACAGGCAGGGCACGGTGGCTCACGCCTGTAATCCCAACACTTTGGGAGGCCCAGGAGGGTGGATCCCCTGAGGTCAGGAGTTCGAGACCAGCCTGGCCAACATGGTGAAACCCCGTATCTACTAAAAATACAAAAATTAGCTGGGCATGGTGGCAGGCACCTCTAATCCCAGCTACTCGGGAAGCTGAGGCAGGAGAACTGCTCAGCCCTGGGAGGCAGAGGTTGCAGGGAGCCGAGATGGTGCCACTGCACTCCAGCCCGGGTGACAGAACAACTCCATATCAAAAAAAAAAAAAAAAAAAGTCAAACAACAAACCAGGGTAAGACTCTCCAAACCAGTTGTTTTGTGTTAGGGATGTAAACAAAAAATATCACACATGCAGAAAAACATTTAAATATGTAAATATTACATATGTAAATTACGATCAAGTTCTGTGGGGGTTTTTTTGTTGTTTTTCGGACAGAGTTTCGCTCTTGTTTCCCAGGCTGGAGTGTAACGCGCAATCTCGGCTCACCACGACCTCTGCCTCCTGGGTTCAAGCAATTCTCTTGCCTCAGCCTCCCTAGCAGCTGGGATTACAGGTGCACGCCACCACACCTGGCTAATGTTTTGCATTTTTAGTAGAGACAGGGTTTCACCATGTTGGTCAGGCTGGTCTCGAACTCCTGACCTCAGGGGATCTGCCCGCCTCGGCCTCCCAAAGTGCTGGGATGACAGGTGTGAGCCACTGCGCCCCGCCCCAGTTCTGTTTTTAATGGCAAAGATGAAAAAGCAAACTGGAACCAGCCCGTGGCTGCAGAGAAAGGAGGTGGGGGATGGTGCCTGGGAGAAGCCACAGCTCCTGTGAGGTCAGCACACAGAACCAGGCTCTGCCTCCCTGCTACGTCGAGCACCTCGGAATGGAGCAGAGCTCTAGAGGAAGCGCCAGGTGCTGAAGCTGAGACGGCCTCGTCAGACAGAGGCAGCTCCGTGCACGGGGGCGTGATAGGTACGTATATGACACACAGAGCAGAAATAAATGCTTCCAAATGGTGACAGAGTTATTCCCTAGAGAGCAGAATTCCAGCTGATTATAATAAAAGAGCAAAATTAGGCCGGGCGCAGTGGTTCACGGCTGTAATCCCATCATGTTGGGAGGCCGAGGTGGGCAGATCACCTGAGGCCAGGAGCTCGAGACCAGCCTGCCCAACATGGCAAAACCCCATCTCTACTAAAAATACAAAAACTAGCCGCCTGTGGTCATGCGCACCTGCAATCTCAGCTACTTGGGAGGCTGAGGCACAAGAATCACTTGAACCTGGGAGGCAGAGGTTGCAGTAAGCCAAGATTGTGCCACGGCACTCCAGCCCGGGCGACAGAGTGAGACTACGTCTCAAAAAAAAAAAAAAAAAAAAAATTAAAATTACCTGGTAATAGACTATAAATCTACATAGCATGAAAGCACATACATCAGCAAACTGCAGCATCGGGTGCAGACCCACCGCCCGCCCCTCCCGGGCCTCCACTCTGGGGCAACCAGGAAGGGTTCCGGTTCCTGCCGAGACTCTGTGTGGGGTGAGGGGCCTGCACCCCTCATGGGAGCTGCCCCCCGTGAGAGGATGTGGGCGGCGGACAAGGCCCCCAGGAGTTCTAGATGCTTCCTTCTCTGGTCTACAGGTTTGAGCCACTCCCTGGGGCCTGTGCAGATGGAGGGAGAGAGGGCGCACATCAGTGTTGACTCTGAGCTACAGAAGCTTCCATCAGGTTCTTCCAGCAAAGAGGCAAAGGCCCAGGGTTGACTTTTAAAATCAGAACTACTCAGTTCTTTTTTAAAGCAAATTTTTCCATCTTAAACATCAATGTGATGCTTCTTACAGTATAATGCTAAAACACTTTTGAAAAAAAAATCATTATCTGAAAAGCCAGAATTAGAAGTTAGCGTTTCAGTTTTTGAAAAACGGAAAAAAATGGTTAAATTCACAAGAAGCTAACAATGAAAGTGCCTGATACAAATAAATGAGAAAAGCCAACATCACAGACTGTAAAAACAATGACTTCGGGAGGTTGAGGTCACTTGAGGTCAGGGGTTGGAGACCAGCCTGAGCAACATAGCAAAACCCTATCTCTATAAAAAAAAAAAAATGTTTTAAAATTAGCTGGGTGTGGTGGCTCATGCCTGTGGTCCAAGCTACTTGGGAGACAGAGGCAGGAGGATCACTTGAGCCAGGAGATCAAGGCTGTAGTGAGCCGTGATGGCACCACTGGACTGCAGCCTGGGTGACAAAGCGAGACCCTGTCTATAGAAAACCTAAAATAGGCTGGGTACGGTGGCTCATGCCAGTAATCTCAGCACTTTGGGAGGCCAAGGCAGGCAGATCATGAGGTCAGGAGTTCAAGACCAGCCTGAACAACATGGTGAAACCCCGTCTCTGCTAAAAATACAAAAATTAGCCGGACGTGGTGGCGGGTGCCTGTAATCCCCAGCTACTAGGGAGGCTGAGGCAGGAGAATCGCTTGAACCTGGGAAGTGGAGGTTGCAGTGAGCCAAGATCGCGCCGCTGCACTCCAGCCTGGGTGACAGAGCCAGACCCTGTCTCAAAAACAGAAACAAAACCAAAAACAAACGAACAAATAAAAACCAAAAATAAGTAATGAAATAAAAACAGTGACTAAAAATCCAATTAAAACACAATCCAAATCTGACTTACAGTGATCCAGGCCTCACAAATGAAAATAATGATGCGTGGGGCTTGCTTTAAAATGCTCAGCCCTCAGCCCAAAGAGAGAGGGGGACAAGCCAGGAGGGCAGGCGCTAAAGCAGCTGATACAGGTGAGGGCGACGGGCCTCTCCTGGGCGATCCAACTCATGTGCACGTCTCACATTTTCCAAAGTTAAGGATTAAAAGAAAAGTGTTGCCACCACAGCACGTAGGTGACTCAATCCAGGCAGTGCTGGGAGCAGGTGGGTGGACTTGACCCAGGCGGTGCTGGGAGCAGGTGGGTGGACTTGACCCAGGCGGTGCTGGGAGCAGGTGGGTGGACTTGACCCAGGCGGTGCTGGGAGCAGGTGGGTGGACTTGACCCAGGCGGTGCTGGGAGCAGGTGGGTGGACTTGACCCAGGCGGTGCTGGGAGCAGGTGGGTGGACTTGACCCAGGCGGTGCTGGGAGCAGGTGGGTGGACTTGACCCAGGCGGTGCTGGGAGCAGGTGGGTGGACTTGACCCAGGCGGTGCTGGGAGCAGGGGATTCCTGTTGGGGCTTCATAACATGCATAAACTCGTGTATACTTTTGTGTACATACCAAGTCCTCTACAATTAATTTTTAAAATTATCACTGCCTTTTTTTTTTTTTTTTGAGACGGAGTCTCCCTTTGTCTCCCAGGCTGGAGTGCTGTGGCACGATCTCGGCTCACTGCAAGCTCCGCCTCCCGGGTTCATGCCATTCTCCTGCCTCAGCCTCCCGAGTACCTGGGACTACAGGCGCCCACCACCACGCCAAGCTAATTTTTTTGTATTTTTAGTAGAGACGGGGTTTCACCATGTTAGCCAGGATGGTCTCGATCTCCTGACCTCGTGATCCGCCCGCCTCGGCCTCCCAAAGTGCTGGGATTACAGGCGTGAGCCACCGTGCCCAGCTGAAGGCAGCTTTTTAAAGAACAGGATCTGAGGGAGGCTTGAGGACAGGGTGTCCTGGGCTGGAGGTCCGGCTGGAAGGCAGCTTTTAAAAGAACGGGATGTGTTCGTTCTGTAGGTGAAAGGAGCTCAGTAAGTGCTTATATTGGGGCCCAAATAGTGTTTGCCAGGAATGTATACACTCAGCCTCTGCAGTACACTTTCCCTGCTTGAGGAAATTCTATCCTCCTACTGAAACTGAGATAAATTAAAATGTATATTGTAATACCTATAGCAGTAAGAAAATAACAACTTTAAAGATACTGTTTAAAAATGTTCAACAAAAGAATTGAAGTGGTACACTAGAAAACACAACTAGAAAATACACATTTAACAGAAAAGAAGGCAGTGAAAGAACAGAGGAGCAAAACATGAAACATAAACTGCAAATATAAACACAAATCCACTCACATTGATAATTACATTAAACATGAGATTAGGTTTTGCGCAGTGGCTCATGCCTATAATCCCAGCACTTTGGGAGGCCAAGGTGGGAGGGTTACTTGAGCCCAGGAGTTCAAGACCAGCCTGGCCAACATGGCAAAACCCTCTCTCTACGAAAAATACAAAAATTAGCCTGGCATGGTGGTGCATGCCTGTAATCCCAACTACTTGGGAGGCTGAGGCAGGAGAATCGCTTGAACCCGGGAGGCAGAGGCTGCAGTGAGCCGAGATTGCGCCACTGCACTCTAGCCTGGGCAACCGTGCGAGACTCCATCACACACACACACAACAACAACAACAAAAACGGGCATGGTGGCGGGTGCCTGTAATCCCAGTTACTTGGGAGGCTGAAGGAGGAGTATTGCTTGAACCCGGGAAGCGGAGGTTGCACTGAGCTGAGATTGTGCCACTGCACTCTGGCCTGGGTGACAGAGAGAGACCCCACTTAAAAAAAAAAACAAAACAGCTGGGTGTGGTGGCTCACACCTATAATCCCAGCAGTTTGGGAGGCCGAGGCGGGCGGATCACTTGAGGTCAGGAGCTCAAGACCAGCCTGACCAACATGGTGAAACCCTGTGTCTACTAAAAGTACAAAAATTAGCCGGGTCTGATGGCACACTCCTGCAGTCCCAGTTACTCGGGAGAATGAGGCACGAGAATCCCTTAAACCCAGGAGGTGGAGGCTGCAGTGAGCCGAGATTACGCCAGTGCACTCCAGCCTGGGCAACAAAGTGATACTCTGTCTCAATTCAAAAAACAAAACAGGCCGAGTTCCAGTGCGGTGGCTCACACCTGTAATCTTAGAACTTTGGGAGGCTGAGGCGAGTGGATCACCTGAGGTCAGGAGTTCGAGACCAGCCTTGCCAACACGGAGAAACCCCATCTCTACTAAAAACACAAAAATTAGTTGGACGTGGTGGCTCATGCCTATAATCCCAGCTACTCAGGAGGCTGAGGAAGGGAAATCACTTGAACCCGGGACGTTGAGGTTGCAGTGGGCTGAGATCGTGCCATTGCACTCCAGCCTGGCGACAGAGTGAGATTGTCTAAAAAACAAAAACAAAAACAAAAACAAAAACAAAACAAAAAAGTAGATTAAACACTCCAATCAAAAGGCAGAGACTAGTGTGGTGGTTCACACCTGTAATCCCACCACTTTGGGAGGCTGAGGCGGGTGAATCTCTTGAGGTCAGGAGTTTGAGACCAGCCTGGCCAACATGGTGAAACCCGTCTCTATTAAAAATACAAAAATTAGCTGAGTGTGGTGGCAGGAGCCTGTAATCCCAGCTACTTGGGAGGCTGAGCTATGAGAATCACTTGAACCCAGGAGATGGAGGTTGCAGTGAGTGGAGATGGAGCCACTGCATTCCAGCCTGGGGGACAGAGTGACAGTCCGTCTCAAAAAAAAAAAAAAAAAAAAAAAAAAGGCAGAGACTATCAGACTAGATTAAAACCTAAGATCCAACCACATTCTGTCTCTAAGGGAATGCTTAAGAGCCAAGGACACAAAATTAGAAGTAACAAGATGTTTGTTTATTTATATGTTTATTTAATTAAAAAATAGAAACAGGGTCTCGCTTTGTTGGCCAGGCTGGCCCTGGGCTCAAGAGATCCTCCCCTCTTGGCCTCCCAAAGTGTTGGGATGACTGGTGTGGGCCACTGCACCCAGCCAAAAAGGTTTTTTTTAAAAAGATGCAGGCTGGGCGCAGTGACTCATGCCTGTCATCCCAGCACTTTGGGAGGCCAAGCGGGGGTGGAACACTTGAGTCCAAGGGGTCGAGACCAGCCTGGGCAAAATGGCGAAACCCCGTCTCAACTAAAAATACAAAGAATTAGCTGGGCGTGGGGCGTGTATCTGTAGAGGCTGCCGTGAGTCAAGATCATGCCACTGCGCTCCAGTCTGGGTGACAGAGTGAGACTCTGTCTCAAAAGTAAAAGATGCAAACATTCACCATAAGACAGGTGGAGTGTCTATGCTACTATCAGAAAAGGTAATTTTTTTTTTTTGAGATGGAGTCTCGCTCTGTTGCCCAGACTAGAGTGCAGTGGAGTGATCTTGGCTTACTGCAACCTCCGCCTCCCAGGTTCAAGCAATCCTCCTGCCTCAGCCCCGCTAGTAGCTGGGATTACAGGCACGCGCCACCACGCCTGGCTAATTTTTGTGTTTTTAGTAGAGATGGGGTCTTACCATGTTAGCCAAGCTGGTCTCAAACTCCCGACCGGTGATCCACCTGCCTCAGCCTCCCAAAGTGCTGGGATGACAGGCGTGAGCCACTGTGCCCAGCTAGAAAAAGTAAATTTTAATATAAAAACTTCTGTTGGCTGGTGTAGTGCCTCATGCCTATAATCCTAGCACTTTGGGAGGCTGACATGGGAGGATCGCCCGAAGCCAGGAGATGGAGACCAGGCTGGTCAACATAGTAAGACTCCATCTCTGTAAGAAAAAAAAAAAAAAAATTAAATAAAAAATAAAAAACTTATTGAGACAAAGAAGGATGTTTTATAATGATAAAAGAGCTAATTCATCAGGAATGATAATTATAAACTAAACATACATGCACCTAACAACAGAGACCCAAAATAAATGAAGCAAAAACAGGCATAATGGCAGATAAAAACAGATAATTCAGCTGGGCACGGTGGCTCACGCCTGTAATCCCAGCACTTTGAAAGGAGACTGAGGAGGGCAGATCACAAGGTCAGGAGATCGAGACCATCCTGGCTAACACAGTGAAACCCTGTCTCTACTAAAAATACAAAAAATCAGCCGGGCGTGGTGGCGGGTGCCTGTGGTCCCAGCTACTCGGGAGGCTGAGGCAGGAGAATGGCGTGAACCTGGGAGGCGGAGCTTGCGGTGAGCTGAGATGGCGCCACTACACTCCAGCCTGGGCGACAGAGCGAGACTCCGTCTCAAAAACAAAAACAAAAACCAGATAATTCAACAGTAATAGCTGGAGAGTTCAACACTTCACTCTAAATAAGGGGTAGAACAAATAGAGAAAATCAGTGAGAATATGAAAGAGTTGAACAATACTATCAACCAACCTAACTGATATCTAATACTCCACCCAACAGAGCAGAATATACAAGCAACACTCTCCATGATAAGACCATACGCTAGGCCCTAACACAAATCTCAATAAATTTAAAGGTACTGAAAAACACTAAGTATGTTCTTGAACCACAATGTAATTAAAGTAGAAATTAATTATAAAGGTACATTTAAGAAATCCAGAAATATTTGAAATTAGCATACTTCTTTTTTAGATCTACTCCTGAATCCAGCACACACTTCCAAATAACTCATAGGTCACAGAAAAAAATCACACGGCAAATATTTTCAACTGCATAAAATATTCGAACTGAATAAAGATGAAACACAGGCTGGGTGCCGTGGCTCACACTTGCAATCCCAGCAATTTGGGAGGCCGAGGCAGGCAGATCACTTGAGGCCAGAAGTTTGAGACCAGCCTGGGCAACATGGTGAAACCCTGTCTCTACTAAAAACATAAAAATTAGCCGGGGGTGGAGGTGCATGCCTGTAATCCCAGCTACTCGGGAGGCTGAGGTAGGAGAATCACTTGAACCCGGGAGGCAGAGGTTGCAGTGAGCCGAGATCTTGCCACTGCACTCCAGCCTGGGCTACAGAGCAAAACTGTCTCAAAAAGAAAATAGAGAAGGAGGGCAGAAGGGCACACTTCCCAATTGATCTGAAAGGCCAGTGTTGCTCTGACACCAACATGAAACAAAGACATCACAGGACAAAATATAGACCAGCATCTCTCATAAATATGAGAAAAAAAAACCATCAAAAAGATTAGTAAAGCTGCTGGGAACAGTAGCTCACACCTCTAAATCCCAGCACTTTGGGAGGCCAAGGTGGGTGGATCACCTGAGGTCAGGAGTTCGAGACCAGCTTGCCCAACGTGGTGAGACCCCGTCTCTACTAAAAATACAAAAATTAGCCAGGTATGGTGGCGCATGCCTGTAATCCCAGCTACTCGGGAGGCTGAGGCAGGAGAATCGCTTGAACCCGGGAGGCAGAGGTTGCAGCGAGCCAAGATCGCACCACTGCACTCCAGCCTGGGTGACAGAATGAGACTCTGTCTCAAAAAAAAAAAAAAAAAAAAAAAAAAAGAGTGACTAAATGCTCCCGAGTACTCTGATTATGGTAGACAAAGTTATACAATCCTGAACTACCGTTTGTAGCCTACAAAATTTCTCTTGAATTTCTGTGGAGCGGAGGGCTGAATAATAGAGGAACTGTGGACGCTGTCTCTCGCGTGGCTCTGCAGGGGTGTGGAGGGCTCAATAATAGAGGAACTGTGGACAGTCTCTCTCTCGCGTGGCTCTGCAGGGGTGTGGAGGGCTCAATAATAGAGGAACTGTGGACGCTCTCTCTCGCGTGGCTCTGCAGGGGTGTGGAGGGCTCAATAATAGAGGAACTGTGGACAGTCTCTCTCGCGTGGCTCTGCAGGGGTGTGGAGGGCTCAATAATAGAAGAACTGTGGACAGTCTCTCTCGCGTGGCTCTGCAGGGGTGTGGAGGGCTCAATAATAGAGGAACTGTGGACAGTCTCTCTTGCGTGGCTCTGCAGGGGTGTGGAGGGCTGAATAATAGAGGAACTGTGGACAGTCTCTCTCACGTGGCTCTGCAGGGGTGTGGAGGGCTCAATAATGGAACTGTGGACAGTCTCTCTTGCGTGGCTGTGCAGGGGTGTGGAGGGCTGGGAAGCACTGACCAGCAGCCCTCAGGGTTTCCGGCCACCAACTGTGGGGCCTCACATGAGAGCACTACCTGGCCATGTCACATGTGAGCCTTCTGCAGGGTCTTCACGGAGCCAGGCAGGAGCCCCGGATTCCCAGAGGGAGGGACAGGGAGGGGAGTCAGGTGTGGCACCAGGAGCACAAGGGGAGGGAGGGCCACCCAGGGGTCTTCGTAGCGAGGGAGGAGGCGGGGGCACTGAGCCTGGTGTAGGTGAGACCTACCTTGCGTTGGCAGAAGGTGGAGCAGTAGTTGACCTTGTGGCAGCCGGTGCACTCGCTCATAGCCTCCCGGCCGCAGTTAACGCAGGACTGCTGCAAGAAGGACACAACAGGCCAGTCAGTGACGTGGCCGTGGAGAGCCCCTGAGACACCGGGGACAGAGGCAGGTGCAGGCAGGAGGCCCCAAGTTCCCCCCATTGGACCCCCTTTTTTTTTTTTTTTTTTTTTGAGATGGAGTCTCACTCTGTCGCCCAGGCTGGAGTGCCGTGGTGCGATCTCAGCTCACTGCAACTTCCGCCTCCTGGGTTCAAGCAATTCTCCTGTCTCAGCCTCCTGAGTCTGGGATGATAGGTGCCTGACACCACGCCCAGCTAATTTGTGTATTTTTAGTAGAGACAGGGTTTCACCATGTTGGTCAGGCTGGTCTTGAACCTCTGACCTCGTGATCCACCTGCCTCGGCCTCCCAAAGTGCTGGGATTACAGGCGTGAGCCACTGCGCCCAGCTCCCATTGGACTCTTGACTGCGCCTCTGCCCCAGTGCTGCTCAGAACGTTCTTGTCACCTCCAGAATCAGCTCTTTCCTGGCCTCAGTGCAGTTTGCCCCCTACATTCATTCACTGGAAGACCAGTATGGGCCGGGAGCAGCGGCTCATACCTGTAATCCCAGGACTTTGGGCAGCCGAGGCGGGTGGATCACCTGAGGTCAGGAGTTCAGCACAGGCAACGTTGCGAAACCCAGTCTCTACTAAAAATACAAAAATTAGCTGGGTGTGGTGGTGGCCACCTGTAATCCCAGCTACCTGGGAGGCTGAGGTGGGAGAATAGCTTGCACCCAGGAGGCGGAGGTTGCAGTGAACCGAGATTGCACTACTGCACTCCAGCCTGGGTGACAGAGCGAGACTCCCATCTCAAAAAAAAAGGGAAATCAGGGCCGGATGCAGTGGCTCATGCCTGTAATCCCAGCACTTTAGGAGGCTGAGGTGGGCGGATCACGAAGTTAGGAGATCGAGACCATCCTGGCTAACACGGTGAAACCCCGAGATTGTACCATTGCACTCCAGCCTGGGCGACAGAGCAAGACTGTCTCCAAAACAAACAAACAAACAAACAAACAAAAACAAAGGGAAATCAGCATGGAAATCTTTCTCCAAACTCCAAGGAGCTTCACTCCAGCCAGGCCAGCACAGAAAATCAAACTCAGGAGTCCACCGCTCCCAACACTCCTGAGCAGGGCTGTGGGCATCAGCCTGGGCGCACCGTGGCAGGCATGTGTCCCAAACTGCTGCGGCGGTGCCCCAGCCAACACCCCCACGGCCCCACCTGAGCTGGTTTCTGTGGTGGATTGAAAAGATGCCACCAGAGGTTTGTGTACTTTCTCCTGGAATTACATTATTGGAGCTTTTCTTTTTAATCAGCGCATAGGTCAACATGCTGTCAATGATTAATGTTTGCGGCATGACTAAGGTGCTTGACAGTTGTGAGCTCCGCCGTCAATGCTCTCTGAGACGGAGAAGACCACTGGGCCTAGGAGAGGCCTTGGCGCCGCGACCTGCACGCCCGCTATGCGCCCAGATCATCCGCAGCTGCGGGAGGGGCCGTGGCCAGTGGGTGAGTGGCAGCGTCTGTGAGCAGCACAGAGCAGCACAGGAAACGACTCCAGCGCGGCCCCACGGCCCCTGCACGCGTGCAGACCTGCTCCGAGGTTCTGTTCTGATGCTTGCCTCCCTCCTTCGCAAACGTGATCTTTAACATTTTTCCAGTTGTAAGACATTCAGAGCTCCGACATTCAGTCACTCACTTCAGAAAACAGGAGCATTAGGAGGAATTTTGGTGCTAATTTAGGTTGCCCCCTGCCTCTACTTTATTTATTTATTATTATTATTATTTTTTTGAGATGGAGTCTCACTCTGTCGCCCAGGCTGGAGTGTAGTGGCGCAATCTCGGCTCACTGCAACCTCCACCTCCTGGGTTTAAGTGATTCTTGTGCCTCAGCCTCCCCACAGCTGGGACTACAGGCACGGACCACCACGCCTGGCTAATTTTTTTGTATTTTTAGTACAGATGGGGTTTCACCATATTGGTCAGGCTGGTCTCGAGCTCCTGACCTCAAATGATCCACCTGAGTCGGCCCCCCAAAGTGCTGGGATTACAGGCATGAGCCACCGCGCCTGGCCTGTGCCTCTACTTTAAATGACAAACTTTTTTTTTTTTTTTGAGATGGAGTCTCGCTCTGTCGCCCAGCCTGGAGTGCAGTGGCACGATCTCAGCTCATTGCAACCACCACCTTCCAGATTCGAGCAATGCTTCCACCTTAGCCTCTCAAGTAGCTGGGATTATAGGCGCTTGCCACCATGCCTGGCTAATTTTTGTATTTTTAGTAGAGACGGGGTTTTGCCCTGTTGGCCAGGCTGGTCTCGGAAACTCCTGACCTCAGGTGATCCGCCTGCCTTGGCCTCCCAAAATGCTGGGATTACAGGCATGAGCCACCAAGCCCAGCCGACAAAATATTTCTTAAAAAGTCTGTAACCACAGAGAAGCTTCTCGAAGGAGAACACAGCTTCTGCAGGCTTTATTAACATTCTGGGTTGCTCTGTGGATGGCCGGGCCAGGCAGGACCCTGGTCCAGCCCCTCACAGACAGAGGTCAGGTGGGGTGGGAGGCTGGCGGGAGCGTGGTCACTGTCCCGGGGAGCGGCCCCCACGCTGAGAAGGGCACGGGTCTCCGTGTCCAGCAGTCCCTGTGCACCACACACCAGGACGTCCTGTACTTGCCCCCCAGCATAGTTCCTGGAGGACAGCACCCCTGAACTGAACGGGAAGCCTGTCCTGTTGCCTCGCAGGCGCCTCTTCAGCCTCAGCTGGGACTTTCAACCACTTGGGCCTTTCGCGGTATGCCCTTTGCAAAACTTTTTTTTTTTTTTAAACTGAAAAATAACGTTCTAGGAAGGTTAGAAGGAGCTTTGGGGTCTGAATTAGAGTCAGAGGCAGTAGCATGAACTCATGTTCTCTTCACAGATACAGAAGTGGCTGCGGAGATGTTCATACACACAGGTGACACCCTCATCCCTGCTCTGCAGCTGAACAGGTGACACCCTCGTCCCTGCTCTGCAGCTGAGGGCCTCCACGTGACAACATCCCAGCAGCACCGGACCCACCTGGCACCCACCTGGCACCCAGGCCTCACTCTCTAAGACTTCCCAATAAAAGGACCTGGGGCTCCCTGCCTGGCACCCAGGCCTCACTCTCTTAAGACTTGCCAATAAAAGGACCCGGGGCTCCTTGGAGAAGGGGCTGATTCCCGGGCCAGGGCAGGGAATGCAAGAGGAGGCTGGAGCACCCTGCAGTGCCAGGAAGTCAGGACGTACCCCAAAATGAAAAGTCTGTTGAAAGGGGTGCATCAGGGGACCCAGGAGCCGACGGCAGGAGCTCCCTAGGGCCAAGGACAGATGGTGTGCTTCACAAGAAAGTAGTGTTGCCTTCTAGCTCAGAGTTTAAAACACATATAAAATGAGCCCATCCGGATACAAACAAATGATCAAATAAATAAATACAAGTCCAAGCTATTCCAGATCCTCCCGTCTAGGAGAAGCCCCCCCACGGCCGTGGACTTGCTGCCTGACTAAATGTGCAAAGGGAGAAGCAGTCCTGTCACCAAGGAGACACCTACAGACACCTGACTCTGGTGAGGAAGGTCAGAGCTGTCTGTAATGTCACTTGGATGTCAGGGACGCCACAGTGGGGTGAGACAGGCGGCAGCACCCCTCCCTGAAACCTGTCGTCCACCCCCACGAGAAAGCACAAGACAAGCCTGGATCGGGGCACCTGGACAAACTGCCTGGCCAGGCCCTCTCAGAACTGCAGGGCATGGAAGACAAGGAAAGACTGAGAGACCGTCACAGGCCTGAGGGTGCTGGGCAAATGGTGCACGGGAGGCTGTCTCCCACAGGTGGCAGCGGGGACAAGGTCCTAGAGCAGAAACAGGACATTGATAGTGAAATTCAAAGTCCGGAGTTCACAGGGACACCCAGCGACGGTTTCTCAGCTACAACAGCCATGCCCTGTGGGCTTTGAAGTTACAGAGGGGAGGCTGCGGAGTGGCAGAAGGGACCCTCTGCGCTCACTTTGCAACTTTTCTGTAAACCTAAAATTATCCCGAAATACGTTTATTTTTTAAAATAACCATTCATTAGCCGGGCACGGTGGCTCACGCCTGTAATCCCAGCACTTTGGGAGGCTGAGGCAGGCGGATCACGAGGTCAGGAGATCGAGACCATCCTGGCTAACACGGTGAAACCCTGTCTCTACTAAAAATACAAAAAAATTAGCCAGGCGTGTTGGCGGGTGCCTGTACTCCCGGCTACTCGCGAGGCTAAGGCAGGAGAATGGCATGAACCCAGGAGGTGGAGCTTGCAGTGAGCCGAGAACGCGCCACTGCACTCCAGCCTGGGTGACAGAGCTAGACTCTGTCTCAAAAACAAAAACAAAAAACCATTCATTACTGCGGAAGAGGTGTGTGTGCGTTGCAGAAGGTTAGGACAAGACACCGCGTTTCCGCAGCCAAGGACATCGACAAGTCCCATTCTGCGCTTTCAGGAAACTGTCAGGAAATCACAGGACTGCGGATGGCACAAAGGGCAGAAGTGCCCAGGCCTGCCCAGGCGCCCCAAGAAGCTCATGCTGCCAAGCAGCTGGCATTGCCATTAGCATTCAGAGTTCTCTGGGCCGCAGGCGGGCAGAGGAGGAGACTGCAGCAGAGCACCCTGCGGGGAGTCCCGCCCAAGCAGCGGGTCCAGCCCCTCAGCAGAGACTGCGAAGGGGTTTCCTGGCCTGCCTTCCCTGCTGCAGGGGCCCCCCATCTGCACATCACACAACAGGAACACACCTACTTTTGGCAATGCAATAGCTGGTGTACTCTGGTCCAGGTGGAAAAAAGCCTTGTGAATCACATATGCTGGTTTCATTATAATTGATTTTTAAATTAGACAAATTACAGATAACAAAGCCACTCCTTCAGAAACAGCCAACCAAGAGTAAGACCATAAGATCACATATAAAATGCCTATTAATTTCTAACTATCAAAGAATAAGTTAATAATGTATTCATTATTCTTTCTGCAAATAAAACTAAGTCTAACTTGAAAACCTAGATACTGGCCAGGCATGGTGGCTACACCTGTAATCCCAGCACTTTGGGAGGCCGAGGCGGGAGCATCGCTTGAGCCCAAGAGTTTAAGGCCAGCCTAGGTGACATGGCAAAACCCTGTCTCTACAAAAAAAAAAAAAAAAAAAATTAGCTGGGCATGGTGGCATGCACCTCTTAGCTACCAGAGAGGCTGAGGTGGGAGGATTGCTTGAGCCTGGGAGGTGGAGGTTGCAGTGAGCTGAGGTCACACCAGTGCACTCCAGCCTGGGTGACAGAGGGAGAACATGTCTCAAATGATAAAAAATAATAATAAAAAAGAAAACCTAGACACACCCCGGATGGAGATGAGGCTGTGGTTGGAGGCAGCCTGGTGGATCGTGTATCTTACAAGGAGTGCTTTCTTTATGACTTATTCTTAGAGGATGTAATGCTGCCAGGAGCCTCGATGGAGCCAACTCCGTGTCACCATCACTCCTGAACCAAATGGGGCCACAGGCCCACTGTGCACAGGGGCCTCCGCCTGCTTCAGGGGCCAGGTGATTGGAGGGCGAGTTGGCCTCGGGGTTCAGAGCCGCTGGGAGAACCCTGAGTAGCCTTTGCAGATCCGCTCCTGGGTCTAGTTCCAGAGGCTCCTTTCCCGGCACTGCAGTGAGTTCAGGTGAAGCAGCCGCCTAATTCCACAGGCCCGGCCTCCTCTGGAGAGACAGAGCGGGAGAGGGGAGAGTGAGCAGGAAGCCAGCGGTAGATGGGGCTTCAGGAGAACCTGCTGGACCCTGAAGCCGTGAACCGGAAGCTGGGGAGTCCCAGCGTCACCCTGCATGGAGGCTGAAATACAAAGTCCCCAACACAGGGCAGGTGGGGCCAGGTGGGGCTTGGGCAGGCAGGGCCCAAGGGGCTGCTGCTGTGCACCCTTGAGGTCTGCCCCCGGGACCACTGTGGCTTCACCAATGCCCACCATGGGGCAGAGGGCTCCCCATGACTGTGTCCCGTGAGGGCGCAGCAGCTCAGCTTAAAAGTAAGAGAAATGCAAATTAGACTGGATTACTCTCCCTCGAGGAAGCAACGGAAATAAGAGAAAACCCTCAAAACATCAAGCAGGTTTATCTGAAAGCTGAGCCGCACACGTAAAGAGATCAAAGGATTAGTCTAATAGCATCTTTTTGAGCTGGGACAGAGTTTGCCGTTTCTATGAAATGACCATGATACAGATCTCTGAGGAAGCATCAGACAAATTCAGATTTACAACCTGTCCCCGCCCCTGCCCCAGAAAGCCCACACACCTCATCCCAGGTCAGGCAGGGTCCCCCTGAAGTGGGACTGCAAAGCCACCTCTGTGCTTTTCCCAGGCTGCCCCGCCGGCGCCGCCTCACCCCGTCCCGGGCACCTGGCCGCCCCTCCCACCACAACACCCCTGGCTCCCTCGGGGGACTCCAAGCCTGCATTTCCGGGGGCTTCCACGCTGCTGGGGGGTGCTCTGAAGAGTTCCCTGGGGACACGGGGATGGCGGGCTGCTCCCGAGTATCCCAAAGACGCCAGCAACCCTCGCTCACTGGGCCACGGCAGGACGTTGGTCCAGTCCGGCTCTGGAATCTGATGTTTGATGCGGAACAGGTGACTGAGCTGTCTTGGGTCTGGCCGGGCCTATTTGGCTCACGTGAGTGTTAGGCTGACACTGGAGAACAAGGCAGGCAAAAGCCTTCATTTACAGAAACCCCATACCTGGACTTCAAGGAAATGTCACTGAAACACAAGCCCCTCTCGGCGCTGCTTGAGGCACCCGCGGCCTTACGGTGTTGGGAGAGGCCCCCGCAGGGAAGCGGCTGCTCTGGGGTCTGTCTCCACCCTTCCAGATCCCCAGGCACGGAGGCACCATCCAGGCACAGCACAGACCTATTTCTGAGCTTCCTAGGAGTCAAGGACATTGTTACTGTCCAACTTACGTATTCTTCTCCCTTTCATACCCTTCTGTGCTGTACTATATTTAACACTTTAAAAGGAAGTTAGGGAGACTGGAGAAAGCCTGAGAGCGAGCTACTAGAAACGGGGACAGGCTAGAGGAATGGGGTTTGCGCTCAGGGCAGCATGGCCAACAACAAGCCGGGGCCAGGGCAGTGAGTCCAAGACCCTGCAGCCACTCGGCTGGCTTCCACTGGACACTGTGCCCTTGACAGCCAAGGGCATCTGCTTTTCTGCCTTGTTGAATCTCTGCAGAGCTCATTACATACACACGAATGCAGATTTCCCATGGTTAAAGCTGGCAACAATCCCCTTAATAGCTTCAGCTGGGCTACATTTGATTTTTTTTTTTTTTAAATTCCAGATAAAAGGCCAGGCACCGAGGCTCATGCCTGTAATCCCAGCACTTTGGAAGGCCGAGACAGGTGGATCACCGGAGGTCAGGGGTTCAACACCAGCCTGGCCAACATGGTGAAATACCGCGTCTACTAAAAATACAAAAATTAGCCAGGCGTGGTGGCAAGCGCCTGTAACCCCAGCTACTCGGGAGGCTGAGGCAGAAGAATCGCTTGAACCTGGGAGGCACAGGTTGCAGTGAGCTGAGATCGCACCACTGCACTCCAGCCTGGGCAACAAGAGCGAAACTCCATCTCCAAAACAAACATTCCAGATACAATGTGGAATCGGCAGCGTCACGCCTGCCCTCCCACTGCTGGAGGCATGGGTGCTCTGTCAGGGTGCTCATGAGCAAGGCTTCCTCATTCCCACACGTGGACCTTTCCATTCAGAGACAGCAGTGTCTGCCTCTCAAACCCTGACTTTCCAGCACTAATTACAAATAACAATTTAATGGCACAAAGCAAGCTTGTCCAACCCACAGCCCGCGGGCTGCATGCAGCCCAGGATGGCTTTGCATGAGGCCCAACACACATTCGTAAACTTTCTTAAAACATTATGGGCCGGGCGCGGTGGCTCATGCCTATAATCCCAACACTTTGAGAGGCCGAGGTGGGCGGATCACCTGAGGTCAGGAGTTCAAGACCAGCCTGGCCAACATGGCAAAATACAAAAACTAGCTGGGCGCAGTAGTGCGCACCTGTAATCCCAGCTACTCGAGAGGCTGAAGCAAGAGAATCGCTTGATCCCGGGAGGCAGAGGTTGTGTGTGGTGAGCTGAGATCGCGCCACTGCACTCCAGCCTGGGCAACAGAGCAAGATTCCGTCTCATAAAACAAAAAAAAATTATGAGATTTTTAATGTGTGGCCCAATTCCTCTTCTTGCAGTGTGGCCCAGGGAAGAGAAAAGATTGGACACCCCGGCATAAAGCCTTCCTCCCATTCTGCAGTGGCGTGGGATCAGGGAACAGAAACTCATTTTCATCCTACTGTTGTGGGGAACCATTCAGTACTTCCTACAGGGCAGGAGGACGCCAACATGCGACCACCTTCCTCCCCTCGCCGACCTCCGACTCCCGCCCAGCCCAGGCGCCCCCCAGGCTCCTGGAGGTTGCTCCGCGTTGCTGTTGCTGCAGGTGAAGGGACACAGGTTGAGGCCCCTCCTTGTAGGACTTCTGAGCCTCACCCCCGAGCCCTCGTAAGATACCTGTGGAGCTGATCTCAAAGAAATCTCCACATCTAATTCAGAACCATCATCTCACCAGAACACAACGGCCTTGCTCCTGCCTGGGTGCTGTACCATGATGGCACCACAATGGTCCAAGTGACCACCACCTTTGCTGGAACGGCTGCATGCACACAGCACTGGGCACAACCACGTCTGCAAGTGCCCATGACTGTTCACCATGTCAGCCCTCAGCACGGCAGCAGGGGGCAGCAGCACCATGAATATCCTCCAGCCAACTGACCCTGCCGCACCCCCAGAGGGCACGATGCCCATTCCCAGCCTCCCTGAGCACAACCGCTGTCCTGATGCTCTGAAAGGGATGATATTTGGCTTTTTACTACTGGCCTGGGGGCCAGAAGCAGGGGCTCACGCCTAGAGTCCCAGCACTCTGGGAGGCTGACTGGGCGAATATCTTGAGACCACGTGTTCAGGACCAGCCTCGGCAACAAAACAAGATGCTGTCTCTATAAAAAACACAAAACCTAGTTGAGCATGGTGGCTTACGTCTGTAATCCCAGCACTTTGGGAGGCCAAGGAGGGTGGATCACCTGAACGCAGGAGTTCAAAACCAGCCTGGCTAATAACGGCGAAACTCCATCTCAACTAAAAATACAAAAATTAGCCAGACGTGGTGGCGCGTGCCTGTAATTCCAGCCACTCGGGAGACTGAAGCAGGACAATCGCTTGCACCCGGGAGGCGGAGGTTGCAGTGAGCCGAGATTCTGCCACTGCACTCCAGCCTGGGTGACAGAGTGAGACTCAACAACAACAACAAAAGACTGCCTCTGGAGTCAATACCAGGCTTTTGGCCTTTCCTCCTCCATCTCCTCAGCAACTGCCTCTGGTGTGAATACCAGGCTTTTGGCCTTTCCTCCTCAAATCGCCTCAGCAACTGCCTGTGGAATGAATACGAAGCTTTTGGCCTTTCCTCCTCCATCTCCTCAGCGACTGCCTCTGGACTGATAAATCAGGCTTTTGGCCTTTCCTCCTCCAACTCCTCAGCGACTGCCTCTGAAGTGAATATCAGGCTTTTGACCCTTCCTCCATCTCCTCAGCGACTGCCTCTGGAGTGAATACCAGGCTTTTGGCCTTTCCTTCTCCATCTCCTCAGCAGTTTTTCTTGCGAAGGTCCGGTCTGCTGGACTCTAGGAGACGGCCACATCACGGAAAGCACTGTGGTCCTGTCTGCTACCATGGCTTCCTGAAGCTATATGTTCATTTAAGATGTCTCAAGAAAACGGACAAAATAGGGCCGAGTGCCATGGCTCCCGCCTATAATCCCAGCTCTTTGGGAGGCTGAGGTGGGCGGATCACGTGAGGCTGGGAGTTCAAGACCAGCCTGACCAACATGAAGAAACCCCATCTCTACTAAAAATACAAAAATTAGCCAGGCGTGGTGGCACATGCCTGTATTCCCAGCTACTCAGGAGGCTGAGGCAGAAGAATCCCTTGAACCCAGGAGGCAGAGGTTGCGGTGAGCCGAGATCACGCCATTGCACTCCAGCCTGGGCAACAAGAGCGAAACTCTGTCTCAAGAAAAAAAGAAAAAGAAAAAAAAGAAAAAAAGTTCACTTTTGTAGCCACCAGAGAAAAGAAAAAAAAAAAGGAAAATGAAACCTACTGTGTCTGGGCCACCCTGAAGGAGTGTGAAGCAGTATCCACCCCAAGCCATGGCACTGAGAGGAGGAAGACAGAAACGGTATCACATTCGGAGCCTCTAAGTCCTGACTCCAGCTATTCACACCGAGAGGAGGAGGACAGGGCGTCACACTCGGTCACTCTGAGTCCTGGCTCAGCTATTCACACCGAGAGGAGGAGGACAGGGCGTCACACTCGGTCACTCTGAGTCCTGGCTCAGCTATTCACACCGAGAGGAGGAGGACAGGGCGTCACACTCGGTCACTCTGAGTCCTGGCTCAGCTATTCACACCGAGAGGAGGAGGACAGGGCGTCACACTCGGTCACTCTGAGTCCTGGCTCAGCTATTCACACCGAGAGGAGGAGGACAGGGCGTCACACTCGGTCACTCTGAGTCCTGGCTCAGCTATTCACACCGAGAGGAGGAGGACAGGGCGTCACACTCGGTCACTCTGAGTCCTGGCTCAGCTATTCACACCGAGAGGAGGAGGACAGGGCGTCACACTCGGTCACTCTGAGTCCTGGCTCAGCTATTCACACCGAGAGGAGGAGGACAGGGCGTCACACTCGGTCACTCTGAGTCCTGGCTCAGCTATTCACACCGAGAGGAGGAGGACAGGGCGTCACACTCGGTCACTCTGAGTCCTGGCTCAGCTATTCACACCGAGAGGAGGAGGACAGGGCGTCACACTCGGTCACTCTGAGTCCTGGCTCAGCTATTCACACCGAGAGGAGGAGGACAGGGCGTCACACTCGGTCACTCTGAGTCCTGGCTCAGCTATTCACACCGAGAGGAGGAGGACAGGGTGTCACACTCGGTCACTCTAAGTAAGTCCTGGCTCAGCTATTCACACCGAGAGGAGAAGGACAGGGTGTCACACTCGGTCACTCTAAGTAAGTCCTGGCTCAGCTATTCACACTGAGAGGAGGAGGACAGGGTGTCACACTCGGTCACTCTAACTAAGTCCTGGCTCAGCTATTCACACTGAGAGGAGGAGGACAGGGTGTCACACTCAGAGCCTCTGAGTCCTGGCTCAGCTATTCAAGTAATGGCTTTATGAATGACACGTCCGATACACAGCTTTAGAGAAAGGGAACACATCGCTTCTAACACTTCCTGACATTTCTTCTAACTCCTGACATTTTCAGATGCACGGGATGTTCACTGCAACAGCTGCTTCCAGCTGAGAAAGGGGCCGCCCTTTCTAACGTTTTAAAAGGCTTGGCTGTCTACCAAACGGGATTTTAAGGATAAAGGGATTTCATGCCACATTTCTCTCATAGAAATACATAAAATTACTAATAAAATTCAAAGCCCAGCCTTTCAGGGCAGGGACCCAGCTGACGCAGCAGCATCAGACACTCTGGCTGCCAAATGAGCAGGGGAGAGAGGCAGCCAGGTGACATAGCAGGGACAGGTGACGTAGCAGGGAGATGGAGCCAGGAAGGCTTCTCCTGGAGGCAGCCCCAGGCCACCAGACATGGGCGGCCACACCGTGGTAGCAGGCTGCAGTCACCCTGGCCAGAGCTGACAAAGTGGCTGGAAAATGAGGGGAGAAACCCTAGAAAGGAGCAAGCACAGAGAGAGGACACTCCCATCCAGCACATAAACGCTCCCCACGTCCTTGTTTGACCCTGAGCTGATGACACAGCATGTGGGGAAGACTCAGCAGAAATGGACGGCTGAAGACCGAGAACACTGAGCAGAGACTGCGGCTGCTGCTCACCACCTGAAAGTCTGG